>NC_000008.11:21375254-21678284 GCF_000001405.40 Homo sapiens
TTACTTTATGATTACCTTGTGCTTTTGTCTCACAGCTCTTAAGATTCTTTCTGGCATCTTAACTTTAGATAACCTGAGGATAATGTGCCTAGGTGATGATCTTTTTGCCATATATTTCCCAGGCGTTCTTTGTGCTTCTTATATTCGAATGTCTAGGTCTCTAGCAAGGCTGGGGAAATTTTCCTCAATTATTCCCCCAGATATGTTTTCAAAACTTTTAGATTTCTCTTCTTCCTCAGGAACACCAATTATTTTTAGGTTTGGTCATGTAACATAATCCCAGACTTCTTGGAGGCTTTGTTCATATTTTCTTATTCTTTTTTCTTTGTCTTTGTTGGATGGGATTAATTTGAAGATCTTGTCTTCGAGCTCCAAATTTCTTTCTTCTATTTGTTCAATTCTATTACTGAGACTTTCCAGAGCATTTTGCATTTCTATAAATGTGTCCAATGTTTCCTGAAGTTTTGATTTTTTATGCTATTTCCTTGAGTATTTCTCCCTTCAGTTCTTGTATCATTTTTTGGATTTCCTTGCATTGGGCTTTGCTTTTCTCTGGTGCCTCTCTGATTAGCTTAATAACTAACCTCCTGAATTCTTTTTCAGGTAAATCAGGGATTTCTTCTTTGTTTGGATTCACTGCTGGTGAGCTAGTGTGATTTTGGGGGGCTGTTTTGTCATATTACTAGAGTTGGTTTTCTGGTTCCTTCTTATTTGGGTAGGCTCTGTCAAAGGGAAGGTCTAGGGCTGAAGACTGTTCAGATTCTTTTGTCACATGGGGTGTTCACTTGACATAGTACTTTCCCCCTTTTCCTATGGATTTGGCTTCCTGTAAGCCAAACTGCAGTGACTTTTACCTCTCTTCTGGGTCTAGCCACCCAGCAAGTCTACCCAGCTCCAGGCTGGTACTGGGGGTTGTCTGCACAGAATCCTGTTATGTGAACTGTCTATGGGTCTCTCAGCTGTGGATACCAGCACGTGTTCAGCTGGAGGTGGTGGGGGAGTGAAATGCACTCTGTGAGGGTTCTTAGCTTTGGTGGTTTAATCTTCTATTTTTGTGCTAGTTGGCCTTCTGCTGGGAAGTAGTGCTTTCCAGAGAGCATCAGCCATGGGATTAGGTAGAGGAGCCAGCAGTGGTAGGGGCCCTAGAATTCCCAAGAGCATATGCCCTTTTTGTTCAGCTATCAGGGTGGATAGGGAAGGCCCATCATGTGGGGGCAGAGCTAGGCGTGTCTGAGCTCAGACTCTCCTTGGCAGGTCTTGCTGTGGCTGAGCACCTGGGGCATCTCCTGGGTCCTGCAGAAGCAGTCCACTTCCTTCAGAGGGTCTGTTGTCCTCTTGGGATTCCCAGTTTGTTCTTACAGTCATTCTGGAGCTAAAATTCATGGTATGAGCCTCTGTACACTGTTCTGTCCATCTGAGTCACAGCTGCAATCTAGTCCTGCCTCCCATCCACCCTGATGAGCCCCTGAATTTTCTGACTTTATTGTTCAGTAATATCACATGATATGAATATTTCATATTTTCTTTATCCCTTCACCTGTAGATAAATATATGGGTTGTCTCCAGTTCGGGTTCTTGGAACTAAAACTACTATATTCTCATATAAGTCTTTTTCCAATCTTATATTTTCGTTTCCTTTGGGTAAATACCTAGAAAGAGAATTGCTAGGTCATAGGAGAGGTAAATGCCTAACCTTGCATGAAACTCTCAAGAAGTTTTCCAGAGAAGTTGGAATACGCCCACCAAAAAAGCATGAATGTTCAAGTCAGTCCAAATCCTTGCTAGCACTTGGTGTTGTCAGTCTCATTTATTTTATCTGTTCTCCTAGGTACCAAGAGGCAGATCATGTGGGGTTTGTGGGTTTTGTTTTATCAAGCACCTTTTTCTATGCTTATTGAGCATTTCCATACCTCCTTTTGTGAAGTATCCTTCAAGTCTTTTGCCCATTTATCAGAGGCTTGTCTTTTAACTCTTGATGAATTAGAGTCCTTTTTTAAAAAATATCTGGACACTAGGCATTTGTCAGATATGTGTGTTATAACTATTTTCTCCCAGTCCGTGACTTGCCTTTTCAACATGATGGATTTTTTATTTTTTTTATTTCTGAAAATGCAAATGCTGTTAGATATTATTAACATTTAACTTTGATATAACAATTTTTTATTCACCACTTTCTAAGTCTCTAGAGGTATTCTGAAAAAATAAAGGTAGGAGTTAGTGGGGAAGGAGGGATGAATAGGCAGAACACAGAGGATTTTTAGGGCAGTGAAGCTACTCTGAATGACACTACAATGTAAGTACATGTCATTATACATTTGTCAAAACCCATAAAATACATAACAGCAAGAGTGAACCCGAATGTAAACTTTGGACTTTGGGTGATAATGAGATGTCGATGTAGGATCTTCAGTTGTAACAAATGCAGCACTCTAAGGGGATGTCACTAGTGGGGGAGGTTGTTGGGGAAATGTGCAGGTGATATAGAGAAACTCTGTAATTTCCATTCAGTTTGTCTGTGAACCTAAAACTGCTCTAAAAAATAAAGTTAATGTAAAAATACTTAAAAACAAAATAAAGGAATTTGTTACCATTTGCAGCTGTATATTCACGTAGATTTTTGTAACTGCTCTCATTGTCTGGCTTTATAGTAAGTAAATATTAAAGCTCTTCCCATTTTATCTAATAAAATAACAACTCTAGCAGTTTATATATCCTAATTTCCTATTATACTTTATATTAAAGCTACTGCTATTAAAATACACAAAACATTCTTTTTAATGTTAGATTCAAGGGGTGTGTGTGCAGGTTTGTTACATGGATATATTGTGTGATGCTGACGTTTGGGCTGCTAATGATCCTGTTGCCCAAGTAGTGAACATAGTATCCCATAAGTAGTTTTTAAACCCTTGCCCACCTTCCTCCCTCCTCTTTTGGAATCACTAGTGCTTATTGTTCTTATATTTGTTTCCATGTGTACCTAATATTTAGCTCCCACTTTTAAGTGAGAGCATGTAGTATTTGGTTTTCTTTTTCAGCATTAACTCACTTAAGATAATGACCTCCAGCTGCATCCATGTTGGGGCAAAAGGCCTAATTTTGTTCTCTTTATGGGTACATAGTATTCCATATGTATATGTACATTTTCTTTATCTAGTCCACTGTTAACGGGCACCTGGGTTGATTCCATGTCTTTGCTATTATAAATAGTGCCGTGATAAACATATGAATGCAGGTATGTTTTTGGTAGAACAATTTATTTTCCTTTGGGTATATACCCAGTAATGGGATTGCTGAGTTGAATGGTAATTCTATTTTTAGTTCTTTGAGAAATCTCCAAACTGCTTTCCACAGGGGTTGAACTAATTCACATTTTAACTAACATTGTATAAATTTTCCCTTTTCTCTGTACCTTGCCAGCATGTTATTTTTTGACTTTTTCATAGTCGTTCTGACTAGTGTGAGATGGTATCTCATTGTAGTTTTGATTTGCATCTCACTGATTAATGATGCTGAGCATTTTTGCATGTTTGCTGGCTGCTTGTATGTCTTCTTTTGAGAAGTGTCTGCTCATGCCCTTTGCCCACTTTTTAATGGAGTTGTTTTTCTTGTTGATTTAAGTTTTTGATAGATTCTGGATATTACTCCTTTGTCTGGCTGCCTAGTTTTCAAATATTTTCTCCCATTCTGTAAGGTGGCTGTTTATTCTGTTGATAGTTTCTTTTGCTGTGCAGAAGCTCTTTAGTTTAAGTGCCATTTGTGTATTTTTTATCTTGTTGCTTTTACTTTTGGGGTCTTCATCATAAATTCTTTGCCTGTGCCAGTGTCTAGAAGAGTATTTCCTAGGTTTTCTTCTAGAATTATTATAGTTTGACATCTTACATTTAAGTCTTTAATCCATCTTGAGTTAACTTTTATAGATGGTGAAAGGTGGAGATCCAGTTCAATCCTTCTGCATATGGTTAGCCAGTTTTCCCAGCAACATTAACTGAATGAGGTATCCTTTCCCTATTATTTGTGTCTCTTTTGCTGAAGATTAGTTGGTTGTAGGTGTGTGGCCTTATTTCAGGGGTCTCTATTCTGATCCTTTTGTCTGTGTGTCTATTTTTGTAGCAGTACCATGCTGTTTTGATTACACAGCCTCATGGTATAGTTTGAAGTCTGGGAATGTGATACCTCTGGATTTGCTCTTTTTGCTTAGGATTGTCTTGGCTATTCTAGTTCTTTTTTGGTTCCATATGAATTTTAGAATAATTCTTTCTAATTCTGTGAAAAACGACATTGGTAACATGATAGGAATTGTGTTGGATCTGTAGATTGCTTTGGGCAGTATACACATTTTAACAATATTGATTCTTCCAATCCATGAGCACAGAATGCATTTCCATTTGTCTGTGTCATCTCTGATCTTTTTCAGCAGTGTTCTGTAGTTCTTCTCTTAGAGATCTTTCACCTCCTTGGTTAGGTATATTTCTAGATATTTTCTGGGTGTGTGCAGCTATTTTGGGGGCATTAGGTTAGGTTGGGTATGTTCCTTGGTTAGGTATATTCCTAGGTATTTGGAGATGTATGCGGGATTGCATTCTTGATTTGGCTCTCAGCTGGAATGTTATTGGTGTATAGAAATGTTACTGACTTTTGTACATTGGTTTTGTACCCTGAGACTTTGCTGAAGTCATTTATTCAGTCGAGAAGTTTTGGGTAGAATCTTTAGGGTTTTCTAGGTATAGAATCCTATGAGGAGCAAAGAGAAATAATTTGACTTTCTTTTTTCCTATTTGGATGTGATGAGTTTTACTTCTTTCTCTTGCCTAATCTCTCTGGCTAGCACTTCCAGTACTATGTTGAATAGGAAGGGTGAGAGTCCTTGCCTTGTTCCAGTTCTTAGGGGGAATGTTTCTAGCTTTTGCCTATTCAGTATCATGGTAGGTGTGGGTTTGTCATATATGGCTTTTATTCTTTTGAGGTAAATCCCTTCTATGCCTAGTTTGTTGAAGATTTTTGTCATGAAGGAATGTTGGATTTTATTGAATGCTTTTTCTATGTCTATTGAGATGATCATATGGTTTTTGTTTTTAATTCTGTTTATGAAAAAAAAAGACACAATTTTTAAGAAATCCAAATATATAGGTATACATAGGCTACAGTGTCCACTCTGGTTGACTTATAAATGTGTTTTTTTCTCTTCATGCTCATAATTCTTCTCTGATTCACCGCCAACTAAATAAAAACACCTCTATACTAACATACACTCTACGTCACCATGTAATTCAATTATAGAACACAAAGTGGCAAATGCTGTATGCAGTTTCTAGACTCTCAATCAGATTGTATGGCTCCTGTGGCCCTGGATCCTTTACTAAGTCACTCACTGCCAGTCATCACCAACACCAGCAGTCCTTTCAGGCCTCAACAAAGACAACTTCTGGACTCCAACATTCTAGAACTTCTCATGAGGACAAGTTGTGTCTTCCCGACTGGAAAAACCCATTCAACATTGTAAATTCAGTGTATTTGGGATGTACTGATCATGGACCGAAAGAAGGCAGAAATGTATTTCAACAATGCTCTTGGGGTCTTCTCTCTCAGAAATTCTCCTTGACCTACCAAAAATGTAATTTCCCAAAACAGAAGAGCTACATTTTTATGTGGGAGACATATTCTAAAGTCAAAAGTGAAAAAGGAAATTGAATATGGACAATATTACCCTTGCAAATTCCTTACATTTTCTACAAAATATATTATGCAGTGTTTGGAAAATGCAGTTGTGTACAGCATTATATAAGCACAAATGGAATATAAATACAGTCTATCTTACATATAGTGTTACATATAAAATATTACACATATATAAAATGGCAAAGATGGTGAAGAGGTGAGAATGTGGAGCGATGAAGATTCTCATTCTTTGCCAATAAGAGTATAAGTTAGGCCAGCAACTTTAACAGTTGGCATTACCTAGTAACTTGAACAGGCTCATATCCTATATCCCGGAAATACCACTCCTAAGTGGAATTCTAAACAAACTCATATACAGGTACCAGGAACCATGTAAAGAATGCTCACACTAGCATTGTTCACTATGGTAAAAAATTGCAAAGCACACAAATGTTTGTCAATAGTAGAGTCGATGAGTGAATGATAGTGCGGTCATGCAACGGCACAGCATGCTGCCATCAAATGAGCTGGCTAAAGCCACAAACCCAATGTAGAGCCAAGAAGCTGATCACAAAAAAGAATGCATGCAGATGATTCTGTTTATAAGCCAGACAAAACCACACAACACTTAACAATATACTATTTAGTGATAAGTGAATAGGTGGAAAAACTAAAGAAAAGCAAGGGGAAGATATCAGAAAAGTCTTCTAGTAGTTGCCTCAGAAGGAACAGAGGGAATGTTACTGGGGAAGGAGGACATAGTGAGCTTTAAGGTACAGGCACTAACCTGTTTCTTAACCTGGATGGAAACGTTATGTTCTACCTTCTCCTCTCCCTCCTCCTCCTTCTCCTCCTCCTCCTCCTTATTCTTTAAATTGTATGGGGGGTCCTCTATACTCTGACATATTTTCTAATTTTACAAAATATAGCAATTCATCATGACATACAATGCCTTAGTTCAGGCTGCTATTACAAAAATACTCTAGACCCAGTGGCTTAAACAACAGAAATTTATTCTTTAGAGTTTTTGAGGCTGAGAAGTCCAAGGTCGAGGTGCTGACTGATTCAATTCCTGGTGAGTTGCCCTCTTCCTGGCTTGCAGAGGGACACCTTCTTTCCTTACTCTCACGTGGCAGAAAGAGGACTCTTGTCCCTTCAGCTCCTTATAAGGCCACCAGCCCCATCATGGTGGCCCTACATTCATAACCTCATCTAACCCTCATCACCTCCCAAAGGCCCCACCTCCAAATACTCTCGCATTAGGAATTAAGCTTTCACCATATGAATTTGGGAGGGACATAAACATTCAATCCATAGCATGCAGTGTGTGACCAAGTGTTTCCATGTAAACTACAACTTTACAGGACTGTGTCTTTATACCCTAGAATCACATACAACCAAAGAAAGGCTCACAATATGAGAGAAGTTGAGAAGAGAAACCGGAGAACAACCAGGAAAACAGCAGTTGATGTCTCCCGTCTCAGACTCACTCTGGACATATATGCTCCTTCTGTGGAATGGCTGCTGGAATAAGCTGCATTGCATTATGTACACTGTCTTCCCCATGGGCTTTTAGCAAAATTCCTGTGAGTTCAATATGCATGTGAGAAAACCTCATAGTGATAGGAATCCTGGTCCTCAAAGCTGCTCAGTCTTCTACTTGCTCCACTGCACAAGGTCCACGAGTTGCCAGCAATGCACAGACTCAAGACCTCTCAGGACCTTTTCCTTCCATGGGCAGGTACAGGAGAATACAGAGAGATGAAAGTCAAGAGCCGTACTGAGACCCTGGGAATGTCAGCTTAGGCTAGTCATATCACTTTGTGTAATGAAGTCAGATTTTCATTTCTATCTACCCTTTCTCCTGTTTCTAAGTGTCCTCTTTGCAATAAGATACCTATAGCTAACCAGTAAAGTGTTCCTTGTTCTACTGTTTCTTTCATGCTTCATGACAGACACAGTGCCTACATGGAGGAGGCATTCACTGCACACTATGGAGCTTCTCACTGCCTGTCTCTATGCTCAGCATCCCTTCTGCCCTATTTCTGGATGCCATCGCTTGCCCTCAATTCCTTTTAAATGCCCTCCTCCCATTCCCACCTGCTTTTCCCTCCCTGAACATGTCCCCTGCATTCACTTCCCTGCTTTTCTTTCTTTCTTTCTTTCTTTTTTTTTTTTTTTTTTGAGACGGAGTCTTGCTGTGTTGCCAGGCTGGGGTGCAGTGGCGCAATCTCGGCTCACTGCAGCCTCTGCCTGCCGAGTTCAAGTAATTCTCCTGCCTCAACCTCCCAAGTAGCTGGGATTACAGGCGCCCACCACCACACCTGGCTGATTTTTGTATTTTTAGTACAGTCGGGGGTTTTACCATGTTGGCCAGGATGGTCTCGATCTCCTGACCTTGTGATCTGCCCACCTCAGCCTCCCAACGTGCTGGGATTACAGGCGTGAGCCACTGTGCCTGGCCTCATTTTCCTGATTTTAATAGAGATCCCCAGGAATTTTCTTGTCCCAGATGGAGTCTTCTCATTTTTGCCTTGTGCCCCTCCCCTTTTGAGTCCTTACTCTGCACTAATTCTGTATTAAGTGCATTCCATACCTTAAAATTAAATTCTCTCCACCCTAGGAAGCAGGTGTTATTATCCATACCTTACAGGGGAGGATGCTGACATGCAAAAGGGTTCATAACTTACCCTTGATCACAGCTGGGAGTGAAATGGGGGGACTCTACCCCAGAGCTTGCTGACCCTGAAACCCACCCCACTATCTTGTTTATCAACAATTGTACAGAAAGCTCTGTTGTGCTCCAGCCCTCCTGCCATCTGCCACTGACTAGTGCTGTCACCTCTGCCACTAGTCCCCTGCAGACAGACCCACCTGGCTCCCTGCAACAAGCACCAGGAGAGTGGCCAGCAATGCCCACTCCCACCACAACTCCATCTCAGGCTGAGACTGGCCAGCCCAGTGACAAGTGGTCTGCGTCTTTCCCGGGTCTGTCAACACTTTACAGTGTCTTTCTAAAGCAGACACAATGCCTCCTCGAGCCAGTGTTTCATTTCTTGATGGGAAGGAGTGCAGCCTTTAGCCTTGATCTGATCTATTCAATCACCTCAATTTCTCCCACAGCTCAGATCCTTTTCCTCCTGATACAGTGTCCAAAATAAATCCAATTTCTTTGCTGATCTGAAACTCACACCAAACTCCTTACTTCCAGGCATGTGAATTACCACAAATAGATCCCTTGGGTCTGTCCCAATTGAGCTACCTGACTCACGGTGCTGACAATTTCGTCTCTCGGAAAGAAAAGGATGTAAGAAAGGAGCTGCTACTCTGGACTTAATTCTGACCAACAAGGAAGAACAAATTGGTGAAGTAGAAGTGACGGGAACCTTGGGAGAAAGGGGCCATGTCATGCTGGAGGTTGCTATTGTGAATGAAAGGAACATTAGATAGAGTCAGATATGTCACTTTTGAAAAGGAGGCTTCAAAACAGTCACACGCACCTGGTGCCATGGATAGACTGTAGAAACACAGCGATCATCTCTCCAAACCCAAAATCATGATGTGTCATAGGACAAAAGATTTTATATTGCAGCCGGTGCAATGAGCACTCCGAGAAGAAGCAGCCTACGTTTCAAAACAGTGCTTCTAAACATATGCCAGTGGCCTATGGGAATAGCAGTCAGACTATCTGAACATTGATGTCACTTTCTATAACACTGGAATACCAAAAGAAACATTGGGAAGCCCTAGAACAAGAAATTCTCAGAATGCAAGTTTAGTGGATGCCAATTAAAAAGACATAGAGACATCTAAGGAAAACCCAAAGTGTCTGTACATGGAGCTCTTTGATGAACATTGATTTCAAAATGATGGGGAAAGGGAGCAGAAGGAAGGGATGAGAAGAAGGATGACTTCAGCTGAAAAGCATAGAAGGCACCCACTCAAATTAACTTAAAAGGAAGGAAAGGTATGACACCCTGGAAGTTCATCAGGCAGGTGGGCTCCTGGCATGGGTGGAGAGAGCACAAGATCCATTTCTCTGTGACTCCTTTGCTCTTGCCCTTTCCTGCGTGTTGGCTTCATCCTCAGGCTGCACAAAGTTGGACAACAGGGTCTCCGTCAGTTTGAGCTGCTATGATAACTTACCATAGTTTGGGTGGCTTACACAACAATTTATTTCTGATAGTTCTAGCAGTTGGGAAGTCCAAGGTCGAGGTGCCAGCAGATCCAGTGTCCAGTGAGGGCCTGCCTCCTTATTTGCAAATAGCTGCCTTCTTGCTGTGTCCTCACATGGAGGGGGAGAGCAAAGAGAAAGAAAGCAAGCTCTTTCCTGTCTCTTCTTATAAGGGCACTAATCTCATCGTGAGGGCTCCACCTTCATGACTAATTACCTCTGAAACCCCCAACTCCTACCATGCATTCCATTGGAAGTGAATATTTCAACATATGAATTTAAGGTGGACGCAAACACACAGTCCATAACATGTGGTCATCCCTACATCTATCATTGGCAAAAGCTGTTTTATAAAATCATAGTAGAATAATCTTCTAGGATTTAAGGGACATTGCAAAATCAGCCAAAATAATCACTACAAATGGGCACATCACCAGGGAGAAATGCCAGAGGAGTATATACCAAAAAGAGCAGGCTCTACAGGTCACAGCTAATAATGAGCTATGGTGACACTGGAAAGGACAATGCGAATGGTTACCCAGATACATTTGTACTAATGGGAGAGGAACACTCTGCTTGGGGCAGACAGTGCAATGTCAACCAAACGCTGCAGACGAGCATTGCCACTCAGTCACTGTTTTGCCTCTGTCTTTGTTGGAAAGACAGAGCAAACATCAGTCAGAAGACATTGGTCAGGGGATGGGGTAATAAAGGCATCCCCAGCTGTTCTCAATGAGTTCTGGGTTTAGATTCCAGCCAATTTCATCACAGAGCACTGAAACAACTTGCCGTTGGGTGTATTGGACCTCTACTAACGTATTTAAAGAATCAAAAATAAAGGCATAAGTTGCTTAATTTTCTAAATCATTTCAGGAAAAGATACATTCTGGAAATCCATTGACATGAACCACCAACTTCAATGTTTCAGTAATTTTCTCCCTCACTGTTAAATTCTCCTTCTGCCCTTATTCTTTCCAAATGATTTACAAAAATGCCCTGATATCTCCCATTCTTTAAAAACCTTCATTTTGTCCTTTGTCCCTGTCCAGTTAACATTTCATTTCTATGCTCCTCTTGAGGGCCAAGCTTCTGGTGGGGACTGATGACGGTTTGTCACCCAGAGGGAAGGCTATGAATGACCCTGGCTCCCTCTGGGGCCTCCAGGTGCAACGAACCCTGCCCTGCTGCCTTTCCCAACAGGAGCATGTGACTTCCCTGAGCACCTAGCATCCGGGCTCCAACGAGACCACATTTTACAAAAGCCAATAAAAAAGAAGAGAGGTAGGGGGTGGCATCCCTCTCCTTGGCACATTCTAGGATCCCGATAGACTGAAGTACTACATGGCACAGCTGCAGAACCTCTGCCCATGAATTCTGGCTTTCCTGAGCTCTTCACTTGACCCAGAGTTTGGCTAAAGTCCATTGTGTAGGGTTTGCTAAGTTACAATAAGGAGTTTGGATTTTATTCATTGTGCAAAGGGAAACCATTGAAAGGTTTTGAGCAAGGAAGTAACACAATCCAATTTACGTTTTGAAACTCACACTTTGCTTGCTGTATGGGAATGGGTTGTATGAGAACAAGTCAAAGCAGAAGATCCAGTTGGAAGGCTGTTGAATTAGCCCAGATGAGAGAAAGTGGCTGGGCAAGAGAGTTCATGCTGGGAATGGAGAGCAGTAAACGAATTCTACATACCTAGGAAGTAGAAATAATATGAGTTACTAATTGATTGGATGTGGGACATTATGTGGAGGAAGAACTCAACCATAATGCCCAGATATCTCACTGGAGCCACTGTCCAAGCCAGGCGTCTGGGCATCATGGGGTCCTAAGGGGGTTCCATTTACATAGACGGGGAGAATGAAGAAGAAATCATTTTAGGAGAGAAAAGAATGGGTTCCCCTTTGGCAATGTGAAGTTTGAGATTATCTGTAAGATATCCAAATGGAGATGTTAAGTTGGCTGTAGGAGGTATCAATATGGAGTCTAAAAGAGGGGTTGGGGGTAGAGATACAAATTTTGGAACATGCATTGTTTAGATGGTATTTAAAACCACGGATTGAGGAGAGTATAGAGAGATGAAAGTCAAGACCAGTATTGAGACTCTGGGAATGTCAACATAGGTCAGAAGAGAAGAGAGAGTGAGCGAGCAAGACTGACAGAGAGAGAGAGAGATAGAGAGAATAGAAGACTGACCTCATGGAGTAAGAGGAGATCCCAGAGCGTGAGGATTTGTGAAAGTCAATAGAGGAGCAAGTCCTGGTAGCCACATGTAATACCAGTAAGACTCAGAGAAAGTGGGACAGAGAAGTGAGCAGCACATTTTAGAATTCAGATGTCAGACACCTTGACAGCAACAATTTCAGCACTGGGAGCCAGAACCAACTTTAGGTGGGTGGGTGTGAAGTGAATAGAGGAGGAAAAACAGGAATAGTATATTGCAGGGTAGAAAAAGTAATATATTTTCCTCACCCACCACAACATTCATGACTGACATCCCTACAACAAAAGACAGATTAACGAGAGAAAAGCATAATAAATGTATTTAACCAAAATTTTACATGACACATGAGTCTTCAGAAATGAAGACTCAAAGTCCCAGGGAAAATTCTATGTTTCTGCTAAGTCTGATGAATGAAGTAGATAGTTGTGGAGGAAAAAGAAGGGGATATAACCTAATGGTAATAGCCTGGGGGGAACTTAGCAAGGCCTGTTAGTTAGATTCTTCTTGGCCTCTGAGTATAGGGTATGACCCCATTAGAATGAGAGTCTCATGAACTACTTTCACATGAGGTAGGTCTGAGAATTCCTTTATGACCACGCTTCAGGGGAGAATGGCAGGAGAACCTCAGAGTACCTTCTTGCTTCTGTGGTTTTCTCAAATGCCAAGGTGCCATATTTTCAGCTATTTTTTTGTTGTTGTTTGTTTTATTTTGTTTGAGACAGAGTCTTGCTCTGTCACCCAGGCTGGAGTGCAGTGGCATGATCTCAGCTCACTGCAACCTCCACCTCCCAGGTTCCAGTGATTCTCCTGCCTCAGCCTCCAAGTAGCTGGGATTACAGGTGCATGCCACCACGCCCAGGTAATTTTTTGTATTTTTAGTAGAGATGGGGTTTTATCATGTTGGCCAGGCTGGTCTCGAACTCCCGACCTCAAGTGATCCACCCATCTCCGCCTCCCTAAGTGCTGGGATTACAGGAGTGAGCCACCGCACCTGGTTGGGGTGTCAGGTTTTGAGTCCCGAAATTTGTAGATTTTTGAGAGAAGTTTCGCCCTAAAGAGAAGCATAGAAATGAAATGTTAACTGGAAAGGGGCAAGAGACTAAATGAGGATTTTTAAAGAATGAGAGGTATCAGGGCATTTTTGTAAACCATTCAGAAAGATGAAAGAGAGAAGGAGAGTTCGACAGTGAAGGAGGGAATTACTGAAAAATTGAAGTTGCTGGTTCATGTCAACGGATTTCCAGGATGCATCTTTTCCTGAAATCATTTAGAAAACTAAGCAGCTTGGCTCCCACCAGGCAGCACGGGGAGAGTCCTGCTTGGTGCTCACAACATATCCTGCTTGTGTCTGCACACTCTCCAGCCCCAGTTCAGGACCCACCTCCTCAGTCACAATGCTGCAGCTCCACCAGCAACTAGTCTCCTTTCAGCTCTCCAGCACCAAGCCACCAGCCCCCACCCCACCAGGTATCACCATACCTGCTGTTCCCTCTGCCTGGGGTGCTCTATCCCAGACTTTCCTCATGACTGGCTTCTTCACATTCCTCCATACACCAGGTGAAATGTCAGCTCTTCAAAAGTCCTTTCCTAACCACCTCCATTATTCGCTACTCTGCACCATTTGATTTCCTTCATAACAAGTATCACTGCATGTTCTTTCTACTCATTCCTTTGTTTCTTTGCTTAAGGTCTGGCTCTCATGAGATTACATACGCCATGAGGGTAAGGATCGTACCTTTTGCTTTCTGAAATGATAATATTATGGCAGAGAATGTTTTAAAACAACATTCTTTTTATTTTTTGCAAAATTACCAGTTGAAAAAAGAACTCCTGTTTGTATGACCCCCCTCATTCTTTTTATTTTTATTGATTTTTACTGATCCACTAAATTAAAATTTCTAGAATCTTAATTAAGATCTTTACTGATTGACTAAGTAAAAATTTCTGGAATCTTTATTAAGATCTTTACTGATCCACTAAACTAAAATTCCTAGAATCTTTATTAAGATCTTTACTGATCCACTAAGTTAAAATTTCTGGAATAATCAAGGCTAGACTATAGTACATTTTGGTGTGTTTATTGTCTGGGCAAATAACCTAGCACAAAAAAAGTAAATAAATTAATGGATGAAACCTGTATGAAGGGCATAAGGAGCTCATGGTCATAAAACATTTCTTGTTCACCATCATATTCCCAACATGTAAGGCAGGTTGCCCAGCAGGTATTAGGTATTTAATAAATATTTGTTGAATTAGTGAGACTAATGAGTCATGCCTCAAGAATCTGTTTCTACCCCTTCCTTGTCCAACATTTTTATCAACATTGACCCAACTCTGTTCAATATTTTTATCAATAAATTGAATAAAGACATGAATGGTAAGTCTCTCAAATTTACAGACAATACAGAACTGGGAAGATAATACAGTGAATAAGAAATCAAGATTCAGCCAGGCACCATGGCTCATACCTTTAATCCCAGCACTTTAGGAGGCCAAGGTGGATAGACCTCTTGAGTCCAGGAGTTTAAGACCAGCCTGGGCAACATGGCAAAAACCTGTCTCCACAAAAAAATTTAAAAACTAGCCAAATCTGGTGGTATGTGCCTGTAGTCCCAACTACTCCAAAGGCTGAGGCAAGAGGATCACTTGAGCATGGGAGGTGGAGGTTGCAATGAGTGATATCACATCACTGTACTCCAGCCTGGGTGACAGAGCAAGACCCAGTTTCAATATAAATAAATAAATAAATAAATAAATAAATAAATAAATAAAGAGAAAACAAGATTCAAGACCTTGTCAGGTTAGAATAATGGGTTGAGCCCAACATGATAAAATTAAGTCATTCTTTAGGTTCAGAAGATAAATTACACAAGAGTGACATGTTATAATATGATTTAATACATAGTGGCTCCTTCTACTGGTTTAATGAATTACTCGAAAAAATGATACTAGGAGAAGTATTACTCAGAAGTGTGGGAATCCTCAGTTCTTAGTCTTACTTGGGAGAAAGAATTCGGCCAAGAAACTAACTAGTAATGTAAGCAAAGTTTATTAAGGACTTAAGAGCACACTCTAAGAAGTGACCTGGCTGGAAGCAGCAGCAGCAGTGTTTATTTAAAGGGACAGTGCACCCTGAAAGACAAGGCTTAGGGGGCTCCTGAAAGAGAATGAGCCAGCAGCAGCCGTGAGAGTTCTCCATTAGGTTTTTATGATCTTGGATTTTTTTCTTGATGTTCTTTCTTCTGTCTTAAGTCTCCACATTTTTTTTTTTTTTTTTTTTTTTTGAGACAGAGTTTTGCTCTGGTTGCCCAGGCTGGAGTACAGTGGTGCAATCTCGGCTCACTGCAACCTCCACCTCCCAGGTTTCAAGCAATTCTCCTGCCTCAGCCTCCTGAGTAGCACCACCTCCTGCACCACCATGCCCGGCTAATTTTGTATTTTTAGTAGAGACGAGGTTTCACCATGGTGGTCAAGCTGGTCTCGAACTCTTGACCTCAGGTGATCCACCCACCTTGGCTTCCCAAAGTTCTGGGATTATAGGCATGAGCCACCACAGCCAGCCTCCACCTTTTATCTTTGTCTAGTTTTCCTGCTCCTGCCTTAAGTTCTGCCTTTTTACTCACCTAGTTCCCACCCAGGCTCGTGGGATTCTTCCTGTCAGGGTGTATGCATGTGCAGCCAGTGTTGAACAGGAATTCTACCTAAAGGCTGCATTGCTCATTGCAGCCACCCTAGGAAGCTCGTGTAGCAGTTAAATTCACATTTATTGTGCCTATGTATTTCTTAGGAATTTCTTCTTTACCCTCCTCCCTTCCTTATCAGCATGTAGCTAGATATATTCTGACAGTTTGACTGCAGAGTGGATGACAATGGGGGCACCTTAACAGGTGCTTCTTCCTGCCTAGGTATTTCCCCTCCTCTCTGCTCATATTCAGTATGCACATTTGGGTGGTCTTGGGATGTGAGATCTTCCTCCCTTTTCTCAGGGGCTCCCCCTCCTGCTTATGGCTGGCTACTCACCTACTCTACAAGATGGAGCCCAAGGGTGTGAGATAAGCAGCAAAACCATAAGGATGATGGAAGGAGGTGACTATTGTGAGTGCCGTTGACATGTTGAAGAGTGTTGGGGCTCAGAAAACAACACCCCAAAATGAAGGACTTCAAAGCAGCCTTAGAAGCAAAAGTGTTTCTCTGACCTTCTCCCGCCTTCATGTCTCTCAGTCCCATTCTACCCCAAGGCTAACTATAGAAATTAGAATTCCTCCTTCCCGAGGTGGGCCATAGAAACCAGGACCCCTTTTCCCGAAAGCCAGCCACAAAACCTAAAAATATTACTCTAACTTTCCCCATGCCTTTCCATATAAAAACTGGTCATAAAGAAATTATCTGACCTACCTTGTTTGGCTTTAGGTCATAAGACCCCTATTCCAGAGAGGGTCCTGTCCCATACCCAGAAGAGAGCAATGCTGCTCAGAAACACCAGGAAGGATCTAGACAGACAGGCCTTTCTGGCTTTCCCCACCCACTCTGTTTGAATTAGATCATGCCCTGTTTGTCTAACCATATTTCTACACGATTGTCCATATTTGTTGAACCTAGGCATAAAAATGGACAATTTCTCCTACAATGTTTGGGTCCTCATTCTGAAAGCTCCTGTGTGTACACATTAAATAAATTGTTTGCCTTTTCTCCAATTAATCTGCCTTTTGTGAGCTGATTTTTCAGTGAAACTTCAGAGGGCAAAGGGGAACTTTCTCTATGATCCCTACGAGAGCAGTGTTGACATGCTTAGTGAGATTCATCACCAATTCCAGAAAAAAAGTGAAAGCCAGAGGGTCTCCTTAGCAGGGTTTAAGAAACCCCTAATGTACTGCAGTTGCTGGGCAGACAGAGTAGAGAACAGGGATCGGGAGCTCAGAAGAGATGCAGAGGAAGTCGAATCCCCAGGCCGGCAAGTCTTTTATGCAAAAGTCAGGGCTCTCCTTGGGAAGGTTTGGGACCCTGAGACTTGGGATGAGGGATATGAATATTTACATTTGAATATCTTTAACACCCAGCTTCCCCAGAACTTGCTAGGCATGCAAAGTGGCCCATACTGTTAGAAGATAGTGAATCCCCCTTGCTTAAAGACCAGGCAAGAGCCTCCAATGAGTCTGGTGCCTTATAATACTTACTCCTCTCAGGATCTACCCCACCTCCCCTCCCATCAGCCAGACCAAAAAATCAAATCACATAACTGGCAGAACCTCCAAGAGGTCCATCCTACTGACTATAGAGAATGAGCAAGCTGTGGCAAGTACAATGGAGGCCTCAGTAAGATAAACCCTTCTACGATTCAGGGACAAGATAGATCAGTAAGGTTTTTATAGCCAGGGATTTGAGACAGGCCTGATGCCCTCAAAAGTAAAGGACACATGATTGTATTTCATAATGTTCCTAAGAAAAAAGCACAACCTGTTTATGAGCCTCCTTGGGTTCAAGAAACTGCATGTGCAACCTATTTGTTGGGTGACACAGAAGCCTATAAGCTCTCAGTGGTGCCTGGAGCAGGAAAGGGCTCTGCAGCAGGTTAAGGCTGCAGCACCAGCAGCTCTTGCTACTTAGGCCATATGACCCCATAGAAGCAAGATCTCTGGAAGCAAGGCCAAAGAGAGTCCTGAAGAAGCTATTTCTGGGTGGAGTGAACTTACCCCAAGAAGCAAGTGTATATGAGCAGCGTGAGGGGTGGCTTGCATGGATATTGTGTTGCCCCACCAGCTTCCCTCTATTAGGCCAAGGTACTCAGCCCACAGCTGCTAGAAGGCTCAAAGGGCTGCTAAGGGCTCAAAGCTGTGTCCCTCAGTGAGAATCACCTTTAGCCCCAAGAAACTTCATCACTCAGAGACCAGCCTATTACCAATGAGGGTCTGGAGTAATAAGGAAAAACAAAGGCTTGGCCCTCCTTCCTCAATTCAGAACAATTTGGAAGGGTTGTCTAGCTCCAGAGCTCCAGGTGGGATCTGCTAAGACCTCAGTCGCAGCCACACCACAGGTGAGCTTTCCCTCTACCCATTTCTGCCTTCCTCTCTTCCATAGAGGGGTAGCCCCAAGAGCACTGCGCCAAGCCCACTGCACACAACTTTCCCCGCAGAACCTGTTATAGGCCATGTGACCACAGATGACAGTTCCTATGACCTTGTCTGTAATCATGACTATATCATTGCACTTTTCCATTTTGTTTTGCATGATTTCTTCAAGACACCAAGTCATTGTTTTCTGTTTTCATTCTAGTTTTATGGCCTTTAATGTGGTTTTCGTCTCTGTAATGTTTTTGCTTCATCTTTCATTTTCTTCAAGAGCTCTACTAACTTAAATGCCATTTCTTTCTAATTATTTTTTCTTTGACCCATCTATTTCTTTTTGAGCTCTTTTTAAGAACAGTGATATCATATGTAATGTCTGTAAGAATTTGGAAAAATACTCAAGTTGGGCCGTGTGAAATTGTATTTTTGTGAGTCAAAAATGGTCACATATGGACAATTTCGTACAGTTCAACTTAACATTTATTTATCTGAAGTTTTTCTGTAGTTTCTGGTTCCTTCCCCTTGTCATGTATGTTTTTCATTTCTTTTTACTTCATCTGTCTTCCCTCTCTATCCCATCCCCACTTTATTTACCACTTCCATGCAAAGATCCTATATTTGTTTCCTTTTCTAAAATAATGTTATATGTGAATGAAGTTCATTATGTGCTAGAGTAATGTCAGAGGAGGTAAGGAAAGGAGTTGGGACCCTCTCAGTACACTTTTGGGCACACTGTGAAAGATTTCTTCTCCCAAATCTGGAATTTCTTCTTCCCTGGGAGCATGTTCACCCTCAACTTTAGGTGCTTAGTAGATCCATGTAGCTCACACACATTTAGTTCACTAAAAGCAAAGCCCTGGAAACGAATTCTTACACAAGGAACTTGTAAGGGACTGAGGGATATTGGCTACAGCACAGGAAGAAGCTAAGCAAAGATGAAGTTCCAGCTGAAGCCTCGCCTCAGGCTGATCTTTCAGGGAGCTCTGGACCATACATAATATCACAGAACTGCTCACCATGAGTTTCCCTTATTAGCCAGCCATGAGCTGGAGCCGCCACCCCATGCCCAGGGGCAGGATTGTAACCTATCAGGCATTTCTAGAGGAGGCAGCTCATCATATTGCGGGATATTCTCTGGAGAAGGGAACCATTGCGCTCAACACACCAGCAGCTGCAGGATGGATGCTCTGGCTGGAAACAGGAGTCTGGGCTTTCTGTCCTGCCTCCTGTCCCTCTTCCAGCCTGCTATGTCTCAGGCAGTCGCCCTGGGAGAGGTGGCCAGACATCAAGAACTTGGTAATAGAAATGCCCTGCCTCCTTGGGTCTCCTTCCGCTCCCCGCTGCGTTCCCTCTCTGCAGTCACACATTCTGCTCTCCAGGGACATTTGCACCTCTCCTGGGGCCAGGCCACACCGCTTGTTCTCATGGTTTTAACCAAAATATCATTACCATGGTCTTTTACATGGAAGTACTTGTCTTTGGGGAAGTCTGCATCCTGCTTATAGCCCAAGGTGGCATGTGTCAGCTTCAGGCATGCTTCCACTGCTTGGACCAGTGTCTGGTTTTTGACAGGTACACTACATAGTTTCTTGTCCAGGGTTTGTCAGTTGCCTTGCATCCTTATTTGTGATGTGCTTTTTCTCTTCTCCTTTCTGAAAGTTTTCAGAAGCACTTGGGAAAGGTCAAGGGCAACACTTACAGTCATAAATAGAAAGTTTCTCCATAGACTCTTTTTTCTCTTTTGTTCAATGGGAACTATATCATATACACAAAGTACTGCATATAAAATACATGTAAGGTTTAAAGAATGAAACTAATAAAACAATGTAATACAATAACCTGTATCACTATGCAGATGAAGAAACAGAGCATAGCCATTGCCTTCTAAACCCCATAAGTGCCAACTGGTGGAGGGACACTCGTTTTGAATTATATTTATTCAAACTACTATTTTGAATTATATGTTACTACTACTATTTTGAATTATATTTGACATTACTCTTGCTTTGCTTTATAGTTTTATCAGGTGTGTCTGTAATTCCTAAATGAAATCCTGTTTAGTTTTTCCTGACTTTCCTCTATATAAATAGAATTGTACCCTATTTATTCTTCTGCAAATACTTCCCAGATTCCATAGTATAGTTTTGAGATTCCTTCATATTCAGCACTTGGCTGTATTCAACTTCATATTCAGCTGAGTGCTGAATATGAAGAAATCTCAAAACTATACTATGGAACCTGGGAAGTATTTGCAGAATATACTCCTTGTGTCACTGTGTAGTATTCCCTTGTGTGACTATACCAAAAAATGTATTTCTCTATCTTGCTGTTGCATTATTTGCATTATTTCCAGCTTTCTAGTATTAAGAACAGTGCTGCTGATAACATTGTTATGTCTTTCTCCTGATGCATAATTGCAGGAATTTCTCTAAGTTATGTGTCTATGAGCAGAGTTGCTGGATCACAGGGTATTCACATTTTCAACTTTACTGGATAATGCAGTTGTTTCTCAAAGTGGCTGTGTCAGTTTATACTCCCACCAAAAGTGCAGAAAAGTTTCCTTTGTTCCACCTCCTTACTGACTTCCACATCCTTAACTTGGTATTTTGAGACTTTTTATTATTGTTTATCTAGACAGTAAGAAATTATATCACATTATTATTGCAATGTGGATTCCAAGATGACTATAGTAGCTGAACAACTTTTGACATGTTCATTGGCCATTCATGCTCTCAATGGTGAAAGTTCTACTCATCTCTTTTGTTCCACTTTCTTTTGGGCCATTGGTCTTTTCTGTATTTACTCACAGTTTTTTATTAGATTCTGGACACTGAGCCAGTGTCAGTTACATGTGTTGCAAATCTCTTCTCTCAGTCTGTGGCTTGTCTTTCTAGTCTCTGATGTCATATAATAGCTAGATGTTATTAATTTTAATTTACTCTGATTTTGCAATCTTTTATTTATTGTTAGGGTGTTTTTGTGTGTGTGGCATGTTTAAGAAATAACTACCCTAAGGTCTTCAAGATATTCTTTCACATTTTCTGCTAAAAATCTTAAACTTTTATCTTTCATTTTTAAGAACTTTATCAATCTGGAATTAATTTTTGTGTATGGAACAAAGTAGGGATCCATTTTCATATTTTTTAAGTCTGGATAAATAGTATCATGTTCTGAAGAGCCTATCTTTTCCCTACTGATATACTCTCACCTGTCAGTGTCCACATATGCATGGGTCGATTTAGAAGCTCTTAATTGCATTCCATTGGTCTATTTTTCTATCCCTGTGCCAAAGCCTCACTCTTTATTTCTGGACCATTAACATTTTATGCTGTTGTCTGATAGGACAACTATCCCTCTCCCCTCTTATTCTTACTTTTCAGGAATGCATTGGCTCTTCTTGACCTTTGGCTTTTCCATATAAATTTTGAAATTAGCTTATCAGTTTCCATGAAAATTCTGTCAGGATTTTCATGGGAACTCCATTCTATGTATATTAATTTTGGAAGAATTGTTATTTCAAATAATCTTATTTACAATCATGGTAAGTCTCTATTTTTTTCAGACCTTTTGGATGTCTTTCAATAAAGTGGCATAATTTTCTCCAAAAAGAAAATTATAGAATAGCAGTTAAGAGCACATATTCTAGAAACAGATGCTGGGTTTGAATTCCCACTCTGCAATTTATTAACTGTGGAATATGGAACAACTTACGTGATCTCTTTGGGTCTCAGTTTCCTCAGCTGTAAGTGGAACTAATTAATAGTACTTACCTCATAGGGTTCTTATAAGGATGCATGGATTTTTGTATATTTATATATTATATATAAATATATGTAATATATACTATATGTAAAATATATACTGTATATAAATATATATACACAAACACAAAAGAAAATATATAAATCAAAAATATAATGTAGTGATAAACAAAATATATCTAGGATAATAAAAGCAAAGACTTTATATAGCACTTATCATGAGCCATGTACTATTCTAAACTATTTTATTTATATGTAAAGTGTTTCGAATAGTGCATAGCCCATGGTAAGTACTATATAAGTCTTTGCTTTTATCATCTCTAGATACATTACATTTTATTTTCCTCCCACAAATAGCATTTTAAATTGCATTTATGCATGTAGCTGATTTATACATGTGTCAGTATACACGGACAATTGACAATTATATTAATCAAAACCTGAAAACTGGTTAGATTATCTTATTAATTCTAAGGATTCTTGTACATTATTTTGAGCATTTTAGTAGATTATCTGCTAATAATATGATTTCATCCACTCTACTTCTTGAATATTTGATTTTTTTTCTTGTCTTATTGCATTGGCTAATACTGCCAGTATATTGTTGAATACAAATTATAGTGGCAAGAATCCTTTCTTGTTCCTAACTTTAAATAGAGATAATTTTATATTTAACCACTGAATAAAATTTTGGCTATAGATTTCAGATAGAATAGTGTATCAGGCTAAGAAGTTTCTTCTGTTTTGTTTGCTAAAAATTTTTATCATAAAAAATATTATTTAATTAACTATTGTGACAAATAATATTTATCTATTAAACGGTGGACTAACGTTATATTCCTGTAATCATATGAACTTGGTCATAGTATATTATCATTGATTTTAGACTCAATTTGCTAATATTTTGTTTCAGATGTTTAATCAATAATAAACTGTTAAATTGCCCTGTAACTTCCCTTTCTTGTACTGACTTTGTTAAATTTTCATTTTGAAGATACACTGGCCTCTTTTTGACTTCCTGAAATATTATGTAAGTTTGGAATTATTTGTTCCCTAAAAGCTTACCTAATATTTAGAATTCTGTACCTGGTATCTTCTTCGAAGAGATGTTTTAAAATATTGAATCAGTACCTTAAAGGCTATAAAATCATTTCTTATTCAATTTTAGGGATTTTTATTTTCCTAAGAATGTATTCATATTGTCTGAATTTTTAAGTTATGGAGTTTTTATTTTAATTACTTTTTAATCTCTGCTGCCTCAGTGCATAGTTATGTCTCTTTCATCCTAATTGCTATTTACTTGTTTTTTCTCATTATATCCTTATCAGACTTGCAGAGATATGCCAATTTCATTATGATTTTCAAAGAAGCAAGTTTTATCTATTGCTCCCTTCTATTAACTCTGTTTTTCATTTTTGTAATTTCTGACCTTGTCTTTACTACTTCCTAACTTCTTTCCTTGAGTATTTTCTATTATTACTTTCTACTGTTTAAGGTAAGATGCTTAACTCATTTCTTTTCAGCCCCTCTTCTTTACAATATAAGCACTTAAAGCCATAATTTTATTTGTAGGTACCAATTAAGCTGAACCCTCACAAGATTTGATTTATAAGATTGTCACAATGATGTTTTTATTACATATTCACCATAAAGCTTCTTTCATTTCTGTTTTCTTCATTTTTAGTCATTTATAGCATAATTTTGTTGTTGCCTAAGAATGTGGTTTATAAGACTATATTCATTAAAAGGCAGACAGCCTCATACTTGATCAATTATTATAAATGTTCTATGTGCACTTGAGAAGAATATGTATTCTTCAATTGTTTGTGCGTGTTCTGTACACGTTTCTTAAGTCAAACTTGTTAAATGTGTTTTTCAAATCTTCTCTGCCATTGTCTGATCTGCTTGACTACATCAAAAAAAATCACTGGGTCACTCATTGAGAGCAGGATGTTAAAATCTCCCACTTAGGTTGTAAATTTGTCAATTTGTCCTTATAGTTGCATCAGTTTTTGCTTTATATATTTTGAAGCTATATTGTTAGATATATTCAAATTTAGAATTGGTATATATTGAAACGCTATTAATTTGTAGTGAGCTTTTTATCTCCAAAAATATTTTTGGCCTTAAAGGCTATTATATATGAGATTTATGTACTATACTAGCTTTCCTTTAACATTTATCTAGTTATGATTTTTTCCTATCCTTTAATTTCAATCTTTCTCTATTCTTGGATTTTGCTACGTATTTTGTAAACAGCATATATCTGGATTTCTGTTTTGTTGTGCTTTTTAAATCCAGTTTGGCATTCTTTACCTTTGAACAGGGCATTTGGCCCTTTCATATGGCCTTCAATTTCTCATACATTTGAGTTTACTTCTACCATCTTATTTTCAACTTTTAAAAACCATTTCCTTCTTTTAGATTAATTTAGTTCTCCTTCCATTCCAGTTTTTCTTATACTAGTTTTGGAAGTTATTCACTTTATTTTTATGCTTAAGTTTAACAGTTATTAAAGTGAAAAGTTAATTGTCATAGTTTGGGCTCCCTGATTAACAGAATCTAATACAAGGGCTTAAAGGCAGATAATATATTTGGCAGGCAACCAAAAAAGCAAAGGAGTGACAGAATGGTGGGAACAAGAGGAAAAACCCTTAGCAAGGGTCATTATCAAGGTCACTACTGTGAGCAATGGTAGGTTTTCTGCCATGACAGAATTCTGCCAGGTTTTCTGAGAAACATGAAAAATGACTTCTAGAATTTCCCATCTGAACGAATGACTTCTAGAATTATCCATGTGGAAGTACAAGCAGTTATCTATCACTTCCCATTCCTCATTAGTTGGGGATCCCCACAGGGTCAATAATCCCCCAAACCTCTATTCTGCACTTGCACAAGGGCCTGTTGGTCTCCCATGGCTTTGGAGAAGGCTTTTCAGCATGAAGAGGAAAGGAGCATGGTGCGTCCAGGTTGGATGCTTTCAGCATGAGTTCAAGGTCACATATTAGTATCTACCATAGCTGCAAATGAGGAGAAAGAGGACAGTGCTGTCTGCTACATAAATCATCTTTACTCTTCTCTCAAAAAAAACAGGGATCATAGAATGCTTTAAATTCAACCACTCCCATCCTGACTTATTTGTAAGTGTCCAGGATTATGGTTCTATTTTAATCCACAAATTAGGTATATTAATATTGTTTAATACAGTCAATGTTTGTTTCAATTTACCAATCTATTATTTTCTTTGCTCACCCATCTAACTAGCATTTTAGACCCTCCTTTTGAAATCATTTTCCTTCTTCCTAAATTAAAAATCCTTGGCTGTTCCTTTAGAGAAGGCTGCTGTCAAAAAATGCTCCCCAGGCCTGGTTGTCTGAAAATTTCTTTTTGTTGTCCTCGTTCATGAAAGGAGTTTCATTTGATATAGGGTCCTGTTGATGCGGGACAGGTAAGCCCCAAAATTGGGGCTTAGCCCGGGAGGGTTCTGGGCTTCACCCAAGAAAGAATTCAAGGGTGAGCCAGTGGTGTTAGCAACTTTTATTGAAGCAGTAGTGCACAGCAGCAGCAGAGGGACTTCTCCTTGTGGAGCAGGGCTCCCCACAGGCAGTATGCCTAGAGTAGCAGCTCAGAGGCAGGTCTGCACTCATATTTATACCCACTTTTAATTAAATGCAAATTAAGGGTCAGTTTATGAGTAAATTTCTAGGAGAAGGGTCACAACTTTTGGGTTGCCATGGTCATTGCCATGGAAACAGGTGGGGTGCCATGGTAACTTCTAGGTGTTGCCATGGCAATGGTAAACGGACATGGCACACTGGTGGGCATGTCTTATGGAAAGCTACTTCAGCCCTGGACCCATTTTAGCTAGTCCTCTATTTGGTCCAGTGTCCAAGCCCCACCTCTGGAGTAGAGTCCTGCCTCCTATATCTCATTATGTTGACAGTCATATTCTCTCTAAAGTGTGAAAATCTCGTTTCCCTAAGTTCAGAGTTTGATTGTTGGTGTTGAGAAGTTATCACAACCGAATTTTCATTCCTTTAGGGTAATTTGTCTTTTGTTCCTGGCTACCTTTAAGATCTCTGTCTCTGATGTCCTGTAGTTTCACTGTGGTGTATCTGTGTGTGGATTTACTCAATGTAGGCCTTGGTATCTTTTATCAAATTAGAAAAATTATCAGTCATTATATACCTCAGAGTAGCATCTCTTCTCTTCTTTTTCTCCTTTTTCTATTCCAGTGATAGAGATCCTGGACTCTCTCATTCTACCATCCATGACTCTCAACATCTTTTGCAGGTCTTTTTCAGATCTATCTTTCACTTCACTAATCTTGTCTTCAACTGTCCACTAGATTTTAACTTCATTTGTAATCATTTCTTATTTTTAGAAGTTCTATTTGGCTACTTTTCAATCCTGCCTGATCAATTTGTATAATCTCTTGAGGGGTTTTAATCCCTTCTTTTACTCCTTCAACATCTTTGCATTGAATTCTCTTTCTGCTAGTTCCAACGTCTGCAGTCATGGTTCTGATTGTACAGTTGGTTGTTTCTGCTGACTCTCACTAATGGTGGTTTGTGTCCTCATGTACTTATCAGTTTCTCATTGTGAGCTTATGTTCCTAGGATCTTTATCTGTGGGAGTTTTCCAAGCCTGTGGTTAGAGTTTTCCTCCAAAGAGTGTTTATATTTTTTTTTCAAAATATCCAGGGGCATTACCAAACTTAAAAGTAAATTTTCAGCACGTAATTTTTCAGGTCACACATGTAACAAATACAGACCACCAAATATGCATGAAAGCATGAGGGAAGGCTTGTGGATAAAAGTTCTCAGGGGAGAAATGTTCTTTTACTCTGTTCTACCTAGAGCCAACAGTTATGTTTTCTCATTGTCTCCCTCTGTAGGGTGGGTAACTTTTTCAGGTCGCTCACTGAAAGACCTCAGCTTTATGCATGAGTATTTTCACTTTGTTTAGATTGTAGCCCTTTTCTCTATATCCTATATGTGTAACACTTAAGACACAAAGGACAAATGCCAGCCTCTATGGAAATCACTTACTTTGCCCTAGCTTAGTCACACTTCTAAAAGACTCATATTTTAAATCCCACATATATTGGTTAGCTGTACATAATGGGGGGTTCATCTGAACATTTTTTTTATCTGTCTTGCTCTCCATAGACTTCATTTGCGAGATTTCTGAACATACCAAGAAGACTCCTACAAGTAAATGAAGAAGTTAATATTCTTTCTAGTGTGGTATGAAGGATTGCAAGACACACTTGTGTAACAGCTGCCTCATAATCTTGAGATTCCTACCATCAGATACATACTTCTTTGGACCCAGGCACTAACCTGCAGAGGGGCCTGCCAAAATTGGAGTTACCAGGGAGGAGAAATATACAAGCCATTGTGTTCTGACAACCCAGCAGACACTGGCTAGCTGTCATTTGGCCAGACTGGAAAATGTAGGGTTGTGGGAGACAAGGGCAAGGCAGGAGAGCTCTGGAGACTAACCCATTATCTAGAGAGGGAAAGTGGTAGGGATAGAAATTAAAGAGAGAGACACATATCAGTGTTGGGGATTGGGGGGTTAGTTGGCTAGGGGATAACAGGAGTTTCCCTAGGAACACTCAGAGGACATTCGGGTGAGCAGTATGAAGAAACAGGATACTAAATAAAAACCACAGTGTCTAAACTAACGTCCTAAAGCCCAGCCCTGCCACATGGAGAACCACAAATGAAAGGCATGTATAAAATGTGCATGTTTCACATTAGAGCCATAGCCATATAAATCAACCAGTTTCATTCCCTTAGATGAGGAAACTGAACCCAGACAGCTGACAATATTTGTCCAAGATCACATTGTGGTGTTTGAGCCTATGTCTTCAGATTGCTAATGCCAGCACTCTTTCTGTCTAACAGATCTCAACATTTTCATCACCCAACATGGTGTGTTCATATAGAACCCTAGTTACAGAAGGTATCATAGTGTAATTTGAAGAAAAGTTAAGTAGTCAGATATGATTGGGAGACATTGATTTGAACAGAGTAAAGTACATTTGGGAAGATTCTTTGAATCCCTTTTAGTGTGGAAGAACTGTGATATGTGATGCTCAAAGAGAGGGGTATAGAATATAGGATTTCCCAAATGTATTTAACTATGAGATCTGTTTCATAATTGAACATCTCAAGGGATCGATGTTCAAAAGAAAACAATTTGGGGGATATTAAGCTATATCATACTGCTCTTCTAACTCTCTAACTTTTCCAAAATGTTTGCGGAATTCATAACAACAAGCATTTATTAAGCACAAACCATCTGCCCAGCCCTGTGCTAAAGCACTGGAGGATACCAGGATGAACAAGGTCCCCGACCCCAGGATGCTTATATTGTCCTAACAATAGTCAGACATGTGCATACATAATTGTAACCCTGCATAGAAAATGATTAAGTACCTCTGGGAAACTGTGATAATGTTTTGGGGGTTAAAAGGTTGGAAGCTTCACCGCTGAACAGAAGAATCTTCACATCACATCTAACAAACACCTAAAGTTAACTTTTCCAAAACTGAGTCTCTGATCCTAAACCTGCTCCTTCGTTAGTCTTCCCCATCTCGGGTCATGACATCTTTCTGTTTCCTCAGGCTAAAACCATTATAATCATCCTTGACTGTTCTTTTGCTCTCTCACCTCACAACCAATCCTTTAGATGATTTTGTTGACTCTAGCCTCAAAATAAATTCAGAATGCAAACACTCCTCACCACCTTTACTACCACACAGGTGTACATTAGGATCATCTCTCACCTAGATTACAGCCACCGTGTCCTTACTAGTCTCCCTGCCTCCACCCTTGCACCCCTATAATTTTCAACACAGCAGTAGATGGAATCCCTTTAAAACCCAAGGCCAAGCGCAGTGGCTCACGCCTGTAATCCCAGCACTCTGGGAGGCTGAGGCGGGTGGATTACGAGGTCAGGAAGTCGAGACCAGCCTGGTCAATATGGTGAAACCCTGTCTCTCCTAAAAATACAAAAATTAGCTGGGCACGGAGGCTGAGGCAGGAGAATCACTTGAACAAAGGAGTTGAAGGTTGCAGTGAACCAAGATTGCACCACTGCACTCCAGCCTGGCCACAGAGCAAGACTCCATCTAAAAAACAAAAAATTAAAACAAAACAAAACAAAAAAACCAAGTCAGATCATGTGATCCCTTGGTTCAGAACAATACAGTAGCTTCCCTATTCACCCAAGTGCAAGGCCAGGTTTCTTACAATGACCTGTATGGTCCTGAGTGATTTGGTCCTATTATCTCTTTGGCCATATATTACTCCTCTCCTCTTTAACCCATTTCCCATTTGAAAAAAAAAAAAAAAAAAAGGTGAAGCTCACTGCCAGTGCTCATTTAATTTTACATAAACACAATCTTTGAGGCTGAAGCAAATCTGACCGATTTCCAATGTGAAAATAAAATATAAAAACTGTTCTTGGAGTTATTTCTAAACAGAACTTGTCTCTAATCCTAATTAACAGAAATGTATATGATGTTACATAAGAGAGCACCTATTTCAAATTACAAGCCCCATTCTCTGTCATTCCTTTCCCTGACTTGCTTTTTCAGCAAACACTTACCTAATACACTAAATAATCTAATTATTCATTTCTTTATTGTTTCTCTCTCCCCGTTAGAATATAAGCTTCAGAAGAGCAAAGATTTTCACCTGATTTGTTTCCTGCTGCTTCTTCTGCACATAAAACAGTGCCCAGCATATAGCTCAATAAATACTTGTTGAATAAAAAATGAGCAGAACAAGTTGTAGGTATTGAGAAAGGCTTAATGAAGAAGGTGGCATTTGGGAAAAGCTGGGGAAGAAGGGGCTGAGTGAACAGAATATTGAGAAGTCTCTCGAGCTGCTTGCATCCTGGTGCAGCTCTGACAGCAGCTGCTGTCTGACCTTGGCCAAGTCGCAGCCTCTCTCAGTTGCACTTTGATTGATCAGGGATTTCAGAATGGGATTCCTGAGAGGGTCTTGGGTGTCTGGGGAGAAAAGTGAGCATGTGGCTCTGCCCCTGTTTCCACCAGAGTGACTTTGCATGTCTCTCATGGACAGGTGGCATCCTGCACAAGACTGCATTTGAAAAGCATTCCACTGCCAACAATAGAAAGCTTGAAAACCATTGCTCTTGGTGGTCTCTAAGGCACCTGCCCCTCTTTAGATAAGAGATCACTGGACAACCCAGGCTAGGAGGATGAAGGCAGATGGGCCTTCCAGGTGGTAGAAAACTATCCCTTAGATCAGTCCAACTGGAAATTGAAGGGTTGGAGCCCACACCCTAGGGCAAGCAGCCTATGTTCCAAATCCTGAACCCTACCACGGCCAAGCTGCTCACCCCAAAGGCTGGGTGTGGGAGACCTTCAAAGCCAATGTCCCACCCTGTCGCTTAGCGGGTGAAGAACACAGCAGACAGCCCCACTTGGGAAATTCAGCAGGTGGCAGAATTCAGTTTGTTCAACTTCCTGGGTAAATTAAGAGCCCAGGATTCCAGCCTCACACTAATTAAATCATAAGAGAAAATGATAGAGTGAAGAAAGACGACGCTGGAGTGGTTGAAAGCTGTAGAAAGTCTGTGCTAATGATAGCTGATTCTACGTTAGCATGAATGCCTTCGGTTACCCATGGAATGTGCTGAAGCAGAGGCTTCTGTCAGGCCAAACACATCTGTGAATAATTGAACAATATTCATGTCGAAGGAGTCAGCAATTTATCACCAACTTGGCCTCCACTTTTAGGAGTGAATAACTTTTTGAGAGAGGAGATTAAAACTGTGTACATACTCACGTGCTACTGTTGCTGCAAAAGAAAGTTCAGATCTGACAACCCTCGTATGTGACAACTTACAACATTAACCTGAAATATTCTGAATTTTATTTATGCAAGATTCAGAATCAGAAGCAATGAAGTTGGACACTCTCCGCCCCTCACCCTCATCAACACACATACCCACTCACAAGCCCCCACTCCAGAGGCAGCTGCTTCTGCTGTGTCCATCTCAATGACTCCAGGCAACCCCTCCACCTACTCCCCCCAGGGACCCTCAGCCTGCACGGTCACGGCTCAGCCCTGAAGGACTCTTCCCTTGGCAAAGCGTCCTGTCAGGTATGCCCTGAGCAGCTGTCAACACTCAGCCACCAGTCCCCATGCACCTGAGATCTCCGGGGAGGGCATTCCTTCAGCAGTGCTGAGGCCAGCCAGATGACCAGGAGAGCCACCGGGAGGAGCCCGGCTGTGAAAATCAACTCAGCACCAAGAGAAGAGACTAGGAAGTCAAAGCCAAGAATCTTAAAGGTCGACCGAGCACAGCAGAGCCAGTGTTTGTTGATAAGAAACCCAAGGCCTGGAGAAGGACAGTGACTTGGCCAAGGTGCAAGAGTAGCAGAGCCACAACTGTGCCCCTCAACTTCCTCATGGCTTTCAGACACATGGACTCATTCCTCCTCTCTGCAAATAAAAAGGTGTTCTGCAAAGAAAACGTTTCACTAAACACTGAACAGGAGAGGTTTGGAAACGTCAGGAGGAATGAATTGCCAACCTCCTGTACACATGGCAGAGCCCTGGCTGAGCAGGTCCCTGGGGCTCTCAGTAACTCATTCCTGTGAGAGGGCTCCCTAGAGGGAGAGGGAAGAGAAAAGGCAGCCCTGAAGTTGAGTTTTCCCACCCTTCTCTGTATGTATGTGTGTATATGCATGTGTGTGGGTTTGTGTATATGCATGTATCTGTATATATACGCATGTATGTGTATAGTGTGTGCATGCATACATGAATGCATATGTGTATATACACGCAGAGGTGCATATGTGTATATGTACATGCATGCATGTGTGCATGTGTCTGTGTATGTGTGTGCACATGCATGTGTGTATATATATGCATGTCTGTGTGGCTTGCGTGCCTGTGTGTATATAGGGGGCATATGTGTATGTATTTATATCTTTGATCATTTTCTTCAGAGGATCAGAGAGACAATGCAGACCATGGATGTAGGAAACTGCCTTCCTTAGGGAGTGATGCTGAGAGAATGACCCTGGTATTGATCTCAGCAAAGCTTGGTATTGCCATTCAGGTTGTGCAAGTTGCTCCCTCTCTGATGACCCACTCATGCCTGGCACTGCCCTCCCTGGCCACCAACCCACAGCCAATTTCCTCCCAGAGCCACAGCCAGGGCCACCCTCACGCCCAGCCACTAATGAAGCTCCTTTCCTCTCAGCTCTGAGGGAAGGATGAGTGGCCAGGAGGAGCAGACCAGCTCCAGATGGGGCCAGCAGTAATGTGACAGGATAAAAATAGAGGTGGCAGTGGCTGGTTTTAAAAGTAAATCTCTGCAGGGGCACCTTTTGATTTAGGACCCTGGAAAATGTTGAGTTCTCCTTTTCCAGGCTTCAACCACTGCCCCAACCCCACTCCCAGCACTGTCTCCCTTCCTACTGCCTGCTTCTTCCAAGAAAAATGACCACATCAGTGTGTTTCCCAACCCAACAGCTCTGTATCCTGGAACTATCAGGTCAGAATAAAGAATACGCCACCAACCCACTATGTGGTCCTCGATCAATCATGCTCCTCCCGGGACCTCAACTTTCATAGACATAAAATGAGGAGTTGGGTTCACACCAGCTTTCTCCTCTCTCCTTCTCTAAATCACAAAGAGTATAGTGAGGGGTCCAGGCATGGGGCTGCCCTCCACCTTAGCAGCCTCAGGCTGGCCTGTCCTCCAGGCCTCCTTTTATGCCACCTTCCTCCTCCCCACTCTGCTGTCCAATTCATCTAGCAGTGGTCAGCATTGCAGCCTTCAGAACTCTTTCACAGATGCAAGTGACAAACCGTGACAGAAAGGAGAAAAATAGAACCTATCACCTCGCCCGATGGAGAGGTCTGAGGATTGATTAGCTTCACACCAGATGCATCCAGAGGCTTGGGCGGCAGCACCAGGACCCTGCTCCTCCTCATGTCCAGGTTTGGGAATGATGGTCTGGGGGTCATGCCCAGAAAGTCTTCCTTCAGCGTGGCTATGTGGCTGCTGAAACCTGTCCATTCTTTCTGCTTCAATTCCAAGATGAAATAAAGGGTTTCTCTTCCAGGAACTCCACAAAGTTCTAGATTTGCTGAGTGGATGAGCAGAGGTCGAGAGCCCAGTCCTGGGAGAGAAGAGGTCTTGGAGGGGGGAACTTGAGTAGAGATCAACGTCATGGCTCACGGCCCCTCAAAGAGAGCTTGGAACCCAGGACAAATAAGCAACTGCTGAATGGGGGAGATGGATACCTTGATTCTGGGATTTCGGTAACACGATTTTGCATCAACAAAATGGGAAATGACCTGTCTCAGGGAAAGGGGCCACAGCTACCAAAAAAGACTTGGAAAATGAGAACTCTGCTTGATACACGCTGAAGAAGGGAGGTCAGAATCCCTCAGGAAAAAATGGCAAGAGTAGGCACCAAAGAGCAGGCACACACACGCATGTACTGCAGAGTAGATGGCGCATTCCAGACCTGCCAACAGGGGCATCATCAGTGTTCATCCCTGTTTGCTAACTGGACCTATGGTATGTCCCTGACCCAGGTGGTTGGATCCTGCAAAGTCCACACTAAAGGCATCACCACCCACCTCTGTCTCCATCTGCCACCCTCCGTCCCTCACAGCCTTCCCTCCTGCCCCAGGCAGAGCCCCTCTGGGCTCCTCCAAAGGCACCCGCAGCCACAGAGCAAGTGAATCAGAATCGAGAGAAATCTCACTCCAACATCAGATGCTGCCTCTTTGCCCAGAAATCTCAATTTGTTTTCCTGCTGAACATTCCAGTTTGTAAATAACATAAAATAAATATATGTAGTTGTTGTTTTACACTTAATACCGTGACAGCTGAAGAAAACTGAGAATGGCAGTCTGCACCAGGCAAGCAGCTTATGCTTAGAAAGGCAGCTGGGCGGGGGCAGAGGGTGGGGAACAGAAACACACAACAAGTCTGCCGTGGGGCTGAAGGGTAATCGCTGCCCCCCAGTCTCTCTGCCCCAGTATGCCCAGCTCTGATTCACCAAATAAGATTCTGCACATCCCAGACCTCTAACCAATAAAATGCCAGTGGACACACTGGATGGATGGCATCCTTGTCCTTCCCTTGTACTTCCAGCAGGCAGCACACAGGCACACACATGCGCGCACACACACACACACACACACACACACGCTTGCCATCGCATGCTCTCTCTGAAACCATGTCCTGATATTTTCCTTCTTCCTGCCTCCCCTTACCTCTCTCCTCTACCATTTCGAATCCTGCTCCTCCATAAAGATCCAGTGCCATCTTCCCCAGGAAGCCTCTTCTGCCCTCCCCAAGCCCAGAAGAGCTCTTTTCTTAGGAACTCTCACTGCACCTTATATGTGTATGTTCCTCCAACGCCCCCAGGTGCTAGTATTTTTCCAGCATCACACTGCAGCACACACAGGGGCAGGATAACCTAGGAGGCAGAGTGTAGTTAGCTTCACACTGGCTGGATTTTGGTCCTGGCTGTGCCATTTAATGGCTTTGCACCCTTGGGCAATTTGCTTACCCTTGCTGGACCTGTCTTTTCATCTGTACGATGGGAAGGATGATACTAATGCTACCCAGCTGCTAGATTGTTACAAGGACTCAGTGAATGACTCTCTATAAAGCAGTCAGACTAGCACCTGGCAGGTCAAAACTGTCATCATGTTCCCTGTTCTCCCAGCCACATCCTCAGCACCCTGAGGGTTAGGACTCTCTTTTCTGTTGGCTCTAGAGATCCTTGTATACAATGCATGCTCAATATGTGTTTGTTGAATAAGCTACTGCTGTATAGCTGGGAAGACACCTTGAGGAAGCCTGGTTATGTGAGCTCTTCTAGACCATCCCCGGTGAACCCGACAGTTGCTTCAAGGCCTGCTCCTTGCCCCTCAGGGAGGTGTGCCCATCCATTTCTGCCTGGCAGCCCCAGTGCCTTGGGGAGGAAGGATAGCCTTTGTGATGTTTATTTTAGAAGCTGTTTTATGTGCACCTGGGCCATGACCTCCAGCCCACAGAATAGCAAATACACCTTTTTAAAATGAGCAAGCTATCAACAAAAACAATATTCATGACATTCAATTGGGAAGGCAGGAGGTAAATGATGAAATTAAAGGTATTGCTGGTGGGTGACAAAGAGCAGAGAAAGCCGTGAAGCAGTGTGCGTGGGCTTGGGGGCTCACGGAGACAGGGGAGTCGCTGCAGCTCTTGAGCCAGTACCCGCTGTTAGGGGATCAGGAACGGAGGCAAACCACAGAGCAGGCTGGAGATGCAAGGGGAGGGGAAAGAAGGGAAGTTGGAACAGAGAGGAAGGCGAGACAAGAAAAGAAGGGAAATCGGCACTCAATCCCAGGCAGAGATTGTTGCTGCAAATTCAAGATCCCTCATTTGCCCTGCAATTAGATCTTGGTTAAGATATAGTTGAGATATCACTAGAATTTGAAAAAGGAGGGGCTAGAGAAACAACAAACCTAGGTTCCCATAAAATTGATGATGAAGATTAAATTCATAGTGATATTTAAAACATCCAGAACACAATCAATGTTATTTACACATTCTCCACTTCGTCATCATTATTGGACTTATAATGGTGACATCTGTTCAGCAAAAGTGTGGAGCCCCTATGTTGTGCTAGAGACCACGTATCTAGGACACACATGTGAATAAGAGGAAGTCCCCACCCTGAGGAAGGAGGAAAGCAGCTATGGAGAAATGTGAATCACCAGGCAGGTGAGGGAGGAGGCCAGAGCCAAAGCAGGGAGCCCCTAAAGCTGCAGAGGTCGGAACTCTGGGGCTGGTCTTTGTAGAATCAGCCTGTTTCCTCTTCTGTGCACCCAGATCTGGGCTGACAGAGTCTTGAGGCTGGTCCAGCTGGGTCATTCTGTGCCAGCCAGACCCGCAGAGGCTGGGCAGGGCCAAGATGCTGCAATCCCTCATCCATCGTGGCTCCTCACTCACAGCCAGCCTGAGCTGCCCTAGACCTTGGATGAGGCTTCCTCTTATGAAGGTCACTCTGGAAATTCTGCTTTCAAATTGTTTCCCTGGTTCAATCAACTTTCACATTCATAATACAACAGAGATCTACAGGGCCACTGAGCTGAAAGCGGCTGTGGCTTTTCATTTCCTGGCATGATTAGGGGGATAATCAGTGTGCTTGGAAAAATAATAAAGCTGAAGTCTGAAGTGGGATCAAAGCAAAGAGTCTGGCCACACACACAGGCCTGGAGACACAGTGACACACAGGCTAAAGCCTTCCCCAAAGGGCAGGAGAAGCGGAGAGGCCCTCTCATGCAGGCTGTGGAGAGGGCTGCAAATCAAACCTGCAGTTGCTGGCTCAGCACCCGCACCAATGGCACCAGCTGGAAAATGTCTTCCACCTGCCCATCAGATTGGGAAAGCAGAGAGTTGAGTACAACAGCTAGAAGGAGAATCGCAGCCTCATCTCCCCACCAGGGAAGAGAGAGCAGGCATGAGGGGGCACTGACTGCCATCTGCTCAGCAGAAACTGCCCCCCCCAGCCACCAAGAAACAAGGAGAAGCTGCCCAGCTGGAGGAGCTGGGGACAGGTACAGCTATAAGTGCTGGGGTGTGGGGCTCAGCTTGGCCACACCACACAGTTCCTAGACAAGAGACCTGGAGGTGTAAATGAGAGAACGCAGGAACCTATCCAAGGTGCAAGCTGTGACCTTACAAACCAAGAGCCCATGCATCTCTGTTTCCCCATTTGCCTGGTGGAGGGAGAAATTCCAGCCCTGCCTCCCCCATGTGACACGGAGAAGTAAGAAGCCAGACACCAATGTAAACTCTTCATCCTGAGGGGCTACAGGACATGAAACAGACTCCAGCTGGGCTGGCCAGATAGGGCTGCTCCCACAGGAACCAGGAGGGAGAACCAGGAGGGCAGAGGATCATGGATCAAAGAGAATGCTCACCGGGCCCCTGAGGTGGTGCCCTGGGTCTTAGAGATGCAGGTGGCAGCAGGAGGCCTGGCAGGGAGGGCAGATTCCCATGCAAGCCCTAAGGAAGGACATAAGGAGTGCTCGGCAGGACAGGCTGGCTGGAGAGTCAGGGCTGCACATCTAGCTCCTGCTTTGACCTTGACCCCTGCCTCTCCCAGCCAGTCACTGCATCGGAAGAGCCAGTGCAGTGCCAGCCATGTTCTCCTCCCCAGGCCAGGCCTGGAATCCCTCATTTGTGAAATGAAGGGGATATCTGAGCCCTGCCCCATCCAGAGTGTTCACTGCAAGGCTCATTGAGAGAAGTGGGGTTTTTGGATAAGGCCCCCATGGAGGGTTGGAGAGGGACATATAAATCTCCTCTTCCATTATCAGGAGAGAAATCTGAGGGTCAGAGAACATCTCCACACATGGTACATTCATCCCCAGGGTTAACACAAGAACATTTTGTGGTGAAATCCAGGTCAGGATAAAAGGAGAACTTGCCTTTAGCAAAACAAGGTCAAGGTTATTATTTCTCAAGGAATAGGGACGCAGTCACTGTTTTTTTTCCCCTAGACTAGAGGGAGAATTCCTCACATAGCCTAGACTGGGTAGTCTATCAGGAAAACTTATTTGCAAGGAAGCAAGTTACATTTGCCTTCGGGACGCTCGGGAGGAATACCAGCAGAGGCTCTGTGGGTAGAGACATGGGTCTTAACTTGAAGCTGCAGAAGTTTTTCTTTTGCTCTGTGCCTCCCCCTTCCCTTTCTCAAGTAAGCAAAGGCTGAGCAGAGGAAGACTCCACTGGCTTTGGCTGGAGCCTGGGGGAGCAGCTCAAGCAAAGCACAGGGTAGAGCAGGGCTCGGACCTGTTCAGACGGTGGTCAGTGAAGGCCGGGATGTCCAGGAGCAGAAGACCAAGGCCTGGCTGGGGAGGATGTAGGGCACATTTGAGGGATGTCAGAGCTTAAAATGAGGTGGCTGGGAAAAAGAAGAACCTGCTGGAACAAAGAAAACAGTAACCCCAGTATTTTGGGAGGCTGAAGCAGGAGGATCACTTGAGCCTAGGAGTTCAAGACCAACCTGGGCAACATAGTAAGACCCTCATCTCTTAAAAAAAAAAAATTAGCCAGGCATGGCGGCACTTGCCTGTGGTCCCAGCTACTCAGGAGGCTAAGATGGGAGGATCAGTTGAGCTGAGGAGTTCAAGGCTGCAGGGACCTATGATCATACCACTGCACTCTAGCCTGGGTGACAGAGCGAGACTCTTGTCTACAAAAATAAAGGAAACAAAACAAAATCCCACCCTTGCATGAAACAATGGAGCAAGTCAGCCCTTAAACACTTCTATGCAAAATAAAGGCTCAGGTTCCTACAGGAGACCGGGGTGCACACACCCTGCATAGGGAAGTCAGAAGCAGCAGAGTTTGGGGAGAGGTAGCTCCTTCCACTGTCATCTGATGCACACAGGCCTAGCCCCTTGCTGGCCCCCAACCAGAAATTGTTCCTACAGACAGTTTTGCAGTGAGGAGGACCTGGGCCTCAAAGGGCCTCCTCTGAATTTAAGTTTCCTCATTCATAAAATGTGAGTGATAAATAATACATCTCTATGTACACCAAGTGTAGGGTGAATGTGATAAACACAGGGAGGTACTTCATAAACACAAAGCTACTCACAAATAATTGGAACTATCACAACACTTTTCTTCTAAAAGTAGTTTTTGACTTTTTGTTGTTGTTGTTTTGAGATGGAGTCTTACTCTGTCGCACAGGCTGGAGTGCAGTGGCAAGATCTGGGCTCACTGCAAACTCTGCCTCCTGGGTTCAAGCAATTCTCCTGCCTCAGCCTCCCAAGTAGCTGGGATTATAGTTGTGTGCCACCATGCCTAGCTAATTTTTTTTTTTTTTTTTTGTATTTTTAGTAGAGGTGGAATTTCACCATATTGGCCAGGCTTGTCTTGAACTCCTGACCTCAAGTGATCCACCTGCCTCAGCCTCCCTAAGTGTTGGGATGACAGGCGTGAGCCAACGTGCCCAGCCTTGACTGTTTATATACCTTGCCTGGGTTTTGCAAAGAGAAAGAAGACTGGGAAGTCCTGTTCTCAAGACGTGTTCATGTTCCCATCTCCTCTTCTCACTTAATATGCTCTCCCACATTCACCTTAGAGGTTCCAGATGCTCTCCATGTGTTCTAATTCCCAAATCATCCCAGGATCTGGACAGCCTAGTGGATGTTCTCTACTTGGGTCTATCTTAAGGCCTAGATGAGTCTACTAAGGCTGCCATAACAAAGTACCATGGACTGGGGGCTTCAACAACATCTATTTATTTTCTCACAATTCTGGAGGCTGGGAGTTCAGATTAGGGTGTTGGCAAGGTTGTTGTTATCTGAGCCCTCCTCCTTTGGGGTGTAGATGTGTATTCCATGGTCATCCCTCTGTGCATGTCCCTGTCCTGCTCTCCTCTTCTTGTAAAGACACCAGTCCTATTGCATAGGGCCCAGCACAGTAGCCGTATTTTAACTTAGTCATCCTTTAAAGACCCTGTCCTCAAACACAGTCACATTCCAAGGTACTGGAGGTTAAGACTCTGACATAGAAACATGAGGGGGGACAAAATTCAGCTTAAAGCAAAACGCATCTCTGCTGTCAGCAACTCTAGGGAGGCTCTCCTGAGCCTCCTGTATCAGGCCAGGAGAGGCGGCCTTCTTGATGCTGCTTTTACATCTATATGGTTTGTCCCCTCCAAATCCCATGTTGAAATTTGATCTCCAGTGTTAGATGTGAGGCCTAATGATAGGTGTTCAGGTCATAAGAGTGGATCCCTCATGAATAGATTAATGCCCTCCCTGAGGCAGGAGGGGGCCAGGGAAGCGAGTTCTGCTCTATTATTGGTTGTTAAAAGGGCTGATTGTTAAAAAGATCCTTGCAGCCAGGCACGGTGGCTCACGCCTGTGATCCTAGCACTTTGGGAGGCTGAGGCGGGCGGATCACATGAGGTCAGGAGTTCGAGACCAGCCTCAACATGGAGAAAGCCCGTCTCTACTAAAAATACAAAAAATTAGCTGGGCATGGTGGTGCATGCCTGTAATCCCAGCTACTCGCGAGGCTGAGGCAGGAGAACTGCTTGAACCTGGGAGGCGGAGGTTGCGGTGAGCCGAGATAGCGCCATTGCACTCCAGCCTGGGCAACAAGAGCAAAACTCCATCTCAAAAAAAAAAAAAAAAAAAAATCCTTGCACTCCCCTTCTTGTTCTCTCTTGCTTCCTCTCTCTCCATGTGATCTCTGCACACACCAGCACCCCTTCACCTCCCACCTTGAGTGGAAGCAGTCTGAAGCCCCCACCAGAAGCAGATGCTGGAGCCATGCATCTTGAATACCCTGCAAGATCATGAACCAAATAAACCTGTTTCCTTTATCAATTACCCAGCCTCAAGTATTCCTTCATAGCAACACAAACAGACCAAGACAGCATCCCCTCGAAGCACCTCTCACTGCTGAGCTATTTCCTGAGTGTGTGTCTCCTGCCAGACTATGACCATCTGAGGGCAGGACCCTGACTCTTCCCTTCTGGGGCTCCAGCACCTCCCATGGTACCTGAGCGACAGACAGCATTCAAGACGTTTCCAGGGGTAAATGAGTGATTAAAGATCCACCATGCCCATCTTGCTCAAAGAAGGAAGCTATCCCACAGCATTTAAAGAATGCCCATTCCAACACACACTGTGTTAGAGCCATGTAAAGGCCAGGTTTGATTTCTTGCTCCCTTTTATTGTGTGATCAATAACTTTTTTAAATCCTTAAAAATAAGCTGCAGGGCAAGACTAGAAAACATTAAAGTGAAGAGAACAACGTCGAAGGAGCCTGCAAGAAGCACGATTAATATGACATTGGCATTACAAGGATATCAATATTAATAGCAATATTAGTGCCAAAAAAAGCATCAGCTTCAATATTTTGCAATTCCTTACAAACATCTTTAATGAGTGATGACAGATGGACAATTCCTGGGCGGAACTGAAATGGACTATCATGAAGGCTGATGGGAGATGGGAACCCAGATGAGTGCTCCTCCTTGAGAGAACCGGCCTTCACGCTGTCTCCCTATGTCTTCAGCAGACTGCAGGGTCATTTCAGAAGCTCAGGCAGTACCCTGGATGCCCCCAGGGATTTTCCTCAGAGATTGAAGAAAAAAAAAAACTATCATTCTATGAACTATCAATGTCACTTGTGAACAAGGTGCTGATTGCAGGCTGAGGATGTGAATGTGGGCGTCCCACTTTAAGCAGGAAATGTACTCCTGCAACACACGATGTGGAACGTGGCCTATTTGAAATTGCATCTTATTGCACATACACCAGGGGGCTCACCCTTTCAAGAGATTCTTTAGCAAAATAATTTATATAGCCAAGAATTCTTTTGTGAAATGAATACAGGTGTGCTCTCCCTTAAGCAAGTCTAATTTACAAATTCAATTTAATTCAACAAACGTTTATTGATTACTTTTTCTGTATTCAGGGCATTGTGCCAGTGCAGGTGATAACAAAGATGCTTAAGACATGATCCCTGCCCTTCAGAAACTCATACTCTAACAGAGGGAGACAGACAAGTGAACAAATACCTCTACAAATGCGGTGAGTGCTATGGTGAAGGCACACTTAAAATTATCTGGGTATCAAGATAAACCAATTTACTAATAATGGAATAGTCAAGTAAAGCTGCAGGGAAAGCAGGGGACAGTTAAAGGAAGGGGACAATTGGAACGGACCTTGACGTTTAAGTAAGAGTTCACCAAGCTGGAATGTGGCCACATCCCACATGATAAGGAACCAGTGTGCCTATGCATAGAACACCCAGGGGTGGTGAGGGAAGGATCACAAAGGTGAAATAGAGGAGAAAGTTGTGGATAGACAGCACACTCTATTGGAGGATCAGATTCAGCCAGACTCAAACCTTTATTCTTCACCCACTCAGCTGATGTACCTAAGAAGTCCTCACAGGATTCCTATAGCTAAACAGCTCTCCTGCTGCACTTACGATATGACTCAATTTACAAGATGTTGATTTATGTCCATAAACAAACTCATTAATTTTGTGTAAAGAGGTCCATTTGTAAGAAAAGAATTGCCACGTCTGGGTGTTCTCAGAGAACGCAGTAAAAGAAGACACTGCCGGAGCTCAGTGCTTGGCTGCACATGGCACACAGGCGGCCCCAGGAAAGTGAGGCTCAGAAATGGAGAAAGCCCATTTGAATGGAAACTCTTCTAAATGTGTCAGAACAGAATAAGGAAGGCACAGATCGACTCCCGGGAGGCTCATGGTGTCTGCATTAAGGAGATGGCAACCCACATTTTCTCTGAATGCTCTTCTCGCCTACATGGAAATTGACCTCCTGGTAGGTTTCAGACCTCAGGGTTCACAGATTTCCCACCTGTTCTGCGACCCTTTTCTGTCCACCGGCTGCTCTCTCCAATTTTCATTATTTTTAGAATTATACTGACAGCCAGATGGAACAAAGTCATCTTTATCACTATTATCATGAACATCATCATCACTTTCCAGGATTGTAGTTTGAAAACTACACGCTTGCTTATTTGATCCTGGAAAGGATCCTGAGAGAGACGTAGGCTATGACCTCCAGGTTCTAAGAGAGGCATCTGCGGCTCAGAGAGGATGCTTAACTTGTCTGGGGTCTCACGGCAAATTATTTGCAGAGATAAACCTAAAGCCAGGTCTGGCAACCATCACGAGCTATCTCCTCTTGCTGCACTCTTTCCAATGAGGGTTGAGTCAGCCTCATAGGATGTCAAAGCAGCCAGCCGGCTATGGGGTGTGGATTGAGAGACCTTGGTAAGATCTCCTGCCTCCCAATATTTCCCTGTCTAACCAGTCTCAAGGCATAGAGTTGCACCATTTGGTATTATGTGTGTGTTTGGGGGGAGGGATAAAGATAAATAGCTTCAACTTATAGACTTTTTAACTTTTCAAAAGTCCTTCTGCATGTTATACCACAAAACTCACCTCATGGTAGGGCAAAGGCTATCTATATCTGAGATGCTTTTCACTGCCAAGTGCAAGAGACAGGCAGAAGTGCTCAATGCTATCTGAAACATAGAAGTCTCTATGTAGAGATGGAGTAGCTCCAGGCTGTCAATAAAGTCATGCAAAGAGGTCATTCAGACCTCAAGTTCTTCCCAACTTTCTGCTCTGCAACCTGGCAAGGTGACAGCTCCCCTCTAGGACACACAATGGCTGCAGTGCATGGCTCCAGGCATCTCTTCCTTACATAGCTGAATCAGAAGGAAAACAAAATATATCCCCATTTTATGAGACCAATGAAGATGGTTTCGGACACCCCCCACCCAGTAAACTTCGTTTACTTAACATGAACTACAGCAGGGCCACTAACTCATGCCTGATCAGTCCCAGCCAAAGAAATGGGATTATACTGACTGGCTTCATCTGGTCAGCTTTCTTCCTCTGAAAAAGGCAGAGCTCCATGAAGCCCTCATTTCTTGAATGAGATCTAGGTTCCATTAGTGGGAGGAAGGTGGAATGGCACCTGAATAGGTGACTAACATCTTCTGCCACTTATCCCCAGGTTTAGATTCTTCTAAAGGCCCCATTGAGGAGCTGACACCACACCCCCACCCCCTGTAGCAGTTAAGCTATTATCAGCTTTATAGGAGCATAATTGTTAAGTGTTGTAACACTATCAGCTAGTAAGGCCTATGCTCCTTTATCAGCTGTTATTAATCCTAGTAGGTATTTGGTTTAAAAAAAAAAAAAAGTCTTGTTGTAATTAATCCCACCAAGTTCTGATTATGTTTCTAAAAGACCACAAAAAAAATAAAGCGCCAAGAACTGGACGCTAAGCTAGGCCGGGGATCCAGAGAATAGGAACCCATTCCAAAAAGCGGCTGGGAGGATGTACAGATGCCAGGACATGGCAAACATGGCAGGAGGAAGGGGCCACAGAAATGTCACTTCACCCAGCATGTCGGCCTAGGACTGACCGACCCCAGGGTACCCCAGGCGGGGCTGTGAAGTTGAGAAACTGAATCAGGTACACGTAGACTATAGGAAACTCAGCAACTCTCAGGCCAGATGAAGCCAGACATCTGAGGCTGACCCAGTTCTAAAGGCCGTTGTCAGAACTGCTCTTTTTAATGATAAATACTTGCACCGGCAGCACCAAATTGCATCTCATACTTTGCCCAGTCCTCCCCTTTGCCTAGTCCTCCCCTTTGCCTGTCTGCTTTTCTGATATTGCAATGGTGATGGTTGGTTTGAGTCAGGGCCAGCAGCAGAAGAGAGAAATATTATAGGTATAGGTGCCCCGAGTCTCCTGGGTAGTGTTTCCTAATTCCCAACAGACAGTAATCTGCACAATTTAAAAACAAGACATCAGAATTAATGGTAATTCTTGGGAGTCCCCTCCATTCATTAGTTATTCCCTATTTTTCATAACACTTCATCTCCGTGTTTTTAAATAATAATGAGTTAATATAATAAACAGTGAATCATTTTCAGGTTATCACAAAAGTTTTTATTAAAAACATCATAAATGTTTTTTATCATCATAAATGGTTTATTGTTATTATAAAAATATTTTATGACAAGCTCATATACTGCAATAAGTATATACTTCAAGATTATATAATTCAATATAATTCAAGAGTATAAACTTCAATATGTAAAAATGATCTCTCCCCGATAGAGACGTTTGATGATCAAAAACATTAAAAGAAGGGAAGGGAATATTAGCAGAAAACGAATGCCAAATAAAAGTTACTTAAAATTTAAAAATAACAGCACAATATTTAATATTTAAATGCTCATTTAAATTCTCAAAATGAAACATTAAAACACACAATGCATTAATTGCCCTACCCAAAAGTTTCGATCTTTTTGTACGTGTGACAAATATTCTGGACAGAAAATTTCTTTCATTTTGCACTGACGTTTTTCAAGCTGATAAGATTGTGTCAAAAAGCGACTTCAAGCTGGCATTAAGGTCCATGATGCTTTACATAAGCTCATTTCCTTTTTTAATGGCTAAAGCATTTTGTCTGCTTGATCTGACTTTGGTTTTGTCTTCGAATTCATTACTGCTTCTGCTAATTTAGATTTTTAAATCAGTTTCTGCTTTAATGGTGTAGTATTCCCACAACATCCAAATCTTCTCTTTGCATTTCTGTTAAAGCATTTGCAAATAACTGTAATGTAACTTACAGCAAATATTCAAGCCATAAACATTTTGGGGTAGTAACGAAATAATTTTTGGATCTCCTAGCAAGCACTCCTAACAGCACCACACAGACTCACATGCTGAAATTGCCAATTTAATGACTTATTTCACTTCCAAAATGTATTATTTCCTGAAACACCACCCACAGAATCTGTATAAAGTTATCCATGTGTATCATCTTACTAATATTTATTTTATCTGCAATAAGCACTCACCACTAGCAGCAGACAGGGCAATGAACTCACTCTTCTCACATGTCAAAGACTCCAAGCACCTGGCTAGAATGACCGCTACTCTCCCACCTGCTCCTGTCCAAGTCCTGGAAACTAAGACCTTGAGCTTTAACTCCTGCGGTCAGGAGTTTCTACTTTATCTCAGCAGATTCTTTCAAAGTAGTAACATCTTTATGTTGACTGTTAAGCTTCGGTCATTCTTGAAGGAGACCTATATTGCTTTTCACCATTTACCCAGTTTCTCAACTGATTTTTCTCAAGATTTGGGAAAACACATGCATTTCCTGAGAAATTCTGGAAAAGAAGTCTCGTCTAGAATACTCTAGCGGGCCATCACACAGGTGAGAGGAAAGTCTCACCAGGCACGGCTAGTCCAAGTCAGACACTGGATGTGGATGTCCTGAGCCCCTCACCCCGCCCCAGGCTGGAGGGCAATAGTACCAGTGCACCCCTTCTCGATGACCTCCTCTCCTCCCCCTGCCACAATTCCTGCCCCCTGTCCAGCCAATTCACCCGAGGCTCATCCAGAACTGTCTGCCCTTCTCCCCTATTTCCCCAGCTCAAATTTACCTTCTTCCTTCTCTCTCCAGTCCCAGCCAACACACAAACACCTCTACTGCCAACATTCTTATTTTCTGAGCAAAATCAGTATCAGCCAGGAGCTTGTCCTAATCACCACTGTGACAATTAAAGCAATTCAGACTAAAGTATGAATCATACATAAATTTCCACTTACTATCAACATAATGTTGAAAATATCACCTCTTTATACTGAGCCTGTTTTTTGATCTATAAAATGGGAGATTCAAATTCCCAACTTATATTTTTGAGAAGACGATATAATATAGGTAAAGCACAGAACTGTTGAGCGCTCAGAAATTGTGAGTTTCCGTCCTTCTCCAAAATGTATAGTATTTGAATTTTAAAGGAAGAGCTTTTGAGTGCAAGTGGGTCATATATCAGCCACTGGAATTGCAAGCACCATCCTCAGAGCAGAATCAGCTGTATCTGTAAATCCAAATATGAAGAAGTGTGGGCAAATTCCTCTCTTCTTGTTCCCCAAAAGGTCTATATTTACTAGCGCTGTGTCAATTCCAGTAACTTCCCACTTGGCATATTTGCAAAGTACGATTTGGATTAAGAGAGTTGGCCCACTAACCCAATACCTAGCCCACTGCTGCTGCCCCCAGCGGCTGGACTAAAGTAAATGCTCAATAAATGTTTGCCAAATTGAATTTCCTTCTCCCTGGATTAATCGGTGGCAGAAGAGAGGAGCTGGCTCCCTCTGGGGTGGCTCCACTGCCCACAGCTTCATGACTCATGTCTTCGAAGGCCTTGCAGTGGCCACCCCCTTCCTTTGCCACTGACCTCCCCTGCTTCTTCAGCATGTTTATGGACATAATTACAGCATGCTATTGATTTCCTGACAGCCGCCTTGATGTAACTATTTTACAGAATGAAGCTAATTTCATACATTGAGGTTTTTATGGTCTCTGGCAGACTCAGCCCAAGAAGTCCTTCTGTCTCCTCCCTGGGAGCTCCTGCCCCTTCTCAGAATGCAGCCGCTCCCAGCCCCTCCTCCCCTGAAGCTCTCTGGGCTCCCCTGCCATCCAGAGTTTCTGTCTTCTCTTGCTAGCCCCACCTTCATGGCCACATGAGTCAGCTGTCTCATAGGGAAACAGGGAGGTCTTCGAGGTCCCAGGAAGGCAGGGCAGTGCATCTGGGGATAAGAGGGAACCCAGGGATTCCTCTCACTTTTAAAACGTAAGTGTGCCCCACTTCCCTATTACACTCTGCATCTAGTCCTGGGCTCATTCCAAAACCCCTTTTCTATATGTTTCTCCTAATGACAGCTTACAGCAGACCCAAAGAGACAATCTTATTTAATCAACATGCCAATCCTGTGGTTATGTTATTTTGTCCATTTGACAGATGTGGAAAATGAGGCTGAAAAAACAAAGGAGCTTTGCAATATAAAATATTAACAACTAGCGTATGAACACCCTTCACACAATGGCTTCCCGTGAGTATTCTTCTCCAGTTAGAGATAAGGGGTTGCAGCAGCAAGATTTAGACAGCCAGCCTTCTCATGCTAAGCCCTTTCCTCACACTGCAGCTCCTTGCTGTGGCTGTTCTAGGTCCCAGGCAAGCACTGCTCCTACACACCGCCTAGCCTTGCTGTGTTACACTTAAACACCCAGACGCATCCCTCCTCTGCCTGCCAGTCCAACTCTGATCTGTCCCTGAAGAGTTTCCTCTAGTCCCATCCCTACCAGGCAACCTTCCCTTATAACTGCATCCTTCAGGGACCTCTCCTTACTCTTAACACAGTGTATGTGTTGTCTGTTATTAGATAATAAATGTACCAAAGTGGATATTTAATACAATTGAGCCTTATTCCCCTCATCGCTTAAAGTAGTGGACCTGCATTGGTTCAATCTTCACCATTCATTTCCCCAATGCATGTAAATTGCTCCATTTCCGAATGTCCCCATCTTCTATTTAGGGAATGAGAGGACACCAGGGAAGTTCCAGAAGTGAGACCCAAAACCAAGGCAAGGCCAATCCATACATTCATGTGATGTAAGGTGGTCCAATCAGAGCAAACGTCTAGATGGCTGCAAGGGATGCCAGACAAGAGACTTGCTTTTCCAGTACAGCCAGCACTAAGGAAGCAAAGTCAGGCACTGCAGAGAGAGACAGAGAAACTGGGTCTGGGTCAAACATTTTGTGCTACAAGATCAAGCCTTGCCTGAAGCTAGCACATTCCTTTCTCCAGGACTTTTCAGTCACATGAACCAACTCATTTCTCTGTTTAAGCCAACCAGTTTTAGTCAGGATTTCTGCACCCTAAGGGATTCTAGTGCATGTTCTTGAATGGTGATTTTTTTTCCTGATGCATATAAATGCAGAGGCAGCATGATTCTCGATTTAGGCTTTGAATTTTTATAAGAGAATATCAAAATACATTTAGCTCCAATGATCCTTTTATATGACTTACTGGATTTTTGTTTTATCTGATTACAAAATAATACATGTTCATTAAAACACTTTAGAAGTCCCATCATGCAAGATTACTACTAAAAACCAAGATATATTTACTTTTATTTAAATATGTACAGTGTTTTACAAAATTGGGATGAATCATGATGTGCATGTATAATTTTGAATCCTCCTTTGGTCACTTAATGTCAGCAAGCTAGCACAATGGAAAAAGAAAAAGAAAGAAGCCAGAATGCCTGGGTTCAAATCTGTCCCTATCATTAATATCTATGTGACCTTGAACAAGTTATAGAAATCTCGCCATGTCTCAATGACTTAGTATGTGAGAAGAGTATAATGATGGTACTAGATTTACAGAGGGTATGTGAGGATTAAATAAGATTAAATTACATATTTAGTGTGGTACATTTCATATAGTACAAGCTCAATATTGCACAGGTTGAATCTCAGATGCTAATGGCTGTTCAAGAGTACCCACTGGTAGATATCTCTTGTTATGGCAGATGGTCCTGGGCATTGTAATATACCCTGCATTATCCCTGCCCTCTATGCACTAGATACCTGTAGTACCCTCATCTTTACAACCAAAAATGTCTCTAGACATTGCCAAATCTCCCATGGGGGACACAACCACCTCACAGTCACCTCATGTGAACACCACTGCTGCATTGTATTTCATTATATAGTTATACCATAGTCCATTTTAATCCACTTCATTGTTGTGTAGCTAGAATGTATACAACATTGTTAGATGACAGTGGTATTGCAGTATCGTTATGCTTTTCCAAGTTTAATGATAATTCCTTTTGTATTTCACCATCACCTGTAAGATTGAACTTTTCATTTGTGATAAACGATATTATATCAAGTTTTATTAAACTTTTATGAAGATATTTTACAAACAAATGGCATTTTATCAAATGTCACTGAGGCATCAACTCAAATTTTCTCTGCCTCACTTATTCCTGGATTGTATTAATAGAATTCCTAACATTAAGTGGTTCTTACATTCTTGAGAAATGCCTAACTGCATGTGGTATAGTATTCTTTTCTTAATAGCAATGGATGGCATTTAAGGATTTTTATTCTCATTTCATAAAAGAAATTAAACCATTATTTACTTTTCTTTTATGATAGGATTATGTTAGATTCACAAAATGATTTTGAAAGTTTTCCACTTTTATATATGATTAGAAATTGTTAATTTCTCCCTAAAAATTATGTTTCTTGAAATTTAGTCAACTGAATTATAAGAAGCCATGAGCATTTTTCAAAAGGTAATTCTTCAGCAATTTTTTCTTGCAATTTCTTCAAACAATATGAGTTTTCTATTTGTAAGTCAATTTGGTGATTAATATCTTCCTACAAAATTATGTCCTGTGATCAAAATTTTTTTAAAGTTTAGAATATTATATGTCAATATCATGAAACATGCTGTATTTTCAGTATCTGCAGCTATGTTCACTTTCTAATATCTAAGGTTTTGTATTATTCTATTTTTGTATTAAATATTTGTATTATTATTGTATTAAATATTTTGTATTTTTATTGTCATATTATTATAATTTTATATAATCGCCATTATTTTTAATGGCAAAACCCACAATTACTGTGGCAGCAACCTAATGTATTTGTTTTTTCCTTTTTCCTGTTAGACTTTCTAGGTCTTTCTACTGCTATTTGAATTCAAGAATAGCTCTCCTGTTTTTTTCCCTTTATGTTCAGTTTCTTTGTTGCCTATTAAAATATTTTAATTATTTCATTTTATTGTAATCATACAAGCATTTAGCCTATGAATTTTCCCTTTTGTATAGCTTTTACTTTACCCCATAAAAGCCTTTATATAAACTATTCTTATTGTTGTTACTTTATAGTCTACATTTCTTCTTTGACCTAACAATTAAGCTGAGAAGTTTTTAGTTTCTAAGATCTCAGATCTGCCTTATTTAAAACTTTTTTTATTGTTATCTATGCTTTATTTGTGGTCAGTGAACATGTTCTACATAAACACTGATTTTTAGTACTTACTAAACTTTTAAGTTTTTTCACTGTTCTAAGAATAGTTGAAAGGAAGGTTTATGATGTCTTCATAGAGTTAAACTTTGTTATCCATTTTATCAAATAAAAGTTACTAATTCCACTGTCCACATACCTCACACCTTCATTTTTTGCCCACCTCATCTGCTATGTTCTGAGAAAAATATATTGCCATCCCTCCACAAATATTTTTTGTTATTTTCTCCTTATATTTTCTAATGCTTTCTCTTTAAATATTTTAATATTCAATGATTTGACATCATCTACTGTTTCATTTATGACTGCTACATTTTTATTCTGGATTTTTATTTCATCAATATTACATAATACTCTCTGTGCTTCAAATTCTATTGTTGTTATATTAATATTGTCACTACTACAATTTGTATGTCTTTTCCTGATATTTTTCACCCAGCCTTTATTTATCGTTTTCTGTTGATCACTGTAGATTAGATTTATATCTTGTAAATGGCATGTAGTTGACATTTATTATTTGACCTAATCTAAGAGTCTTTGTATTTCAATGGAAAGGTTGACCCTTTTACTTTTTTGTCATAAATTTTACATCTAGACTTAATACTGTCACTTCATTTTAGTATTTCTGTCCCTGGAACTTCCTCAACTTTTCTGATTTTCTTGACTTGTTTTTACGTTGTAATTTTCCTTCTTTTTAAAATTCCTATTTAGTAGAGAGAACATAAATTATTTTCTTCATGTATTTTCCCCTCTTACAGCCTGGATGGTAGAAAACATTTTAAACTCTTAGTGGTCCTTCTGAGTTTTAGAAAATAATTCTTGAGCTTTGTTTTTCTAATAATCAATGTCAAAAATAAACAGTACCTATTAACTTATCCCTGTAAGATGAGGAAACCAGTATGCTTTTAATGCCTTCAAATCTTCTTTCACCCCATTCTTGGAATAAAATGTGTTTTTTGTTTTTTCACTTTTGAGAATGACTTTTTACTTTCCATTTTACTTTGTAGCTATGTTAACAAGAATTATTTAGATTTTACTCCATAGTTAACTGATCTCAGTGCTTACCACACAAGCTTTTTGGGTTTTTTGTTTATTTGTTTGTTTGGTTTTGGAGACAGAATCTCACACTGTCACCCAGGCTGGAGTGCAGCAGTGTGATTTGGGCTCTTGGCAACCTCCACCTCCCGGGTTCAAGCCATTCTCGTGCCTCAGCCTCTGGAGTAGCTGGAATTACAGGCACGCGTCACCATGCCTGGCTAATTTTTGTATATTTAGTAGAGACGGAGTGTCGCCGCATTGGTCAGGCTAGTCTTGAACTCCTGATCTCAAGTGATCTGCCTGCCTCGACCTCCCAAAGTGCTGCCATTACAGGCATGAGCCACCGTGCCCAGCCCCAAGCTTTTTCTTTGGTAACTTCCTTGTGCTTAAATTCTTCATTCTTTACGTGTCTCTATTAACTGGAATATATTCCAGTACTTTTTCTCAAGAAGGAAATAGAATTGTTCTACATTCTGGACTCTTATGTTTCCGAAATTGTGTTTCTCTTGTGTTGATAGCCTGACTAAATTTTAAAAATACTTGAATCATGATTATTTTCCCTCAAAGTCTGTAGCTCTTTATAGGAAGGCAAGCTACATGCGGTAACAAACAACCTCGGAATCGCAGTGGCTTAACACTTGTCAAAGTCCATTTTGGGGAACAGAAGGCAGCCTTCTGCGACAAGACTTAGGAACCCAGGCTCTTTTCATTTTTACCTGGTCTTCTGCTCTGCCTTCAGCATCTGGCTGATCAATGAACAGAGAAAATGAAAGGAAGAAAGGAGGAGAATAGTAGATCTCATAGCAGATTTTAGGGGCCAGGCCAGAAGGGGCATGGGTGGCTTCTGCCCTCAGATCATCAGACAGAACTAGTTACAGGGCCACTTACATGCCAGCGGGCTGGGAAATGTCTTCCTGTGTTCCCAGACAGAAAAGGAAATGGTTTGATGAATACGAAGCCCTGTCTGGGCCACAGAATTACCCTACTGTCCTGTATTTGCAGAGAAGCTGGAAGATATTTTAATTTTAATTTTTGTAACTACATAGTCAAACTATTTGTTTCTATTTTTTTCCATCTTTGCAATTCAAAAATTTAGCGAGGATGTGTGTTGATGCCGTTCCCTTTAAATTTATTTTGCCTGCGTATTTAGGCCAATTTGCAATATACATTTTCTTCCATTTTGACTTTGTTCTTTCTGTATAAATTGTTCTGGATTATTCATCAGCAACACTTATGATTCCTACATTGTATCTCCTTCTCCCTTCTCCATTCCCATTATCTTCCCATCACCTTCATCTCTTTATTTTTTCCCCTCTGAATATAAGAAGAATTTGTTCTTCTCATCAATAACTGGAGTGTTAGCAGTGTTAACTCCTGCTTTACTACCTGCCATATGAATTTTATTTATTCTATTGCATTAAGGGATCCTTCAGTTTTATTCCTATTTCATCCATCTTCTTTTCAATCTGCTTTCACCTCAACCCATTTTCTTCCTTAATGTTTCTATTTCTCTTGGTATTTTTTTCTTGGATCCTTGATAACATTTTTTCTCTTCTGTTAATTCATTTCCAAACATGACATACACCACCTATACCAGTGGTGGCTAACAGGCAGGACATGTGGTTTGCCCTGGGCCTTGCACATTTTGGAGTTGAGTAGGGTGGCAGAGAGTTTTGACACACATACCAATGGTAAGACTCACCCTTTCATGTCCTATCAGTACTCAGCAGAGCAGCATGTAGCCCAGACTTAGAGAGATCGAGAATATTCTGATATGAGTCATGCCATAGCATGCACTGGTATCCTGGACAGAAGCACAAATGCTGCGCTGCTTAAAGGCTAGGCATCAGCCAGTCAACACTTGGGCATTTGTAGAAGCCTCTTCTTAGGTATAGCTACAGGTATGTGTGCAACATCTACCCAACTTCCAGGGCCCCCAGACCATTGAGATGGAAGGTTCCCAGAGTCTCAGAAGGTAACCAAGAGACTTTCTCAGGATCCAAGCCGATTTTCCCCAAGAGTATCCTCCTGCAAGTTCAGCAGAGAGGAGTGTCATAGCTACCCTGGCCAACAGTGCACATCTCTGTGAGCCAAAGGCGACCTTCACTGGGTGCTCCTGTAGCAGCACCACACATGGTTGTCCTGCATCTTATTGATTATGTATCAAGAAATAGACTTAAAAGGAGAATTTAATGTTATTAAAATCTGGGTTCACTCCCCACACTTAATATTTTTCTGTCTCCATTTTAACTTGCCCGGTAAAGCCAAAACTTAATTTTCTTCTGGTTCCTGGATGCTAAACAAATAGCTACTTTATTAACACATTGTTGAATACATGAATGAGTGAGCGAGTGAATGATTTTAGGAAACAAACCAACAACTAAACCATGACTGCCTGAGTGAAATGATCAGAATAAGCTCCCCTTGGTTTCTTTTCTTGCTTGGAAGAAGGAATCAGGAAGGCTACTCAGAGACACCTCCTGAGTACCCTCCCAGCTAGAGCATGTGGGAAGCTTGGCCAACCACCCCCTGCCTGCAACCCCAGCCCTTCTCCTAGCCACTGCTGGCCACAGCTGCTGCCAACTCTAAGACTCCACGCAGACAGCAGCTGCAGCCACCACCACTCCACACAGATCTGCCTTGTCCAGCTTCCCAGGGCTGAGGCTCCCTGTCCCTTCCCACACTAGTTATAGCCAGAGATCTTTCTCCTGGGTCTTATCCATCTTTCTTTCTAGGGGAGAGAGGGCAGGGGGCACAAGAAGTGGGACTTGCTGCAGATATTGACACTTCCAGGTGTAGAAACACAAAGAACAAAGGAAAGATTGGGGTCAGGATCAGAGACTCACCACGAAGAATGGTGTGTTCTGTAAAAATGGCAGACTGTCAGCCCCTGAGCTTGTGGATCTGACAGGTAAATATGTGATCAAGGCGCCAAGGTGACATGGTGACAGGTGCCTCTGACATAAACACAAGCCAGAATGTAATGAGGACGTTGCCAAACCACCAGCAAAGTGCCGGGCAAGATGCTCTACACAATACAAACTGAAGATCAGAGGGGCAGCCCTCATTCCTGATCAAGGTTAACTCTGTACAGGGTCAGTTAATGAGTCCAAAGGGCTAGGGAGGATGGCAGTTTCTGAGCTGATGGGAGAAGCTCTGACGGGGAGCAGAAGAACTGACAGGTAGCCCCGGGTCTTCCACTAACTAGCTGTGCCATCTCAGACCAGTGTTAACCTCCTGAGGCCTTGATATATTATCCCATGAAATGGGATAGCCAAATTTGTTCTTTTTTTTCATTAATTCTCACCAAGTCCTGTTGCATCTGCAACCCCCACAACTCACATTTGGAGCTACTTAACCCACAAATGGACCCTTGACCAGGGCTAGCAACCAACTATGTCTTCAGTTAGTGTCAGTTTAAGGGTCCTAACTTAACAACACTTGTGATAACATAACAACAACTGTGATGCTGGCACTGGTCTAACGGCTTGACATATAAAATAAATTAATCCTCAGAACACTGTGCTGAGGTATGTACTGTCATTATTTCCACTGGAGGATACTGAGGAGCAGAGATGTTGGGTAACCAGCCCAAGGTCACACACTAGCAGGCAACAGAGCCACGCTATACCACACTGGCTCTGTGCTCTGGAGACTCAGCTGAAGTCAGACTTTCTGATAATCCAGCTCTCGCTTTGGGCCAAAGTGTCATTCCTATTCTTCTGGCTTCCATTGAAAACCACATTCCTACCTTCTACTCCACGTGCAGTAGTTGAATTCCATCCTTATTCCCTCCGGCTGGGACTGTGTATTTCTTATGTCCCTGGGACCCCTATTCCTCCGAAACTAGGATCCCCTTTTTCCTTTATTGGTTATGCACCCCACCCCATACCTTATTCAAGGACTGGAGTCCCATATCAACTGAAGCTGTTCCCTGTGGTCCACCTCTGTTATACTGACAGCATCCCCGGGCTGGAAACTGCTCCAGGCGGTGGTTCCATCTAATTCATCCTCACTTGTGGGGCTAGTTCAGCATGGCCCAGGTCAGGGGCTCAGGTGAACCAGCTCAACTGGCTTCCTCCTCGATGGCTCCCCTACCTGTGAACATCCCCCTAATGTTGGCGGCGCACCTGGCCACCACCTGTGACTAGCTGTACACAGAGGAGCTTTCTATCCAAACAGTAGGCAGAAGTCAGGCTTTGGGGACAGACACCTCTACTTGGGAATCATGTCTCTTCTGTTTCATCTATTCTTTTGTGCTTTATACATTTTGGAGGTAAAGTTTACATATAAGATGAATAGTTCTTAACAGGTACAATTCAACGAGCTTTGCCAAATAGATACAGCCATGTGACTAACAGCCCAGTCAAGACATAGAACATCTCAATATTCCTGGGCAAGAGGGTTGAATAGGAACAGCTCCAATCTGCAGCTCCCAGTGAGACCAACACAGAAGGCAGGGCATTTCTGCATTTACAATGGAGGTACCTGGTTCATCTCATTGGGACTGGTTAGACAGTGGGTGCAGCCCACAGTGGGTGAGCAGAATCAGGGTGGGGCGTCACCTCACCCAGGAAGCTCAAGGGGTTGAGGAACTCCCTCCCCTAGCCAAGGGAAGCCACAAGGGACTGTGCCATGAGGGACGGTGCTATCTAGCCCAGATACTATGCTTTTCCCATGGTCTTCACAACCCACAGACCAGGAGATTCCCTGGGGTGTCTATACCACCAGGACCCTGGGTTTCAACTACAAAACTGGGCGGCCATTTGGGTAGACACTGAGCTAGCTGCAGGAGTTTTTTTTTCATACTCCAGTGGCACCTAGAATGCCAGCAAGACAGAACCATTCACTCCCCTGGAAAGGGGCCCAAAGCCAGGAAGCCAAGTGGTCTAGCTCAGTGGATCCCACCCCCATAGAGCCTAGCAAGCCAAAATCCACTGGCTTGAAATTCTCGCTGCCAGCACAGCAGACTGAAGTTGATCTGGGATGCTCAAGCTTGGTGGGGGAGGGGCATCCACCATTACTGAGGCTTGAGTATGCGGTTTTCCCCTCACAGTGTAAACAAAGCTCCCGGGAAGTTCGGACTGGGCAGAGCCCACCGTAGTGCCACAAAGTCTCTGTAACCAGACTGCCTCTCTAGATTCCTCCTCTCTGGGCAGGGCATCTCTGAAAGAAAGGCAGCAGCCCCAGTCAGGGGCTTATAGATAAAATTCCCATCTCCCTGGGAGAGAGCACCTGGGAGAAGGGGCACCTGTAGGCACAGCTACAGTAGATTTAAACATTCCTGCCTGCCGGCTCTGAAGAGAGCAGTGGATCTCCCAGCACAGTGCTTGAGTTATGCTAAAGGACAAACTGCCTCCTCAAGTGGGTCCCTGACCCCCATGCCTCCTGACTGGGAGACACCTCCCAGCAGTGGTCGACAGACATCTCATACAGGAAAGCTCTGGCTGGCATCTGGCGGGTGCCCCTCTGGGATGAAGCTTCCAGAGGAAGGAGCAGGCAGCAATCTTTGCAGTTCTGCATGCTCCACTGGTGATACCCAGTCAAACACGGTCTGAAGTGGACCTCCAGCAAACTCCAACAGACCTGCAGAAGAGGGGCATGACTGTTAGAAGGAAAAGTAACAAACAGAAAGCAATAGCATCAACATCAACAAAAAGGACGACCACGCAAAAACCTCATCCAAAGGTCACCAACATCAACGACCAAAGGTAAATAAATCCATGAAGATGAGGAAAAACCCATGCAAAAAGGTCGAAAATTCCAAAAACCAGAATGCCTCTTCCCTCCAGAGGATCATAACTCCTCATCAGCACGGGAACAAAACTGGACAGAGAATGAGTTTGATGAATTAACAGAAGTAGCCTTCAGAAAGTGGGTAATAACAAACTCCTCCAAGCTAAAGGAGCATGTTCTAACCCAATGCAAGGAAGCTAAGAAACTTGATAAAAGGTTACAGGAAATGCTAACTAGAATAACCAGTTTAGAGAATAACATAAATGACTGGATGAAGCTGAAAAACACAGCACAAGAACTTCCATAAAACATACACAAGTATCAATAGCCAAATCAGTCAAGTGGAAGAAAGGATATCAGAGATTGAAGATAAACTTAATGAAATGAAGCATGAAAGCAAGGTTAGAGACAAAAGTATGAAAAGGAATGAACAAATCCTCCAAAAAACATGGGACTATGTGAAAAGACCAAACCTATGTTTGACTGGTGTACCTGAAAGTGACGGGGAGAATGGAACCAATTTGGAAAACACACTTCAGGATATCACCCAGGAGAACTTCCCCCAACCCAGCAAGACAGGCCAACATGCAAATTCAGGAAATACAGAGAACACCACAAAGATACTCCTCTAGAAGAGCAGCCCCAAGACACATAACTTTCAGCTTCACCAAGGTTGAAAAGAAGGAAAAACTGGTAAGGGCAGCCAGAGAGAAAGCTTGGGTTACCGACAAGGGAAGCCCATCAAACCAACAGCAGATCTCTCTGCAGAAACCCTACAAGCCAGAAGAGAGTAGGGGCCAATATTCAACTTCTTAAAAGAATTTTCAATTTCATGTCCAGCCAAAGTAAGCTTCATAAGTGAAGGAGAAATAAAATCCTTTACATACAAGCAAATGCTGAGGGATGTCACCACCAGGCCTGCCTTACAAGAGCTCCTGAAGGAAGCACTAAATATGGAAAGGAAAAACCGGTATCAGCCACTGCAAAAACATCCCAAAATGTAAAGACCATAGACACTATGAAGAAACTGCATCAACTAATGGGCAAAATAACAGCTAGCATCATAATGACAGGATCAAATTCACATATAACAATATTAAGCCTAAATGTAAATGGGTTAAATGCCCCAGTGAAAAGACACAGACTGGAAAATTGGATAAAGAGTCAAGACCCATCAGTGTGCTGAATTCAGGAGACCCATCTCATGTGCAAAAACACCCAAAGGCTCAAAATAAAGGGACAGAGGATTTATCAAGCAAATGGAAAGCAAAAAAAAAAAAAAATCAGGGGTTGCAATCCTAGTCTCTGACAAAACCAACTTTAAAACAATAAAGATCAAAAGAGACAAAAAAGGGCATTACATAATGGTAAAGGGATCAATGCAACAAGAAGAGCTAACTATCCTAAATATGTATGTGCCCAATACAAGAGCACGCAGATTCATAAAGTAAGCTCTTAGAGACCTACAAAGAGACTTAGACTCCAATACAATTATAGTGGGAGACTTTAACACCCCACTGTCAATATTAGACAGATCAATGAGACAGAAAATTAACAAGGATATTCAGGACTTGAACTCAGCTCTGGACCAAGTAGACCTAATAGACATCTACAGAACTCTCCACCCCAAATCAACAGAATATACATTCTTCTCAGCACCACATAGCACTTATTCTAAAACTGACCACATAATTGGAAGTAAGACACTCCTCAGCAATACAACAGAACAGAAATCATAACAGTCTCTCAGACCATAGTGCAATCGAATTAGAACTCAGAATTAAGAAACTCACTCAAAACCACACAACTACATGTAAACTGAACAACCTGCTCCTGAATGACTACTAGGTAAATAAGGAAATTAAGGCAGAAATAAATAAGTTCTTTGAAACCAACGAGAACAAAGATACAATGGAACAGAATCTCTAGGACACAGCTAAAGCAGTGTTTAGAGGGAAATTTATAGCACAAAATGCCCACATGAGACAGCAGGAAAGGTCTCAAATCAACACCCTAACATCACAATTAAAAGAACTAGAGAAGCAAGAGCAAACAAATTTAAAAGCTAGCAGAAGACAAGAAATAACTAAGATCAGACCAGAACTGAAGGAAATAGAGACATGAAAAACCCTTCAGAAAATCAATGAATCCAAGAGTTAGTTTTCTGAAAAGATTAACAAAATAGGTAGACCACTAGCCAGACTAATAAAGAAGAAAAGAGAGAAGAATCAAATAGACACAATAAAAAATGATAAAGGGGATATCACCACTGATCCCACAGAAATGCAAACTACCACCAGATAATACTATAAACACCTCTACGCAAATAAACTAGAAAATCTAGAAGAAATGGATAAATTCCTGGACACATACACCCTCCCAAGACTAAACCAGGAAGAAGTTGAATCCCTGAATAGACCAATAACAAGTTCTGAAATTGAGGTAGTGATTAATATTCTACCAACCAAAAAAAAAGCCCAGGACCAGACAGATTCTGGTAGCCGAATTCTACCAGAGGTACAAAGAGGAGCTGGTACCATTCCTTCTAAAACTATTCCAAACAATAGAAAAAGAGGGACTCCTCCCTAATTCATTTTATGAGGCCAGCATCATCCTGATACCAAACCTGGCAGAGCCACAACAACAAAAAAAAAATTTCAGGCCAATATCCGTGATGAACATCAATGCGAAAATCCTCAATAGAATACTGGCAAACTGAATCCAGCAGCACTTTTAAAAGCTTATCCACCATGATCAAGTCGGCTTCATCCCTGGGATGCAGGGCTGGTTCAACATACTCAAATCAATAAACGTAATCCATCACATAAACAGAACCAATGACAACAACCACATGATTACCACAATAGATGCAGAAAAGGCCTTCAACAAAACTCAACACCCCTTCATAATGAAAACAATCAACTAGGTATTGATGGAATGTATCTCAAAATAATAAAAGCTATTTAAGAAAAACCCACAGCCAATATCGTACTGAATGGACAAAATCTGGAAGCAATCCCTTTGAAAACTGGCACAAGACAAAGATGCCCTCTCTCACCACTTCTTTTCAACATAGTGTTGGAAATTCTGGCCAGGGCAATCAGGCAAGAGAAAGAAATAAAAGGTATTCAAATAGGAAGAGAGAAAGTCAAATTATCTCTGTTTGCAGATGACATGATTGTATATTTAGAAAACCCCATTTTCTCAGCCCAAAAACTCCTTAAGCTGATAAGCAACTTCAGCAAAGTCTCAGGATACAAAATCAATGTGCAAAAATCACAAGCATTCCTATACAATAATGGAGAGCCAAACCATGAGTGAACTCCTATTCACAATTGCTACAAAGAGAATAAAATACTTAGGAATACAACTTACAAGAGATGTGAAGGACCTCTTCAAGGAGAACTACAAACCACTGCTCAAGGAAATAAGAGAGGACACAAACAAATGGAAAAACATTCCATGCTCATGGATAGGAAGAATCAATATCGTGAAAATGGCCATACTGCCCAAAGTAATTTATAGATTCAGTGCTATTCCCATCAAGCTACCACTGACTTTCTTCACAGAATTAGAAAAAAACTACTTTAAATTTCATATGGAACCAAAAAGAGCCTGTATAGGCAAGACAGTCCTAAGCAAAAAGAACAAAGCTGGAGGCATCATGCTACCTGACTTCAAACCTTACTACAAGGCTACAATAACCAAAATAGCATGATACTGGTACCAAAACAGATATATAGATCAATGGAACAGAACAGAGACCTCAGAAATAACACCATACATCTACAACCATCTGATCTTTGACAAACCTGACAAAAACAAGCAATGGGGAAAGGATTCCCTATTTAATAAATGGTGTTAGGAAAACTAGCTAGCCATATGCAGAAAACTGAAACTGGACGCCTTTCTTACACTTTATACAAAAATTAACTCAAGATGGATTAAAGATTTAAACGTAACACCTAAAATCATAAAAACCCTAGAAGAAAACCTAGGCAATACCATTCAGGACATAGGCATGGGCAAAGACTTCATGACTAAAACACCAAAAGCAATTGCAACAACAGCCAAAATTGACAAACGGGATCTAATTAAACTAAAGAGCTTCTGCACAGCAAAAGAAACTATCATCAGAGTGAACAGGCAACCTAGAGAATGGAAGAATATTTTTGCAATCTATCCATCTGACAAAGGGCTAATATCCAGAATCTACAAGGAACTTAAATTTACAAGAAAAAAAAACAAAAAACCCCAACAAAAAGTGGGTAAAGGATATGAACAAACACTCTCAAAAGAAGACATTTATGCGGCCAAGAAACATATGGAAAAAAAGCTCATCATCACTGATCGTTAGAGAAATGCAAATCAAAACCACAATGAGATACCCTCTCATGCCAGTTAAAATGGTGATCATTAAAAAGTCAGGAAACAATAGATGCTGGAGAGGATGGGGAGAAAGAGGAACACTTTTACACTGTTGGTGGGAGTGTAAATTAGTTCAACCATTGTGGAAGACAGTGTGGCGATTCCTCAAGAATCTAAACCTAAAAATACCATTTGACCCAGTGATCCCATTACTGGGTATATACCCAAAGGATTATAAATCATTCTTGTATAAAGACACATGAACACATATATTTATTGCAGCACTATTCACAATAGCAAAGACTTGGAATCAACCCAGATGTCCATCAGTGATAGACTTGATAAAGAAAATGTGGCAGATATACACCATGGAATATTATGCAGCCATAAATAAGAATGAGTTCATGTCCTTTGCAGGGACCTGGATGCAAACCTGGCTGGAAACCCTCATTCTCAGCAAACTAACACAAAAACAGAAAACCAAACACCGCATGTTCTCACTCATAAGTGGGAGTTGAACAATGAGAACATCTGGGCACAGGGAGGGGAACATCACACACCAGATCCTGTCAGGGGGTGGGGGGCTGGGAAGGGATAGCATTAGGAGAAGTACCTAATATATAATGGTGGGTTGATGGGTGCAGCAAAACACCATGGCACATGTATACCTATGTAACAAACCTGCACGTTCCACACATGTATCCCAGAACTTAAAGTATAGTAAAAAAAAAAAAAAGAGACATAGAACATCTCTATCACCCCAGAAATTTCCCTTAGGACCCCTTTTAGTCAACCCCCACCATCTATAGGCAAGAACAATTCTGAAAGTTATCACTATAGATTTGATCCAGTCTTGAACTTCATAAATAAGGACTCCTATGAAAGAGAATGTTGTCTTTTGTGTCAAGCTTCTTCTCCAAAACATATTGCTTTTGACCTTCATCTCTATTATTTTATTTCTTTTACTGACTAGTGTCCCATTGTATACAGGGGAATAGGCGTCATTCACTTTGTGATCTCGGGAAAGTTATAGGACTCCCCATTCATTCATTCACTCATTCATTTATTCATTTAACAAGAAATTACTCTCTCCCTCAGTTTTATTTTCCATAAAGATCACAGTGGAAATATCTCCTGTTGTCTAAGCGTTTGTCCAAGATTACAGAGGCAAGTAGTTACAAGGGGATACTCGGAAGTCAGATGGCCACATTTGAGACCTGTTTTCATCCCTCACTGGCTGCATGAGCTTGGACAAAATACTCAACCTCTCTCTGCTTCTGTTCTCTCCTCTGTAAAAGGATTAAATGGGGCTAGGCGCGGTGGCTCATACCTGTAATCCTAGCATTTTGGGAGGCCAAGGTGGGTAGATCACATGAGGTCAGGAGTTCAAAACCAGCCTGGCCAAAAAGGTGAAACCCTGTCCCTACTAAAAAAAAAAAAAAAAAAAAAAAATAGCTGGGTATGGTGGTGAGTGCCTGTAATCCCAGCTACTTGGAAGGCTGAGGCAGGAGAATCACTTGAACCCAGGAGGTGTAGGTTTCAGTAAGCCAAGATCACACCACTGCACTCCAGCCTGGGAAACAGAGTGAGACTCCATCTCAAAAAAAAAAAAAAAAGGATTAAACAAGTTAATGTTTGTAAAGTGCTTAGAAGAGTGGTTGGCACACAGAAAGTGCTAAAAACGTGTTGGCTATTATTACCAACTATGTGACACGCCATGGTGTCCCATCAGCACTCACTAAATCATAGCTGTTGCTATTATATTAGTCTTAAAGACAAGAGGTAAAATGGGTGCACAGGCAGTTACCTGGAGTAGCTTATTGCTATGAGAAAGGAATCTATCAGCAGCCATTATAATAAGTCAACACAGCTTTACCAGAACTAAGGTGGCCACTCATCTCAGGACTTTCCTGGTCAGCATTGAAAATTCCAGGAGCCCTCCCTTAGCCCCAGACAAGCCAGGACAACTGGTCACCCTAATCTGAACCTTACGGTCCTTATCTGTCAAATGTCCATAATATACTACACTGCCCTTCTCACAGGACAGCTGAAGTGACATGTGTAGAAGTGCTCTACCAAGGCAGTGGGGTTTGTTTATTTTTCTGGGTCTATTAGAAAAAGCATACCAAACTTTGAACTCCACTGTGGATTACAACTTTAAATTCAATATCGAGTTTGAGTTGTGGCTTCTCAGCTTGGAAGCTGAGTAACACTGAGCCCTCAGCCCGGCCTCCCCTCTGGGATCCCACTTTCTCACCTGTATAGTAGGGATGGTCACACTTAACCTGTAGGGTTGGGGTGAGGTCCTGTATGAGAAAGCGCTATCTGCATTGAAAAGCACAATACAAATTAAACATCAGTTAAAGTGGTTTGGGGGCCATGAGGGTAGTTGCCTCTATCCAAGAAGGCCACTCCAGAATGTGCTTCTCAGGGCTCTAGTCCTGTTGATCCTGCTGCCCGACTCCAGGCTACCTCTGGACTCATTCATCAGCCCATCAGACTCTCACGCCTGTGTCTGATTTCCTGGTGTCTGACCCTGACCCTGACCCTGGACCCTGATGGGCCCCACAACTGCCTAGGCCCGGGGTAGGCTCCCCGGGGCTCAACCTAGCAGCCCCCTACCCTCTGCTCCACCAAAGCCTGCAGCACAGCAGAGATACAGCTACTGGAATGGCAAGGCCTCAGCGGTAATCAGTGCATGGAAGCCTGAGGTAATGGAATCACCCTGATGCAATTATCTATTGATTGCAAGTATTATGGCAGTCCCTGATTGCTTCTTATTGATACAAATCCACTGGGCTGCCTACTTGGACAAAACCAAGTGAGAATGAGAAGAGACAGAAGAGGAAATAGGAAGAGAGAGTACAAGGGAGGAGATGGGGGAGGAAGGAGCACAGCCTAATTAGTGACAGACAAGTCTGTGGAAGCAGCAGCACCCTGAGGTGGCCACCACCAGGAAGGGGCATGGACAACCCACATGTCAGAGCTAGAAAGGACGTTTGGGAGCGGCAGCTGCCTCTGTCCACAGCCATGGCAGCCAGGCCTGGGAAGAGAACCAAAGGCAACAAAGCAGCAGGATACATGTCCCAACAGGGGTCAAGGGACCATGAGGTCTCACAATGCAGAGGGGTCAGAGGTCAAGGGGCAAAGCTTGCACAATCATGGAAGTCAGAGTGGGCAAATAGGGGAGGTCTGGATGCATCCGAGAGTGAGCAAGGGACAGACCCATCCTATAAGTGACCCCTAGAGGACTTTCCCCAACCTCAAGCAGGGAGTACAAATTATTCTGTTCTCAAGACAAATTACTGAGGTCTTCAATTACACATGTATGTTGATGGGATAAACTTTGGTTTAGCAGAGCAATGGTATCGTCATATGTCCCGAATTCCCTAGAAATCCCCACTCTGCACTCATGAGAGAACAAGAGTGGAAAAGTCAAATAACATCTCACTACTATTGAAATAGTTTTGACCTCATTGACCAGCTGAAATAGTTTTGGACACTAAGAGCTCCTGGACCCCACTTTGAGAACCACTGCCCTAGAGGTATAGCTGTTTTTTCATGTGAAGGGCCTAAGGAGATTTGACTTGGAAACAAAATTCACACCTTGACCTTCAGCCACTAAAGAACAGTATGCACATCTCATCTAGTCTGAACTAATTTTTACTTTTTTCAACTCACAATAAAGGGATATAGAAAGCTCTTTGTACCCTTAGATAAGCCAAAATACATATGTACAGCATACGTGCATGCATGCATACAGTTGGTCTTCATTATTCACCAACTCTGCACACCCTAGAATTGATTCATAATCCTAAAACCAATGCTCAACGCACTACTTGGACATCCACAGAGTGGCAAAAACTTGGAGTTGCTTATATGCATGTTCCCAGTGGAGTTCCAACAAGGTAACAAACACTCTGCCTTCTTGCTTCACCTCCCATACTGCAAACAAGTGTCCTCTTCAATGGTCCATTGAGTGCCACGTCTTTTGTATTTTCTTGCTCTTTGTTGGTGATCTCACTATTTAAAATGGCCCCCAAGTGTAGTGCTCAATAGCTGTCTAGAGTTCCCAAGCACAAGAAGGCTGTGATGTGTCTTATAAAGAAAATATGTGTGTTAGACAGGCTTTAAACAGCTATGAATAATAGTGTTGGCCGTGATTCAATGTTAATGAATCAATGATGCAAATTAAATATAGTATCTTCAAACAGAAACACATAAAACAAGGTCCTGTATTGACTGATTGATGAAAATGTTATGAACAGTGGTTGTCAGGAACCTAACCCTGTATTTCCCCTGGGAACAACGGGTAAGTATTGGCTAATTCAGTGTTCATGGCAACTTTGTAAAACAGAACTATCATGAATAACCAGCACCAACTCTACAAGCAAACATAACAACAAAAGCCCCAGAGCCTCCCTGTCTAGCTCTAGTTTCAAAAATAAAGGAAACCTTGAGCTTTCTTGTAAATTACTGACTCCCTAACAAGAACAGCTGTGCCCTGAATTTTCAAAGCTGAAAGCTGAAGACTTGTCATAAACTTGGGAAACACGATACTCATATGAGAAAACTGTTGTTTGTCCACCAAGGGCAGACTGTCAACTTGATAACCTTGAAAATCTTGTGCTTTGTTTTTTCCCTGTAAATATTTGTAGCGATTTTTATTTGGTGGCCAATCCTTTAAAAACTTTCTCTGCAAGTAAAATTCCTTCTGCTCTACGTGCCTTAAATGGTTTTATCTTTGAGTTTTCCTCAGATTCTAAGTAGCCTGGGAGGAGGTGAGACCATATTAGTGGAAAGTCCACATCAGCGTTGCCCAACTACATTCCAGACAATTCTAAAATGCACGCATCAGTTCATAGGGCCCTGAGGCTGCAGGCTGTTGGATTTTGTCCATGTAGCATCCTAGGAAATGTCTTGCATAGCAGAGAGGCCAGGACCTCGCCCTAGTCGGGGTCCTTGATTGCAAGCAACAGGAACTAACCCAGTTAAATCAAAAAAAAGCAATCATTGTAAAGCTGCTGGGTATCTCACAGAATTGACAAGGCAAATGGGTAGCACCCAAGGAGGTAAGGAGGCCAGACCCCAGCTTCAGCTGCCCAACGGGACAGGTGGTTTAGGATGCTGCCAACACCACTGCTGGCTAGAATATTCCCCAGCCTATGGCTGCCCCCTGCCTCACTGTGCGAATGAAGACGCTGCTGCAGCAGCCACTGCAGTCAATTCCAAACTGTTCCCATTTCTTTGCAGCTCTTACTCCAAATTCTAAGTCCCAAATGGGAACATCCAATTGCCCAGGGTCCTAGGAACACATGTCTAGACTTTTCAGTTTCCATGGGGAAACACTGAGCCTTTCCTCCCACCAAGACTCACCACAGTGGCCTGGAATAAAGCATTGGTACTGCGAATGGGGAAACACAGGTAAATTGAAAAAACTGGAGAAAGAACCGACTTTGTTGGAAGATTGCCTGCATGTGGAGAGTGGTATGGGATCTGGGGTGATTCCAGGGTTTCTGGCTTGAACATCAGGATGTGGGATGGTGACAATACTGAGTCAGGGAACACTGACAGAAGGGAACAGCAAAGAAAACAGCTCACGTTGAACAACTTAAAGTTGAGGTGCCTGTGGCTGTTCAGTGGGAGCTCTGCAAACTCCAAAGCTCTATGCATTTGGAAAGGATTCTGTTGATATTATTGATACTATTGCTATCATTAAATATTAATGAAATTCTCTGGACATAGTGGCTCACACTTATAATCCCAGCACTTTGGGAGGCCAAGGCAAGAGGATTGCTTGAGCCCAGAATTTTGAGACCACCCTGGGCAACATAGCAAGACTCTGTCTCTACAAACAAATTAAAATTACCTGGGTGTGGTGGTGCATGCCAGTGGTCCCAGCTTCTCAGGAGGCTGCAGTGAGCTATGATCAAGCCATTGCACTCCAGCCTAGACAACAGAGCAAGACCGTATCTCAAAAAAAAAAAAAAAATTAATAAAATTGCCTTTCATAAAGAACCAAACACAATTACTCCAATGAACTGGGAAGATAGCATTGACTTTGTCAATAGATAAGAAAGGAAAGTTCCAATTTTTAATCCTTTTTCTTCCTTTGCCTTGGCTGCCAGTCCTGTGGAAGACAGCCAGTCATCGGGGGCAAGGCTGCCCAAGGCAAAATGGTAACCACCAACGACTTTAAAATAGGTAGCTAAGAGCAAATCACACATGTGAATTGGCAACCAAATCTAAAACTGTTGTTATTTTAAGGCCTACAGGCTTTGTCCACATTGGAGACCATCTGGTGACCACAGAGAGAAAACAGCCCGAGCATTTGCTTGGATGGTTCATGGGTCTTAGAAGGCAGAAGTCTCAAGAACTTGCATCCTCCGCAACCACTCTGCAGGTCAACTCAGAGCCTGTCCTGCCCTCACCTCTTATTCTCGAGGCTCTAAGGCTCACATTTGGTGGATCCACGCCAGCAATATGGTGCAATGATAAAGACTGGACCCTTTAACTTCCCAGAATGATTCTGATGCAAATATCATAATACTCAGTCTTCTCAAATCATATACCTGGAGTTCTGACTCAGAAAATATGCTGCCCTAGGCACTGAGAAAACAGTAGAGCAGTCAGGAGACCTGAGATCAAGGTTCTGGTTTCACTACTGTTTGACCTTCGGCACGTTTTTTTAAATTTCTCAAACTGAGCCACGGTTCTCTTATCTGTAAAATGGGGCAAATACACCTACATGTGTTACAGAAAAGCTGTAAGAACCAAATGGGAGTAGAAATGGAGTAAGCGGTAAAGCACTGAATGTGTATTAATTATCTCAGCCAGTGATGGTTCATACCTAAGATCCCTTATCTGGAAAGTATCCTCAAGCTTCCCATAGAATCACTCACTCTGGTAGTAACACTTTTGACAAGAAGTAAATGCAATGGACCTTCTCAGCACAGTTGTCACTGGGGTGAGCTGGGAAGACAGTATGGCAGTATGTGAAACATGAGTGGAAAGTTCCAGAAGAACTAATGCTCTTCATTCACCACTCCCCAAAAAATAGACAGAAGAGTAGGTGGTAAGCGGTGGGGAGGAGGGGAAAATCCGTCAACTCCCTGCCCTAGTCTTTGGAGAAATGATACATCCTTTTTTTCAGAGTTGTTTCCAGGACAAAAGGACTTAGTCATTTAATTGCCTGCAGTTTTTTTCTTTCTTTTAATTCCATTAGTATTGCCTGCAGCCTAACAGTAAGCAGAATGTGTCTTTAATGAAGACAGTAAATAATTTAAAAAAAAAAAAAAAAAAGACAGAAAGAAGTGCTTTGATTTACCGTGGAAGTCCAGTGCTCTCTAAATTCAAGATGTGCCTTTTCAGTTTCCTGCCCACGGTGCCCAGCACCTCCTAGGTGGAGGCGCGTTTCTTGACACCAGGCCATCCGTGATAGACAGGAGGACAGAGGCAACTCCCCAACTTTTAACCCACTTCAAGCCTGGTGGCATTTATTTAGTACCTGCCTCCTACAGGAGGTGCCAAGGCTCATGCCAGCATATGTCCATGAAGGACTTAGCACACAGTAGGCACTCAGTAAAGGGTTGCTTTCTTCCTTCTTGGCATCACATCAACACAAGGGAGCAGGTCTTTCATTGACGTGTGTGCACATTTTCTCCGTGGGCTAAATACTGAACAAATCAGCTTTTTAAAAAATATTACCTCCATTTATTTTGCAAAAGACTTGCTGACAAGACACCCAGCAGCATCTGAAATTGCATCTAGACAAAGAGGCAGGGACAAGGGGAGCCAGGAGCTCTATTTTCTCATTCCAGGCTCCCCATTGCTTTCTTCCGACACCCGCACAGGCACACACATCCCAGCCCATGTGCATCACCGCGATAAGGAGACTTTCAAATGCCGCAATTCATCACCCTGGCCCCGGCTGGAAGCAGAGCGTGTGTGCGAGCGCGTGTATGCGTGCCCGCGTGTCACACTCCTGCTCGCCGTGCACCTGGAGAGCCTTTGTAGCTCATCCGACAATGGAGCAGCAAGCCACAGAGCTTTCAAAGAGGGAGGAAGAGGCAGGGAAGTAAAGAAAGACGCCCACTTGGGCTGCCTCCCTTTGGTTTTGGCTGCAAGATCTGAGCTGGTTAACCAGGTAACAATATGATAAAGGCTGGCAGAAAGGAGCCCAAGCTTCCAGCCTGGAGCCCTGATGCAGAATGAGATAAACATTAATCACTGCAATCCCACATGGGAGCTGGTGTTTTTTCTTAAGGCCTTTTGGTGGGGAATGTAGGAAGTAAACACGGATGTTAGTAATGCTAATCCCACTTCCCAAAGTCTTCAGGGACTTTCATGCTAAACCTTGGCTAGTCAGAGTCAGCCTCACCTGGACACATGTGTGTGCACACATGTACACACACACACACGTTCACAGGCACACACACATGCTCCAGGGCCCCCACCTGGGGTGTTCTCCTAGAGCCCACCACTTCTCTTTTGAGGATTCTTATGAAAATGGGAATTAAATGAATATCCACTTACTGAGACCTACTCTGGGCCAGGCACTTCCATTTGCTTACTTAGTTTAAGCCTCACAAGAGTACTGGGAAGATATTTCAGGTTATGACTCCATTTGCACAGATGCAGAAAACTAAGATGCAGAGAGGTGATGTGGTTTTGGTTTTGATTTTCAGTCAAATTCAGATCTAGATCTTTTTTTTTTTATGCCCAACTACACATGTTCAAAGTGAACAATTTGATGTCTTCACGTACATATACACTGGTAAAACCATCACCATAACCAAGATCATAAATATGTCCATCACCCCAGAAGTTTCCTCAAGGCCTTTTATAATTCTTCTCCTTCCCCTACTCCCAGGATCCCCCACACCATCAGGCCACCACTGACCTTTATGTCACTCTAAGTTAGTTTGCACTTTTATATAGAATATAGAATCATACAGTATGTGTTTCTATAGTTATATAGAATATGGAATCATGCAGTATGTGGCTTCTGTTGGTCAGTATAATTGTCTTGAGATTCATGTGTGTTCTCACATGTTTTCATGTCCCCTTCTATTGCTGAGCGGATTCAATCCCAAGGATATGCCATTCAGTTGTTAGTGAACATCTGTGTTGTTTCCAGTGTGACGCCATTCCAAATAAGGCTTCTAGGAACATTCACATTCAAACTCTTAAACCTTAATAATAAGAGGAAAAAAATCTAAAAATCAGGAAAATATTTGAACAGACACTTCACCCAAAAAGATATACCAATGGCAAATAATCACATGAAAAGATGCTTAACCCCATTTATCACTGGAGAAATTCAGATTAAAACCTCAACAAGATATCCCTCCACAAGTATTAGAGTGACTAACATTTAAAAAGACCAACCATTGCAAGTGTTGGTGAGGATGTGGAGCTATTGGAATGCTTGTCCACTGCTGCTGGGAATATAAAATGACACAGCCACTTTGGAAAACAGTTCAACCATCTCTCAAAAAAGGTAAATATGCATCTATCATATGAACCAGCCACTGCATTTTTAGGTGGTTACCCAAGAGAAATGAAAGCACCTGTGCACACAAATGCCTGCTCATGAATGTTCAGAGCAACTTTATGTTTAATAAGAATCTGTGTTTTTAAAATCAGCCAGGTAATCCTAATAATGAGACAGGTTTTGGAACCACTGGGCTGGACACTCGGTTATATATGATTGCTTGAGAAAAATCCTCTTATTCCTCAGATAGCTATATAAGCAGGGAAGGGGTTAAATTCCAAATTTAGCCTGTCGGGGAAGGAATGTCATTTAATGAATCTATGTAATGTTGGACAAGTCACTTTTTATCTTTTTCGAACTGTATTTTGTACATTTGAACCCTAAGAGGGAGGTTGAGCGATCCCCAGCCTGCAGGATTCTATACTTTGATGATCTCAGAGAACTCCACAATAAACCCACTCGGTGTCCCTAACAGGGTAGCATGAATCCCATTGAACAGTATATGGGCTGTAGTTTTTCTGCCCGTGGGGGCATCTCTCTCTCCGTTCTGCCAGACACCCAGTCACACAATTAGGTATGCACACACATGAGTACATGCACACACACACACACACGCACACCCCACCTTTCAATTTTAAAATGTTAATGTCTCCGAGATTGAGGGTGCCAGAATTGTCATTAAACTATTCCAGACACAAAGGCCCTCTGCTGCTTTGCAGCCCACATGAGGCTGCATTTTGCTTATCTGGATCCCTTTTGTCTGGAATTATTTCTTTCCTTTGAATAACCTGCAAAATGTAAGGCTGGAGACGGAATTGTTGGCCTCCCTTATTTGGAAATGGATTTGTCTTTTGCAGTCAGTACCCATACCTGGGGCAGTTTGGATCAAAAACAGTTTTCAAGTCTTCATTTATTGCTACTTTTTAAAGAATTCCCCCTTTGATCAAGAGCCCGGGGATTCCATGCTTTGCCCCCTCAAAATGCGCTCCCACCCCCCAGATCCCAGTGCTGTTTTTGTTTCTTTTGAAAGCCCTGTTTACTTCGGAAATTCAGCAATTGCTCCCGAAGTTCCTTTGATGTCTATTGAATTTAATACATTTCATTGCATTATGGAGAAGCTATTTCAGCTTTTGGTATCAGCATCTTCTTGATGTGCCGAGGGGTCTTTTTGTTGGATTTTGTGTGTGCGGTTGTTGATTTGCATTGTTGAAATTATTTTTTAAGAATGATTTGAAGGCTTTTTTCTTTTTTTAAAGATTAGCCAAAGGGTGAGGCAAGCGATGAGATTGACACCTCCTAGAAACTAGATTCTCCGCTGAGCCAAGGGAGAGATGACATGAAGAAATATTTCTTTCTGCCTCTCTTTTTTTCCCTAATTCCCTTGCCTCAGCTGTTGCCTCCACAATAAACCCACAAAGGCCATCATTTTGCAACATTGTATCTATCAAAGATCAACTACCTACTATGCCACACCAAGTTTCATGCTAAATATAAAAGTCAAATAGCTCCAAATGTAATTGAGACATGAGATATATTATCTGTCTGTACTCAAATAACATTTCCCTAAAAATTCATGTCCACTTGGAACCTGCAAAGGTGCCCTATTTAAAAATAAGGTTGGCCGGGCCTGGTGGCTCGCACCTGTAATCCCAGCACTTTGGGAGGCCAAGGGGGCGGATCACAATGTCAGGAAATTGAGACCATCCTGGCCAACGTGGTGAAACCCCATCTCTACCAAAAATACAAAAATTAGCTGGGCATGGTGGTGCACGCCTGTAATACCAGCTACTTGGGAGGCTGAGGCAGGAGAATCACTTGAACCAGGGAGTCAGAGGTTGCAGTGAGCCAAGATCGTGCCACTGCCCTCCAGCCTGGGCGACGGAGCAAGACTCCATTGCAAAAAAAAAAAAAAAAAAAAGAAAAAAGAAAAGAAAAGAAAAAAGAAAAAGAAAAAGAAATAAGGTCTTTGAGAGGTAATCAAGTTAAAATGATGTCATCCTGGATTAGGATAAGCCCCTAATCCCATGACTGGTGTCCTTATAAGGAGAGGAACATTTATACAGACATACAAACAGGGAAAAAATCCAAGTGAAGGCAAGGCGTGAGATTAAAGTGATCCTGTCACAATCCAAGGATTGCCAGGGGTCACCAGCTGCCAGCAGAAGCTAGAAGATTCTTCTGTAGAGTCTTCGGAGGAAGGGCAACCTTGCTGACACCTTGATTCCATCTTGTAGCCTCCAGAACTGTAAGAGAATATATTCCTGTTGTTTTAAGCCTTCTAGTGTGTATTAGGTTGGTCCAAAAGTAGCTACAGTTTTTGCCATTAATTTTTTTATGCACCAACCTAATTAGTACTGATTTGTTATGACTGCCCTAGGAAAATTAATGCAATATCCGGTATATCATTAATAACAGAGGCCTATACATATATTATCAGACACATCTAAGAGTCTTCACATATTTAATTTTTATAACCTCATAAAATAGGTACTCTTCTCACCCTGTATTTAGAGTGACCATATGATGTTTCATCCAAAACAAGATATTTTTGAGAGGAAAAGGGAATACCGTTAATAATTATACTAAGAAAACAGGCGTTAACCAAACCGCTGAGGACGTCTGCTTACTCTACGCACTTTACGGAATATGAAACTGAAGTAGAGGCAAGCTCAATCACTTGCCCAAGGACATATAGCTAGTAGGTGGCAGTAACAGGATTTGAACCCAGGCAGTCTGGCTCCAGAATATTTTCCCATAACCACTATTCTACACCATACTCAGTTTGCCCAGCCTTCTGGGAAATAGCCATAACAAGAGCCGCCTGAAAATATGCTTCAGCCACGGCTCTGCCATTAGTACAGGCAGCACAACCACCGCTGGCTCGGGGGTCTAAGATCTAAGAGGAAACAAGAAAATTCTCCAGGACCATAGTTCTATTACACAGAGACATGAGAATAGAAGTTAAAAGTTGTTGACTATGGTTCCAATTCTGCCATTCAGTAAGTAAGGGCTGTCCTAGGGAAAGTCACTTCCCCTCACTTCCTCCTTGCCCTATTCCAGTCTGCTGTCAGCACTTTCAATTTCAGTTCTGCCCAGATGACCCCAACATGTATCAGTGACTCCAAAGATAGGCTCAGCTCAGTATCCCAACAAAAAGAGGCCATTGCAAAGATATTTGCCTGTACATGGGCTGTAGAATTTTTCTGTGGCTACAAACCTAGGTGGCGTGGGTGCTTTGAGAGTGAACTTGGCCTTTGGGTACATTTAGAAGCAGTAGGTGGACAAGTCTCCTTCCTGAATAACAGAAATTGGGGACAGTCTGAACAATGGGCTACATCCTGGGCTCTGCACTAGTACTGAAGTCAGGCCTGGAACCCTGAATTAGGCTAGGGTCCTGATGTCATCACTCCCTCCCTGGGATCCTCTAGAAGCTCTAACCCTGTGTCTCACCCTGCCCTCTCAGACATGACCCCTCAGATGTCAAGGGGCCTGGACCAGGCTTAAGTTTGCTCTGTCTCTGTGAATCTAGTGACTTGGGCCACTGGGGACAGCCTCTCTCTGGGTTAGTTCTGCTTGGCCTCTGCCTGCAGCTGGTCTCAATCACTCTCTCCTCCTCACGGGAGTTTGCAGCATGGCTCATGATCAGGGCTAACCAGCTTTGGACAACCACCACGTCCCCTTGGTCACCACGTCCTGCTGAATCTACCTCCCAAGTGCCTTTAATTTTAGACTTGCATCTCTACTCATGTGAGCAAGTGCTTGCCAGCTGCTCTGTCTGGTTCTGGTCTCTTCCATGCACTGTCTCTTTTCATCTCCTCATAGACTCACCCTTCTTACTGCTACAGGAGGTATTACTTTAAAACACACCTTAGACTACATCATCCCCTATATGTTGTAAACCTTCAGTATACTCCCAGGATAAAGTATTCCCAGTATAGAGACCAAATTCCTACCTGGGACTCAAGGTCTTCACCTCCTGGATGCAAACTGCCTTCTCACCTCCTCTTCTCACCTTCCCAGGCATAGAGTCATCCTGCTTCCCCAGAGAACTTCCCTATGTTCCAGCTCCACCAGAGGAAGCACCACTCCAAATGCTTTTGGGGTAATGCTTCCTCTGATTCACACGCACTTAGCACCTCCCCTTTCTCACTGCCCAGATGGCATCCCCGCCTTGGTTAATTCCACCTCCTTCTCACCCGTTAAGGCACACCTCGAACATTACTCTTGGAGTCAGTCTCTCTAACTCCCTCCTTCCCATACCTAGCTTTTGTCAGAACCAGTTTCTCGCTGCTCAGCAACCCGAGTGCTCTTTGATAAAGCTTGTTCCTGCTCTCCCAAGCTGACTGTAGTACAGTTCCCTCTGTGCTTCTCTGGCTCCCAGAAACTGGGGCTTTCCCATGTTTCATCCCCACAATGCCCAGCTCAACATACAGCACCTATAAGTGCACAGATTGACTTTTGAGCCAGAGCAGAGAACAAACCTCTCACCTGGCTTCCTCCCTTCATGATGGTCCCTCAGTGGTGTACGGGCTATAGGCAGGACCCTGGGAAAGACTCCCAAAAGCCTCGGAAGAAACGCTCTTAGAGGGGAGCTAAGGATGCTATTAAGCTCCAAGATGGAGAAAGAAAGAATAAAAAAGAATGCATTTTGGTTTGTGCATGCCCCCTCCTTTGAAAGCTTTTCCCTGTCAGCCTTGTGGCAGTCTTTGCTGCTGAGTCCTTGTGGGAAGGTTCAGGGTTTTTCTCAATTCCTCCCTCTCTCCAATGCTGCAGCCCTCTTGTGTTTGCTGCAATTTGGCTGCCAAGACTTTTCAAATACACATCATTAATTCTGCTATACAGCCCAAGTGAGCTCAGGCATTTGAAAAAGGAAAGAAACATGGAATTCAAGAGCTGGAGCTGCCACATGCAAAGATCATTGGGGAAAGCAAACCAAAGAGAGCCTTTATTTATTTTTTTGTTTTTCAACAGACACAAGGTCACTGCAAGCAGCAGCCATTAGCCTAATTAGAGCTTTGGAATAAGAGAGGGGAGAGAGCACTCCAGTGTGGGAGAAAGAGGGGAGGGGACAAAGACAGTAATTGAAGCCAATAATGAATATTAAATTCTTATAAGTAATATTTAATTAAGTTATCCTACGATTGAGGCATTTGGCAAATATTACCATGGGATTCAAAGTAGTATATTAAGTACCTAAAAAATCACTAAGCAGAGAACACAGACTGCCTTCTTTTCCTCTAGTCTGCTTAGCTATTTTATCTGTATCAGGGTTCCCTGGGCTGATGGGTAAAGGGAGTTAAAGAAACGTGTGTCCCTGAGCCCACTTCTTGGCCCCCATGCACAGCTTCCACATCACCTCACGTGGGACTGGAGCTTATCACCATATTAAAGTAGAAAACCTCAGCCAAGCACAGTAGTACATTCCTGTAGTCCCAGCTACCCAAGAGGCTGAGATGGGAGGATCCTTTGAGCCTAAGAGTTGGAATCCAGCCTGGGCAACATAGCAAGATTCCTTCTGTTTCCCTGAAGATTCTGTTAAAAGTGGCAAAGACAACCCAGAACTTGAGAAAAGGTGTTTGTAAGCCACATAACCAACTGAGGATAACTTTTTAGAATGTATAAATGTCTATTACTGAAAGAGACAAATGGCTCAATAGAAAAATGGGCAAAAGATATGAACAGGCAATTCACAGAACAAAAAGCTCAAGTTAAAGTATGAAAAACCAGAAAGATCAAGCTCACTAGAAATCAGGAAAAAAAATACACAATCTGAAACGCTACCATTTCATAACCAACAGATGAACAACAACAAAAGATGAATGTCTTATGACACTAAGTGTTGGTGAGAAAAAGGAAGGATAGGAAGGTGGGTATCATACAAATTGGTGCAATCACATTGGAGACCAATCTGCCACTATACAATAAAGCTGCGGATGTACTGTATTAGTTCATTTTTACCCTGCTATAAAGAAATACCCAAGACTGGGTAATTTATGCAGGAAAGAGGTTTAATTGCCTCACAGTTTCACATGGCTGGGGAGGCCTCAGAAAACAAAATCATGGTAGAAGGGGAAGCAGACACCTTCTTCACAAGGTGACAGGAGAGAGAAGACTGTGTAAGAGCACAGGAAAAACTACCATTCATAAAACCATCAGATCTCGTGAGAATTCACCTACTATCATGAGAACAGGATGGGGGAAACCACCCCCATAATCCAGTCACTTCCCACCAGGTCTCCCTCTCCCTAAACACTTGGAGATTACCATTCAAGGTGAGATTTGGGTGGGAACAGAAAGCCAAATTGTATCATGTACACATCCTAGGCTCAAGGAAATCCATTACAAGGTATGTAGCCCGGATTCTTCTAAATGGGCACAAAAATATTTGAGGTAGCATTGTTTGTAGAGCAAAAATTACAAACAACCTGATATTCATCACCAAGAGAACAGAAATATAAATTGCATATTTATACAATGAAAACTTATTTAGCAGCAAAAACAAATCAATGTATCATGTGGATAAATTTTTGAAACCTAATTCTGGCAAATATCAAACACAAAACAAAAAAGAGTAGCAGAATATATACATGATGGTACAATTTATGTAAAATTTTTCAATCTGTAGAACATAATATTTAGAGACACATACATATGTGTAAAAAATAAAATGCATGAGAATGATAAACAACAAACTCAGGCAGAGGTTACCTGGGAAGATGCTGTGGGAAATGGTACACAGAGCAATGCATGGGCATTCTTATATTCATCTGTAAAGCTTTTTCATATCTTAAATATTTCATAACACATTTTTAAAAATTATTAACAGTCATATTTGTTAAACAGATAGAAATATGCCTCAAGAAGATTACAAGTTTCTCAAGGGAAAGAGCGTGAAACAGTCATGAAAGAGAAGATCAGGTTTGATTAGTGGCCAAAATGCAAGGTACAGTTAGGACGCAGCAAAGGAGAGGGATTTTAGGAACCATGAAATGCTCTTATGCTGAAATCTCTACCCAAGAGGGAACCTGAATGTCAAGTGGGTCACTTCCTGCCACAGTAGTGACCCACACCCAATATGAAGGAGCCATCACCAATGCCAGAGCAGGCAGGTTGGCATGGCGACCTACTCATTTGTCCTGAGGAGCAAAAGGACTCGAGGCTAGAGATGGAACCCACAGGCAAAGAATAATCAATTAGATATTTTTTGCCAACTGAATCAAGATACCACTTTCACCCTTCTCCCAATTCTATATTTGTTTAATACATATATCCAAATTCGACTGCCCCAAAATACATAGGTGTTTTCTGAGGGACCACCAAGGCCTCATTGTCTTGCCAGAGCTTAGAAAAACCTCATCATTCTTACTCACAGAGACCCTTACCATTGATCAGAAGAGGAGTGAGAGACACCAAAGCTATCAACAGAAATACCTGAGCCACTTTTAGCTGGATTTAGTCTTGGAGAAGTCTCTTTCAGGAATCACAATAATTAACGTGTATTTTTGTAAAAGACAGCCATGCTTATCACATCTTTAACTAGCCTTCAGATTTACATAGAATAGTATTTTTATCCATAGAGGGACACCTGCGCTCTTGCTTATTTATTGAAAATGGAAATAAATAGACCAGGCAGAAAGTCTAGTAAATTCTGGTATTAGCATAACATGATGTGTGTAAGTCTCTCTCCCTCCAGGCACTAATAACTTCAACTCTATAATTAGAGGATTGCTCCAGACATGGGACAGCCAGCTATAGCCTACAGGCCTTTGGCCTTTTACCTGTTTCTGTACAGGCCTCAAGCACTACAATGGGAGAGTTGGATAGTTGGGAAAGAGACCATACAACCTGCAAAGACTAAAATATTTACTAACTAGCCTGTTGCAGAAAAAGTTTGCCAACCCCTAGTCTAGAGCAGCCCTGTCCAACAGATTAGATACAATGTGAGCCAACTATGGAACATTACATTTTCTGGTAGTTGGCTTAAAAAATAAGCCAGGCACATGCCGGGCACGGTGGCTCACGCCTGTAATCCCAGCACTTTGGGAGGCCAAGACGGGCAGATCACAATGTCAGAAGATCGGGACCATCCTGGCTAACATAGTGAAACCCCGTCTCTACCAAAAAATACAAAAAATTAGCCGGGCGTGGTGGCAGGCGCCTGTAGTCCCAGCTACTCTGGAGGCTGAGGCAGGAGAATGGCATGAACCCAGGAGGCAGAGCTTGCAGTGAGCCGAGAATGCGCCACTGCACTCCACCCTCGGTGACAGAGTGAGACTCTGTCTCAATAAATAAATAAATAAATAAATAAATAAATAAAATAAACCAGGCACAGTGGTCCACACCTGTCATCCTAGCACTTTGGGAGGCTGAGGCAGGCAGATCATCCGAGGTCAGGAGCTCGAGACCACCCTGGCCAACATAGTGCAACCCCGTCTCTACTAAAAATACAAAAAATTAGCTAGGCGTGGTGATGCATGCCCGTAATCCCAGCTACTCAGGAGGCTGAGGTAGGAGAATCACCTGAACCCAGGAGGTGGAGGTTGCAGTGAGCCAAGATTGTGCTATAAAAAGAAAGCAGTAAAATAAATTTTAATGATATATTGCATTTAATCCAATATATCCCAAAAGTACAATTTATAATTAATATAAAGAATTTTAGGAGATATTTTACATTATTGTTTTCATACAAAGTCTTAAAAACTGGATATGTCTCTTACACACTACAGTACATCTCAGTTCAGCTAGCTAGTACATTTCAAGGGCTCGATAGTCACATGAGGCTAATGGCTACTATACTTGACAGCATAGGGCCAGATTATCTCTAAGGTCCTTTTCAGCTTTCGTGTGATTATCTAAAATATGAATAGGTTTAAAAATGTATATATCCATTCTCCAGCATCCAATTAGAGTTCTGGCTCCTTAAAATTTTTCCTGATTCCTCTGGTCCACATCAACCTTTGCTCATGACATTCCAAGAGTAAAGCACCCCATCAAGACATGGATGCCTTTATACCACCCCCTGAGGGCTGAACCCACAAAGGGACCTCGGCCGCTCCCAGCCTACTTCTGTTCACTCGTTCATTGTGGCTTCCCTCTCATTCATTCTGCCCCTGACTTTGCTGTGGGTGTCTCTGCTCTCTCTGGCTCCTCCCCTGCTCTCCTCCTGGAGGTCTCTGTCTTGCATTTTCTCCACCTCCCTGTTGTGGGATATCCTAGGAGTCCTTCAGGAAGCTCATTCCCAGCCCTGGCCAAACGACCAGCACCTCTCAGAAGAGGAGGGACATAAAAAATGGTGTAGCTATAGAAAGGTAAAATGTGAGATGTGGTCTGGGGTTTGAGAGAAAAATAGCCCTCCATATCCGTGGATTCTGCATCCATGGATTCAACCAACTATAGATTGAAAATATATATTTTTTTAATTCCACAAAGTTCCAAAAAGCAAACCTTGACTTTGCCATGCACCAAGTACTACGATGAATCCTCAAGAATGAAGTGATGTGTAGGCATTGCATCAGGTATTATAAGTCATCTAGAAATGACTTAAAGTGTACAGGAGGATATGCTTAGGTTATATGCCAATATCACATCATTTTATATAAAGGACTTGAACATCTGTGGATCTGGGTATCCACAGGGAGTCCTGGAACCAATCCCCCACAGACACTGAGGGGTGACTCTGCTTAATCTGAAAAGGCAATTCAGGAAATTCAGAGTTAAAGGAATAATGAGCTTTTGAGAAGGTATTTTTGGGTGAGAAACAGTAGGATTCCTAGGCACTACCCAAGGAGGGCCACTGGTCATTAACTCAGGGAGAGAGTTGGAAAATGAACCAGAGGCACAAGGATCTGGGGCCCAGGCAAGAGAGGCCTGGCTTCTCTAGAGACCCAGTGGCAGCTGGTGGAACAGCCCCATCTAGGGCCAGGGATGGGACACAGTGATGAGTCATCACTGAGGCCTGAGACCCCAAGCTCAGGGGCCCAAGGAAGGAAACGGCACTGAAAGGAGGAGCTTCCAGGGGATGGCTGGAGGGACTTAACACACTACCGCTGGGTGTCCCCAGAAGGTGCATCTAAGTCGTTCCTACAGCCCCTCTCCTGGGAGAAGCATGTGACGTGAATTAATCATCCTCTGTGCTGGGCTGCGGTGTGCTGGACTGGAGAGGGTGGCGAGATCCTTTTTTTTTTTCTTTTTTTTTTTAAGTAAAATGCATTACTACTATAAAAGTAAGTGCTCATTATAACTTTTTCTAACAGTACATAGAAGTATAACAGAGAAAGAAATTACTTGAAATTTCTCAACCCTAAAATAATGATTTGGTGGCCGAATTCTCTCATACACATCTTTATTTATTGCCACAATATTTAATAGGATCATATCACACAAGCTCAGTTTGGGGAAGATTTACTCTTTCCCTTTCTCCCTCCACCTCTCATATAAGGAAGGTTTTCACTATTTTACAAAAGGATCATTTTTATACACTTCTCTGCACTTTGCTTGTTTCATATTTTGTAGATTTCTCCAAATGAGCAGCTTTGAAATTAATTTATTTTAATGTTTGCCTAATATTTGTGATATGAATGTACTGTAATTTATTCAACTATTCCTATTGATGGATGTTTCCTTTGAGGCAACATTGCATATCTTACCCTTACTCTTTGGTGCTTTTATTTTTGTGAAATAGGTTCCCAGAAGTGGGCCTGCTGGGTAGAAGGGGATATATATTCTTTTTATTTTACAAGCTATTGCCATGCCATTTTCCAAAAAGACTGAAACCATTTACATGTCCTCCAGCAGCGTGTATGAATTCCCTCTGCCCTATATCTCCTCCAACAATAGATATTATTGGTCTTCTTAATGTTTGCTAGTGTGATGGGTAGAAAGTGGTAACTCAATGCTGCTTTAATTTGTATTTTCCAGTGAGCTTGAGCATTTCTTAATGTGTTTATTGGCCATTTAGATTTGCTCCTCTGTGAGCTGCTTATTCATATTTGCCTGTTGTTTTGTTCGGTTATCTTTTTATTAATTTTTAAGAGCTCTTTGTATATTACAGCTATGAATCTCTTATGAACGTAACTATTTTTTCTAAATCTATTGTTAGACTTCATCTTTATTCTTACAACCAAATTGCAACACATTTTCTGGCCGACGAGACAGGGTAAGAAAGGGTAAGAATATGAGATTTGGAAGGGATAGGAGAGCAGAGGAGCTCAATGCTCCAGCTAGATCCTTTCTGGGGATGCTGTCTCAATCTGCTCAGGCTGTCGTAACAGGAAGCCATAGATTGAGCGTCTTAACAGGAATTTATTGTATCATAGTATGCAGACTGTAAGTCCCAGATCAAAGCACCAGCAGGATGAGTTTCTGGTGAGACCTCTCTTCCTGGCTTGCAGACAGCAGCCTTCTCATTGGGTCCTCACCTGGCCTTTCCTCTGTGCTCCTGTGGAGAAGAGAAGACTCTCAGGTGTCTCTTCCTTTTCTGTAAGGACACTGTCCTATTGGATGAGGTCCCAAACTTATAACCTTATTTAACCTCCATTACTTCCCTAAGGGACCTATCTCCAACTACAGTCACATGGGTCTGGGGAGGTTTAGGGCTTCAACATATGGATTTGCAGGGGGACACAACAGAACAATTAACAGGTGGGTTCTACAGAAGTGCATAAACCCAGAGAGGAAGTGACAGTATGGTACAACTGGGCCATATTCATCCTCGCATGAATCTCCACACTCCAGCATGATGGAAGTAGCTGGACGGTTCCCATTCCCCAAAGAACGGCAGAGAAAGCAGAGGAGCCCCTAGGCCTGAAGGGGTCCTGGGCAGGATATCTCAGCAAAATGCCTGTATTCCAATGATCCAGAACTAGGTCAGGGTAATAGACAAGCCTCACTGAACACCTACGAGGATAGATGCCTATAAGGGCTATGAGGATAGATGCCTATAAGGGCAGTGTGAGGCTGCAATCTGATAAATGCAGTCATGTGTTCAAAAGGGATACATTCTAAGATATGCGTCATTGTGCAAACATTGTAGAGCGTCCTTGCACAAACCTAGATGGTACAGCCTACTCCACACCTAGGCTATATGGTAAGCCTGTTGCTCCTAGGTTACAAACCTGAACAACATGTTATTTTACTGATACTGTAGGCAATTGTAACATATGCGTACATTTAGAAAAGGTACAGTAAAAATACAGTATTATGGGAGCATAATATGTGACCAGGGTCATATATGTAGTCTTCTATTGACGTAATCATCTCCTCATTCTACACAGAACTATATATTTTGGTCTTCCACCTGTTTCCTGACACATAGCTCCTAAAGCCCTTGGAATCTCCGAGTGAAACATGCCTTTTTCTATGATAATGGCATGACTGATGGCTGGGGCTCCAGGATAGCTTCAGAATAGAGACTGTGCCAGGGAAACCAACCTTCTGACTAGAGGGTCAGAACTTTCAACCCCATCCCCTGACCTCCCGGGAGGAAGAGGAGCTGAAGGCTGTGTTGATCACCCATGGCCAATGATGTAATCAATCATGATTCTATAAGGAAACCTCCATAAAAACCCAAAAGGATAGGGTTCAGAGAGCTTCTGCATTGGTGAACAGGAACACATCAGCATGCTGGAAGGGTGGTACACCCTAACTCCCTGGGGACAGAAGCCCTGTGCTCAGGACCCTTCTAAACCTCACCATATGTATCCCTTCAACTGGTGGTGCATTTGTATCCTCTAAAATACCCTTTCTCACCATTGACCAACAATAGCAAGTAAACTGTTTACTGGGCTTCTCAGAGCTGCTCTAGCAAATTATTGAACCCAAAAAGGAGGTCATGGGGACCTCCAATTTGTAGCTGAGTCAGACAGAAGTGTGAGTGATCAGGGAACCTATATTGGCATCTGAAATAGGGGGCATTCTTATGGGACTGAGCCCTTAACCTGTGGGGTCTGCACTAACTCTACTTAGCATCACAATTGAGTTGCACTGAATTGTAGGACACCCAGGTGGTGTCAGAGAATTGGTCAGATTAGTCAGTGTGGGGGAAAAGAACCCCACACAGGCCGGGCACGGTGGCTGACGCCTGTAATCCCAGCACTTTGGGAGGCCGAGGTGGGTGGATCACCTGAGGTCAGGAGTTTGAGACCAGCCTGGCCAACCTGGTGAAACCCTGTCTCTACTAAAAATACAAAAATTAGCTGGGCATGGTGGCAAGTGCCTGTAATCTCAGCTACTCAGGAGGCTGAGGCAGAAGAATCACTTGAACCCGGGAGGCAGAGGTTGCAGTGAGCCGAGATCTCACCATTGCACCCCAGCCTGGGTGACAGAGCAAGACTCCATCTCAAACAGACACACACACAAACACACACACACACACACACACACACACACACACACACACACAGTAGACCTAAAGATAAGTTTAGAAAAATAAAAGCAGTCCTTTCTCTGGAACACCTGTCGTAGCTGCTGTTGTGTTCTCCCGTGCCCAGGTTGCTGTGAGTGGCACTGGCAGAGGCCCGGCTGTCAGCTCCAGTGGAGGCTGCCCAGCAGCAGAGCTGCATCACCCATGAATATGCCCCTCCCCAGGGCGCCCTCAACACAGTGACAGAAAAAGGCCTGGCCATCTCAGCCCAAATCAGGACAACTCTGGAGGTCATTTCAGTTCCAGGATGGACCCTGGGGTCTGTTGCGGCAATCAGTAGCTCACATCACACTGCCCTTTCCCCTCTGCCCAACCCCACTTCCTCCCTTGCCCTTCCCCTGGTGTGGACCCCAGGGACCTCTTTAATAACCTATCTGCATCTCAGAGTCTGCTTATCAGGGACCCCTACCTATGACAGCCCTCTCACATGTGCTACAGGCAGCGCATAACCAAGGTGAACTTGCAACAGAATGTGATTCAACAGCATGCGAGACAAAGCAGCCCCTGCCTGGACAGTGCTGGCCCTGATGCAAGGGGTGCAGGTGCCCCCAGAGCACAGGCATTCGGCCTCCACCTCTCCAAGCAAGGCCTCCAAGGAGACACCTCCTAATCTGCATCCACCACCCCTGAGCCACCCAATCTCCTCCAGCAATGGCCTTAATAGGAAATGTAGGCCCCTGCCCCTTCTGCCAAATCTCCCTTGAAGGAACACGTGGCAAATTGCTTCCACGGGCTTATTTAACCTAACCCTCTAATTTATTCCCCATTAAGATGGTTACTTTAATTTAGTTATTTGTGTCTGTCAGGCAAAGAAGGAGAGGCCCTCTTGGCTTCGGGATGCAGTTCTCTGCTCCACCACACCAGTGCCCAGGGCCTTTCCCATGGCAAAGCACCAACACCTGCCCTTATTTAAAAGCTTATCTGTAGCCCAGCAGAAAACAAGGCACGACACATATTTGAGGTTTAACATCTTGATTCTCAGGCTTTATAACACTGGATATTATTGGCAACACCATGAAACAAAGAAACAGAAGCTTCTGCCCACTCCTCCACATGTGACATTAGGAATTCAGTGTAGGACAGTGAAGGACAAATCACTACACCTGAGTTCTGCTATCTTGGTTCTTTCTGTGACCAAACAGGTATGTGACCCTTCACAGTAACTCACCCCTCTAGGACTCAATTTCCTCATCTAAGCATGAGGAGCGTTGAACTTAAAGCCCTAATAGGTCAGGAATGTTGGGTTTTTGTGTTTTTTCTTAGATCAGTGTTTCAGATATTGAGTTATTTTCCAGAATCGACACATTGAAGCTCCTGGCCTACTCAGGTCCCTGGAGAAAGCTGAAGGTGACCAGCTTTTGCTTTCTTCTATTGGATCAGATCCACCCATGTAATTCCTCCCAGACTTTTATTTCCTGGAGTTTTACTTCTGAACATTCCAAAATGTTAATGTTTCTTGGAAGTGAGCACCAAATATTACATCTGGAGCTGTTCTCTCTTAACAGTCTGCCCTCAATCTGAGAAGTTTATCAGTTCTGTTGGAGAGTCCCCACCGTGCCATTAGCATTTGATGTGGATGTCACAATTTGCAAACCTTTTTTATCTTCGGGGAAAGCAGAGGAGGGAAAATGAGCCAGATCCGTTGGTCCCTGGCTCAGAGTTAGAAACTGATCTTATTTGTGAAGTAGGCTTAATTTCATCATTAGAACAAGTGATGCAGATGATGTTCTCAGTGTGAGCTGGTGACAGGCCTGCAGTCATTCCTGCTCTTCCATACACACGGGGGAGAGTGTAGACACTCATACACATGCTACATTTCCCATGCACATGTGCGCACACACCTACCCACCTAATAGAAAATGCTCTCAGTGCAATCATGGACGCAAACTGGAGGGGGAACATTTTTTGCAGGGCCCAAACTGAGAAAAGACTTCACAGCTACCACAGACAAGGCCTAAGGAGACTTAATATGAATCCCCCAGCCATTCCTACAATGCCATAAGGTTGATAAGACATTTCCATATGCACAACATCTTTTGACCATTCACAGCTCAGGGGAGCACACTCTTGCTTCCTGGACAATCCTTTTATACACCTGCCCACCCCTCACCCCGCTGGGCCAATTTCTCCTTCCTAGACAAATCTTCTCTGATAACCCTATCTAAATTAGGCCCCCCCCCACAATTATTTATCTTAGCACTTTATTTGCTTTTTATAGCATTTAATTACATTTTTTGTGTTTTTGCTTATTTACCTATTTATTTTCCATCTCTCCCACTGAATTATAACCTCCTTAAAAGATAGGAATGCAGTCTGTCTTATTCATTCTGGATTACCCAGTATCCAAACAATGTCCAGCACACAGTCAGCACTTCATAAAGCCTTGTTGAATAAACCAACTTGATTTGCTCAAGAATCCTACAGTTAAAGTCATTTTCACAGATGAGGAAATAGGTTCATGGAGGTTAGGTGACCTGCAAATTCCCAAAAAATGCTAAGTAGGAGAGCCAGGATTCTAATTTAATTTTATGCCATTTTCACAACATCAAGCTATATGAGTCCATCTTTGAGCTATGATTTGTCCTTTAAACTCCACAATAGCTCCAAGTCTCAGGAAAAGGAAGGAAAATTTGATGTACACATATATGCACACGTGTGTGTGCGTGCATGCATGCACACACAAACACACGCCTTTCACTTTGCCCCACTCTCCAAGTTTGTTAGCTAGGAAGGACCAGGTAGTGAATTTGACTTTCTCATATACGCTATACTCAAAAATGTGCCTGACTTACAAATGACCATGTAAAAACAAGTACCATTTTCAGGGCCTTGAAGATGATGGGAATATATAAAGGAAATATGATAGAATGTTAGAATTGGAAGAAACATTTTATAGATAGGGAAACTGAGGCCCCATTGAGTGGGAATGATTTTCCCAAGGTCACTTGTAGGAGAACCAGTACTAGAACCCAGGTCTGATTCTTGGTCCAATGCTCATTCCCTAAGATGAATCACAGGAACACAGCAATAAATTACGTCTTGGGCATCCTCTAATGACCAATAATCAACAATGATGGCTTTCTTCATCTGTCCTTTCAGAGCTTGGTCCCAGAACAGTGTGTACTGGGAAAGCCCACTCCAATTTTATGAAGGTATTTCACATGTGAAGTTGGACTTCAGGTGTTTTTGCAAATTATGAAATGTCTCTCTAAAGCTATTGCTTCAAACTCAGTTCTTTTTCTCCATTCTCCCAACTGAGACCCTCACATCCATCCAGTAGGCAACAGAGCAAGGCAGTTTCCGAGCATACCCAACCTTTAAATTGATTAATGTTCTTTTTAATTAAGAAAATATATTAAAAGAATGGCACAGGCACACACACATTCACACATACAGGTTCTAGGAAGACCCTGGTCTAAGATGCAAAGGAAATCTGAATCAACTTGAATGTCCTGTGTCAAAGCATTGGAAGCTAAGAGGAGAATTCCATAAAAGAGGAAGATGATCAGAAAAAGAACTTCAGATAATTTCCTTCAGAAGTGTAGGCAAAGTACACTACCAAGGTAAGGACTGGCTCAGGTAGCTGAAGACCAAAGTCACACTTACCCACACTCAGTAGAGAGGCCTGTTTTAGGTTGGCGTATTAGTCCATTTTCACACTGCACCCACCTGAGCTGGGCGCGATGGCTCACACCTGTAATCCCAGCACTTTGGGAGGCCAAGGTGGGTGGATCACCTGAGATTTGGAGTTCGAGACCAGCCTGACCAACATGGAGAAACCCCGTCTCTACTAAAAATACAGAATTAGCCGGGCGTGGTGGTGCATGCCTGTAATCCCAGCTACACTGGAGGCTGAGGCAGGATAATCGCTTGCACCCAGGAGGCAGAGGTTGCAATGAGCCGAGATCGCACCATTGCACTCCAGCCTGGGCAACAAGAGTGAAACTCCTTCTCAAAAAAATAAAAATAAAAACATACCTAAGACTGGGCAATTTACCAAAAAAAAAAAAAAAAAAAAAAAAAAAAAAAAAAGGTTTTAATGAACTTACAGTTCTATGTGGCTGGGGAGGCCTCACAATCATGGTGGAAGGAAAGGAGGAGCAAGTCACATCTTACATGGATGGCAGCAGGCCAAGAGAGAGCTTGTACAGGGAAACTCCACCTTATAAAACCATCAGACCTCGTGAGACTTACTCACTATCACAAGGACAGCACAGAAAAGACCTGCCTCTATGATTCAATTACCTCCCACCAGGTCCCTCCCACAACACATGGGAATTCAAGATGAGATTTTGGTCGGGACACAGCCAAACCTTGTCAGCTGGATTTGAGATCCATTCCAAGAACAGGCATTACTCAGCTTATGAGGGATCTGCCTGAGCTACTGTGCTGTGCATGAGTGAATCCATTGCTTCTAAGAATATCACAGGCACTCACACATGCACACATGTGCACACACACACACACACCCTGTTCTGTGTCCCTGTTCCCTTATTCATGGTGTCACCTCACATGGAGCAGCCTTTCTACTTAGTGCCCTAGAGGACCTCTTAGAGGTTCAGCTCCTGTGACCTCTTCTCTGGTGTCTTCCCTGCTTCTTCCACCTTTTCCCAGGTCCCCTCCTCTGCTCTGTGATCCTGTAATACTCTGTACCACCACCATCGCTGTGTTGCACAGCATCACACGACAATTATTTGTCTGCATGACTATGAGCTCCTCACAAGGGAGGAAAGTGTTTTGTGTGTCTTTGTGTCTCCAGCACACAGCACGGTGCCAGGTGCTTAGTAGGCACTCAGCAAACAGTTGTTAAATGGTTAAATGAAGGAATTTCCCTGCTGGTACAAGGTAGAGATGCTAAGATTGTCCCACAGTCTCAATCACACAACCAGGCCCTGCTTTATCCTAAATCCAGAAAACATTAACACAACCAGCACACCACCAGAGGGGTTTCATCCCAATAAAATAAAGCTGTACAGTCCAGTTATGTAATAAGAAGAAAAACAGATGGGGGATAAGGACATTCTTACTGTGTTCATTTCCTAGGAAGGCCGTAACAAAGTACCACAAACAAGGTAACTTAAACAGAAATGAATTTTCTCACAGTCCTGGAGGCTGAAATCAAGGTGTTAGCAGAGCTGGTTCCTTCTGAGGGATGTGGGAAAGGACCGGTTCCACGCTCTTGTCCTGGGTTCTGATGGTTGCTGGCAGTATTTGGGGTTCCGTGGCTTATGGATTCATCGTCCCGATCTCTGCCCTCACATGACATTCTGAGTCTTGAGTCTTTTCACATAGTCTTCCCCCTGTGCATGTCTGTCTCTCTGTCCCAATTTCCCCTCTTTACAAGGACGCCAGTCATATTGGTTTAGGATCTACCCTAATGAGTTCATTTTAACTTCATGACCTCTATAAAGACCCCATTTCTAAATAAGGTTGCATTCTGAGGTCGTGACAGCTAGAATTTCAACATATTTTGCAGGGGGACACAATTCAAACCCCGACAGTTTATACTCAAAACTGGCATAACAAACACAGGGATGACTCCAAACATAAATATGTTCATTCGAACCAGGTACAGTGGCTCACGCCTGTAATCCCAGCACTTTCAGAGGCCAAGGCAGGTGGATCACTTGAGCCCAGGAGTTTGAGACCAGCCTTGGCAGCATGGTAAAACCTCGTCTCTACCAAAAATACAAAAATTAGCCAGTCTCATAACCTGGTCTCAAAATAAATAAATAGATTAAATTTTAAAAATTAAATTTAAAAAGTTAAAAATAAAATAAAAAGGCCAGGGACAGTGGCTCATGCCTGTAATCCCAGCACTTTGGGAGGCTGAGGCGGGCGGATCACTTGAGATCAGGAGTTCAATACCAGCCTGGCCAACATGGCGAAACCCTGTCTCTATTAAAAATACAAAAATTAGCCAAGCATGGTGGTGCATGACTGTAGTCCCAACTACTCAGGAGGCTGAGACAAGAGAATCACTTGAACCTGGAAGGTGGAGGTTGTAGTGAGCCGAGATTACACCACTGCACTCCAGCCTGGGTGGCAGAGCAAGACTCTGTCTCAAAAAAAAAAAAAGAAAAAAAAAAGTATGTTCATTGGCCATCCTCTACCTCATCTTCCTCATTGGTAAAATCGTGGGAGAATTTTTGCTGGACCAAATGGAGGATTTGCTGAAGTTTATTTCTGATGTTCTTTCTTCGACCATCTTTCCCCATCTGTGGATTCCTCTGCTACTAGTTCACTGTTCCCTGGTTACTTACAGTGCAATCCTTCCCAGAACACTTGCAGGTTAATTCAGAGTCATAAAGATAGAATAGACTCCAAGATCCAAGGAAGTTTCTCCATTATGGTGGTGTTTCAGACACAGAAGTAAAGAGGGTGTGTGGGGACAGGGTATGAGAGGATCCAGAGGAACTAACCATGAAGTGGCACCTGGAACCTCAAGGGCTGCCACGTGAGGTATGCTCAGCCTGCATAACTGTCCATGGGGTGTGTTAACAGAAACACCCAGTCCCCTTGGAGTGTCAGCTCAGAGCCTGGCCACAGGCAAGAACACTGGCCTGGGGTCTGGACCTGGACTCTGGTCTAGCGTCTCCACTGACCTGCTGTGTGTGGCTAGACCAGTCTCTTTTCCCCTTCTCCTTACACTCAGTATCCCTATCAGTGTAATGGGGGGAAGGGTGGGGTGGGAATGGGATTAGAAGGCTGGTCTCCAGCCTCTTCCCATCCACACATCCTGTGAGCATCTGCAAGGACCCTTCTTGCCAAGAAAAACCATCAACACAACAGCAAACAGGGAGAGAGGACAACCAGCACCAGCCAAGCCTTCATCTGCTCGCTCACTCTAAACAGAAATCACTTACCCTAAACGGCAATCAGTCCTGATGGCCTCCTTTCCAAATGCCTTGTATGACAATGAGTGATTTGTAACAACATCCAATCAAGCGCACCTAACCTTCCTATAATTGCCTGTCCTTTTCAGTGTTCTTAAAAGCTTTCCAGTGGAAAAGAACAGAAGCTTCTCGTCAGAAGCAGATTATTATACAGAGGAGAGAGAACCCCCCCATTCCTTTCCTCCCTTCCAGCCCATCTCTGCACCCTCCCCAGTCTGTACGCCCCCTGCAGAGGAACCAGCATCTGGCTGACATCTCCACAGGCGCAGCAACCACCTGCTGGTATAAATCTCTCAGCTGTTCCATCCCCATCCAGGATCCTTCCCCAGCTCGAGGCAGGCCCAGCAGATTCCTGTCTTTCCTTCCAGGCCAGAAGAGGTAACATTAGTAGCATATTCAGTTCACACCGAACGTCATTATGAAAATCAGCAGAACGGAACACCAGAAAGGTCCAGTGACAGGCCCCGAGGTCACAGGGCAGGTGGGCAGGGCCACAGCTGAACTCCCCTGCAAGTCTGGATCCCCGACAAGTCACACACCCCCACTCCGTGCTCTGAACAAATGGAAAAACGACACTCCTCAGCTGGCCCGGGAGTGGTGCAAGTCCTGGGGGATTTCTCAGCTCCACCAGTCCCCCTCATCGTGGCAGACAAGTGTGAGAGCCAGGAGGAAAGCACACAGCTTAGAGCCCTGGAATCAGAATCCCACCAAATCATCATCGTAAGAGGGACAGAGAATGAACTGTGGAGTTGGAGGTCCCAGGAGTAAAAAGAGGGGCCGAAATTTTCCCAGAGAGAAAATCATAGGGGGACCACGTGCAAAAATCAGTGGCAATGTCATCTTCATCTGGAAAAGGCTAGAGAGAGATCTCACTCTCCCAGACGCACCATGCTCACTCTGAATCCCTTGATTTTTCTTTGAACCTCCTGACTCATTCGACAAATGGTCTATTGAGTCCCCCCTGGGTGAGAAGTCTGTGCTAGACACTGTAAGAGAAGTAGAGGTGCCTGTGCCAAGGGCTTTCCCGGCCCTCGGTCTGATAGGGTGTATGAGGCTTTCTTCAGGTGACTAATGACTGATTGAGAATGATCTATGCTTACAAGAGATGCCGGGCCAGGGGCTCTCACAAGGAGAGACGGATGGCCGCAAGCTGGGAAGGAGGGTGTTTGGAAGCATGGAAGTCAGGGAATGGGGTGTAGGAGGCACCATAGGCACAGCCTGAGCAAAGGCATGTGGCGGGGGCTGGAGGTGGGGGGAGCACAGAGAAACAGAAGGACAGAGACAACAATAAAGAAGTCAATGCCTGTCTCAACACCAAGGCCATTAAGCATCCACGGACCCTCGTTCAGACTTGTGGTCCTGCCACTGCATTGGCATGAAGGGTTCTGCTCTGAGAATGGCAAAAGGGAAAGAAATGCCTCCTCTGAGTCTTTGCAAAATAGCAAATATTTTTCCCACCAGATTAGGCTTCTTTTCCAAGAATATTTTCCAATCCCGCATTCCGAACATCAGGTCCTATTCAATGGGCCCTGGAGGCAAGGTAGCCCAGACCTTCCTAACTAGCCCAGGAGGGAGAGAGAATCTCTAAAGCATCCCTCCTCCACACCTCTCTGCACATAGCTGTTCCCCTGGTTCCACTGCATCCTTCAGCCTGTGGAATGGTGCAGGAACTGCTTTCTCAGCTACTCAGCCTCAAATCTCCCCTCTACCACCAGCCAAATCTTTCTCTTTCTTTAAGGTCCATCTCCTTCAAGAAGTCTTCCCTGCTCACCTGCCAGCCCAGCCCACCCCAGCGCACTCTCATCCCTCCCATCCTGAGCACAATCTAAATGTATGATTTGCACTGCATGTCTGGTGATCAGTGCATTGTAAAGCTATTACCTAGTAACAAAGCTGCTTCATCTCCCCAGTCAGACTGCCCCTATCTGTGGGTAGGGGCTTGTATTCTACCTCCCTGTGCCCTCTCCCCAGTACTTAGCACACTGGTTTGCTTCTGCTCTGAGTTTAAGAAACGTCTGTGAATTAATTGACTGATGAAAGGTGCTAAAGATTGCCAGGAAGGCTGCCTTTTATCCATGGCCCTTGGGACTCATGAGGGAATTCCACTTCCTTCATAACTTATCTCTCATGAAAAGTTTACCATTCAATCCAGTTCCTTTCTAAGCACAGTTCTTCCGCATACTGCCTGCCTCATGCCGATGAGCACCTTCTCTACCAATGGATGTCCATGCTCCAAACTCCTTCCAGGTGTCAGGCCCCTGGTGTCTTTGGAAGAAGACCCTGTAAGAGGGTTGCTGACAGAGGCTGCAGCAGGCCCAGCGTGAGCTTAGTTGCAAACTTGTTGGTACCCTTTGATGTTTTCCCACCACCACCTCTCACATCCATTCTGTCTTGACCTACCTGCTACAGGTGGCCCACACTCCTGTTCTCCTATAATCTTCATTCTCTCTTACAGGGAAATTAGCTAATGAACTTATTTCTGCTGATGTTCACGTCTGCACCTTCTACCCTACTCCCAAGCCCTGTGCAGGCTTTTAATCCCTTAAAAATAGAGGCAGTGCTTTTCTCATTTATACAACCCTAGAACTATGCATCGTTATTGGCGTTATTAGACACCCAGGAAATGAGGAAGGAAGAAAAATAAAGGAATGAGGAAGAAATGAAGAAAGAAGCAAGGAAGGAAGAAAGGAAGAGAGGGAGAAGTGGGGAGGAAAGAGGAGGGTGGAGAGAGAAGTGGCCCCAGGACTCAAATGTTGGACAAGCTCCAAGCAGAAGTCCATCTCTCTACATGACCCAGGGCAGAAGTTGCCCACCTGAACAAGTGTATTATAGTCCATTTTCACAGTGCTATAAAGAACTACCTGTGACTGGGTAATTTATGAAAAAAAGAGATTTAAATAACTCACAGTTCTGCAGGCATTACAGGAAGCATGGTTGGAAGGCCTAAAGAAACTCAGAATCATGGCAGAGGCGAAAAGGAAACAAGCACGTCTTTACCACGGTGGAGCAGGAGACAGGGAGAGCATGAAGGAGAAGTGCCACACACTTTCAAACAGCCAGATCTCGTGAGAACTCACTGTCACGAGAACAGCAAGAGGTAAGTCTGCCCCCATGATTCAATCACCTCCCACTAGGCCTCTCCCCTGACAAGCTGGAGATTACAATCGAAAATGAGATTCGAGTGGGGACACAGAGCCAAACCATATCAAACAGGATCAGTCTCTTTCAGCTTGCCTCTCTGTTTCCCAGTTTCCTCTTCTTCAAAAACAGGGATACGAGTAGTACCTACCTCAAGGAGTGGTTGTAAAGCATAAATAAATGAATGCCTGTAAAGCTCTTTGAGTATCGCCTGATACATGTTAAGCTATCAAGCCGCACAGGCCCCCACCTGTTACCAGATGCAACCTTCTTCCCTTTCTTTGTAGACTCTTCCTCCAGGTGAAACTCGGAAGGAGCAGGTATATGTCTTCCCTACTTGTTAAACTGCCTCCTATTGTGTGTACTTGGCTGCACGATGTATTGGGCACAGCTGTGTATGTGCTTTGTGACTCCTGTCTTAATGACTTCACCAGTAACTGATTGCAAACACAGAACCACAAGAATGCCTGATTTATACCTCTTTGTTTGAAATCAAAGAAGGATTCTGGCTGAGCAAAGTTTCCAGATCACTGAAGCTTATAATTCTAAGCACAGTCTCCTATTGCTCTGACCATTGTTGGTAACTCCATCATAACTGTGACCATCCTGTTGGTGGCAGCTATGGTGTAGTGGAAATGGCACTGGGCCCAAAGCCAAAAGACTTGTGGTGAGTCCCTCTGCATCTTAGCATTGGCACATCCTTAAATCTCTCTAGACCTCACTTTCATTTATAAAACTATGGCGTGCCCATCAATCTCACACTTGTTGATGAATTCAAGGGTGTAACGCCTGCGAACGGGCTTCAGAAACTCTGAAGTGCTTAGTACATGTTGAATGTCAACTTAGAGATGTCCTCAGGGATTGTTGAGCCTAGAAGAGCCATTTGCCCTGATACAAAATAAACCCCGCCCTGCTGTGCTAAGAAGTAGCTTCTCCCAACTTTTCCATTGCTGTTAGCTTTTCTAGTAGTGTGTCTTCCACTCCTAACCCTGTTGCCCTGACAGTCGGCTCTTGGCATCTAGCACCACTGCTTCTAGTCTGTCACACCCTGTTCACCTACACAACTAAGGAAATGAGTGCCTAACTCATTAAACAGTAACCATGATGCTTTCCCTGCAAAGTCAGAGAAATCGGGCACTCCTAGAGCTAAGCTGGGTCCTGGAAAACATCTAGTTAAGTTCCTTTTTTTTTTTTTTTTTGAGACAGAGTCTGGATCACTCTGTCACCCAGGCTGGAGTGCAGTGGCACAATCTTGGCTCACTGCAACCTCTGCCTCCCAGGTTCAAGCTATTGTCCTGCCTCAGCCTCCTGAGTAGCTGGGATTACAGGCACCTGCCGCCATGCCCAGCTAAATTTTGTACTTTTAGTAGAAATGGGGTTTCACTGTGTTGGTCAGGATGGTCTTGAACTCCTGACCTCGTGATCTGCCCGCCTCAGCCTCCCAAAGTGCTGGGATGGCGGGCATGAGCCACTGCGCCTGGCAATCTAGTTCAATTCTTTAAGATGAGGAGTTGGAAGAAGAAATGACTTATCTAAGATTAAACAGGCAGCAGAGCTAGAACTAGAATTTTAATCTCTTGATTTTCAACCCAAGCAGTCCTTCTCCTCTGGTCTGAGAGAGGCTGTGTGGTAAAGGCCAAGGACCTTGTTCTTTCTGTTGCTTTCATATTTACATCCAGGTTTGCAATCAAGATTCACATGGCTATGACTATGCAACACCAGGAATAGTGAGGCCAGAAACTTCTCAAGCAGCCAAAAGAAGGCTGAGCTAAACTCTGAGGATGAATTCATCTAGCTTAGGGAGTCCTGACCAAAAATAGATTCTGAACTATTCAAATCTGAGTTCTGTATCCATCCCATGCATAATGGTTACATGCAAAAGTCCCTGCCTAGACTATATATATATATGTGTGTGTGTGTGTGTTTGTGTGTGTGTGCGTGTGTGTATACCCAAGTTTAAGTCCTTTTAAGAGAACAGGACTTCGTACTAATAGTTGTCCTGTTCATGTTAGGAGGCAAAAGTTCTTGAGTAGTGTCAGCAAAGAGGGGAAACCTCAATGCCTCAGAAGGCCAAGCGTCCTTGCAGGATTGAAAAGGAGAAGACAGAAAGCTGGATTGCTCAAGTTCAAAGCAGAGGATACACCAGGGCTGAGTCAGGGAACAGGCGCAATGGCAACACTGCTCCCGCTTGTGCTTGCAGACAGGCTCTGAGTCACATTCTTCTGCACCCATCCTCCAGGGATATGTGGCCAGCTCCCCTTCCTAGAGGGAAAGGCAGAGAACTTGACTAACCTACCCTAACAGTAACCCCATGACCTCACTGACCCTGCCCAACAGGCCAGAGACATGATCCCAAAGTACTGGTAAGTGAGCACATGATTAGGATGATCAAGATTGTCCTGGTTTTAACAGTGAAAATCAGGCATCCTAAGAAAGCCCTCAGTTCCTAATCTGAACTTCTCTCTTCTTACCTGTTAAATGGGCATAACCCACAGAGCTGACTTTCTCACTGGATTGCTGAGATAAACAGGTAAGGTAAGATATTTGATTATAAGCCCTTTATTTTCTACTTATATTCTACTGTGAAGTGGAAATGAGACCACAAGCAGAGGAAGGAAGGGAGGGAAGGACAGAGGGAGGGAGGGAGGAAGGAAGGGAGGGAGGAAGGAAGGAAGGAAGGAAAAGAAAGGAAAGGAAGGGAGGGAAGGAGGGAAGGGGAAGAAGAACAGGGAATAGAAGGAAGAAGATATAGACAGAGAAGAAAGAGAAAATGTTGGAAGGGAACAGCCCAATGCAGTGAAAAGGGAGGCCTAAGTGACAGACAGAGCACCTTTAGAGCCCACCCCTCTCTCCCCTCCATCTCTTCAAAACCTATGCAGCCTTCAAAGGCCCAGTCTGAGCTAGCCTCCTCCTCCAAGAAGCCCTCCCTGACCACCGTGCCACAAAGGTCTCTTTCTCTCCTTTGGACTCCTGGATAATGTAGGGTCTATGACATGCCATCAGCTCTGAGTCAACTACTTTTCTTTTACTGTAGGTATTTTACATATAAATGTCACTTCTCCCCTTCTAGTTCATACATAACTTGCTATTCCTATCATTCCTGTAGTGCCTTGCTCAGGGAGGGTATTTAGAGGGTCTTATAAATATTTCTAGTTGTCTGAATGAGTAAATGGGGAAAAAATAAGTGGGCTTTGTACAGGAAAGAAATACAAGTGATCTTTAATTCCCTCTGAAGCATGCCTGCAATTGGGTGTTGCCTACCTGGCTTCACAAAGAGGAGATGAGATGTACCAGGTCTGGGGTTCTGGAAACTTGGGATCTAGCCAAGCTCCTCCACTTCCCCAGCTCGGTGACTTTGGTCAGGCCATGTCCTCCCCTTCCCTGAGACCTCAATTCTCTCCCCTGTAAAATATCAGAGGTGACTCGATCCTCACTTCTCCATGTGTGGTCTGTGGACCGGCAGCATCATCCAGCTGGGTGCACTTTAGAAATGACAACCATAAGCTCCACCCCACACCTGCCAATCAGGAGCTGCACATGGCCCCCAAGTGGCTCATAGGTTCCTCGTAGCTTGAGGAGCACTGAGTTCTCTGATGGCTCTGCATGCACCATTTTCCAGCCTCTTCTTGTCCCATCCTCAAGGACAGGCACAAGAGCCCCCAGAGACCCTGCAGGGACTCATGAGCTGCCTGGACTTCCCAGACCTTTCAGGGCAGTAGATCCGTTATCTGAAGCCTTTCTCTTGCCTCTCCTGATGGGGGTGAGGTCGCTACTCACAGGAAGTTTTCAGGATGAGAAAAGAGAAATTATTTCCCTCTACCATGAAGAAAGCCATTACCAAAGCATTCAGCTAAGAAGGAAGAGGAGTTGACCAGTGCACAAACCTGATAAGCATCTCCTCGCTTCTCAGACTTTTTCCACTCCTTACACACAACTCTTAATCTAGGAAAATGACTCGGCTTTCAAGTGTGTTTAATCATCTCCCTGGGACCTTGCTAGGGAGTGCATGGGTGGGACGCCTTCGAAGGATTCAGAGTTCAGAGCCACTGGGACCTCAAAGGTTTCTCGAGCCCTGTTGGGTACCAGGCTGGAGTTGGAGCAGGGCCTCATGTGTTAATGAGAGGAGCAGGGCTGAGGCGTTAATGAGAGGAGAAACTCAGCAGCCAAACTCCTCACCGGCTGCCTTTTTGAAAGCCCCCAGGGAGAAAATCATAATAAAGCCTTCATCACCGCTGGGTTAGCACCTTCATGTTATGAGATGTTCCCAGATAACTGAAGTTCACCTTTGTAGATCCCAAATTCATTTCATTTTCACTGAGTAGACCTTTTCCTAAATAGGATGACACCATTTTCTGAAGCTGAATATAGAGTGCAAATTAATTTTGAGGGAGTTGTTCATGCACATCACCATGATGGAAGCCCCGTGAGGACAGGAAATTTTGTCTCTGCTCCCTGCTGTGTCCCCAGTGCCTAGAACAAAGGGCCTGCAAGATGCTCACTCAACCTAAGGGAAACATTTTGCTATGCCAGGCACGTCCAGCTCTGGAGATAGGGGGAGGAGTAGATGAAATTTCTCTCCTCCCAGGCAGAGCTCAAGGGCCAGACAGGGAATGTTGGAATGTCAGGTTCCAGCCACTGATAATTGTGAGTCCTGCTGACTTTGCAACCCAGGCTGCACCTACTCTAGGGAGGCTGTTTTTGTTTTTATTTTTTAGAGATAGGCTCTTGCTCTGTCACCCAGGCTAGAGTTTAGTGGTGTGAACGTAGCTCACTGCAGCTTCTACCTCCTCGGCCAAAGCCACCCTCCTTCCTCAGCCTCCTGAGTAGCTGGGACTATGGTCGCATGCAACCATGCCTGGCTAATTTTATTCATTTTTTGTAGAGATGGGGTCTCACTGTGTTGCCCAGCCTGGTCTTGAACTCCTGGCCTCAAATAATACTCCTGCCTCTGCCTCCCAAATTGCTGGAATTACAGGCATGAGCCACTGCACCCAGCCTGGAGGTTTTTAAGCCATGGTGTCAGTGTTTTTAAAACTAGCTTTCCTTGGCCAGGTGCAGTGGCTCACACCTGTAATCCCAGCACTTTGGGAGGCTGAGGCGGGCAGATCACGAGGTCATGAGATTGACACCATCTTGGCTGACACAGTGAAACCCCATCTCTACTAAAAATACAAAACAAAATTAGCCGGGCATGGTGGTGGTCGCCTGTAGTCCCAGCTGCTTGGGAGGCTGAGGCAGGAGAATGGTGTGAACCTGGGAGGCGGAGCTTGCAGTGAGCCGAGATTGCGCCACTGCACTCCAGCCTGAGTGACAGAGCGAGGCTCCGTCTTAAAAAAAAGCTACCTTTCCTTTCTTTCTGTTAGGCTCTCAGTGGTCTCTTAAACTTGCATGGAATTATAAACAGGAGGGAAAGTTAGAACTCATTCTCAAGAAGAGAATGTGCTTGTGTCACAGGTGCCCCCGCCTGCAGTCTTTGCCATGGAAGTCAGCACCTCTCAGCCAGGACAAGCTACTCCCCCAGTAGCCTCTTCCCATCTCAGGCTGTCACTCCAATTGGAGGGCATTGGCCTAAGAAGCATTTCATAACCTTGATATAGTACAAGCCACACATTTCCAGAGCGAGGAAACTGAGCTCCAGAGATGAGCTGATTTCCTAAGGTCAAGCAGTTAGGGTAACCAAGAAGACCAGGTCTTCTTATGCTCAGCATGGGGCTCTCTGCTCCTATCAGCTGTGGGCCTCCTTCTCATGTTCTACCACACACACACTTCTGATTTCCTACTAGCTGGAAGAAAAAATATAAACAGATAAATGAGCTTGTTAAAACTATTTCTAGAGTGAAAATACATAGGCACTCTTCCTATTTGCTCAACATCATATGTCCTTAGGGAACGGCAAATTAAAACAAGATACCACTGCACATCTATTAGAATGGCTAAAATCCAAAACACTGACAACACCAAATGCTGGGGAGGATATAGAGCAACAGGAACTCTCACTCATTGCTGGTGGGGACGCAAAATGGCAAAGCCACTTTAGAAGACAGTTTGGCAGTTTCCTACAAAACTAAATATACTCTTACCATATGATCCAGCAATCACGCTCCCTGGTATTTACTCAATTGAGTTGAAAACTTAGGTCTACGCAAAAACCTGGACGGGAATGTTTATGACAGCTTTATTCATAATTGCCAAAACTTGGAAGCAACTAAGATGTCCTTCAGTAGGTGAATGGATAAACAGACTGCGGTATATGCATACAATGCCATACTATTTAGCAATATAAAGAAATGAACTGTCAAGCCAGGAAAAGACATGGAGAAACCTTAAATATGTATTACTATGTGCAAAAAGTCAGTTTGAAAAGGCTACATACTGTATGAATCAGACTATATGACTTCCTGGAAAAAAAAGACAAATTATAGAGACAGTAAAAAGATTAGTGGTTGCTGAGAGTTTGTGGGGAGGGGAGAAAGGGATGAATTGGTGGAGCACAGAGGATTTTTAAGACAATGAAATTATTCTATATAACACTGGAATGGTGGATACAGGATATATATATCCTATATAACACTGGAATGGTGGATACAGGATATATATATTCTATGTAACACTGGAATGGTGGATACAGGATAATTACACTGTGTAATTATACAACACAAAGACTGTTCCCATACTATAATATAAACCATGGATTTCAGTTCATAACAATGTATCGATATTGCCTCATCGACTGTAACAAATGTGCCACACCCATGCAGGATGTGAATAGGGGAAACTGAGTGAAGGGGAGAGGAAATATATGGGAACTCATTGTACTTTCTGATCAATTTGTCTTTAAACCTACAACTGCTCTAAAAAATTAAGACTCCTAATTAAAAAAAAAAAACAATCTATGCCTACAGTGAAAATACACAGGCACTGTTCTATTTGTAAAATGCATGAGCGTTAGTGTCTGAATCGGTGACACCCAACGGAGGAGCAGGGAGATTGGTCGTGCTGTCTAACATCACACAACAGGTCAGGATTCCAGCTATAACTTGAACACGCCTCTTAATTCTCACATTTGCAGAACTTACGCTAAGCCACCTTGATACAGAATCAAGAACCCTCAACCTGAGGTCATTCAGGCCTGGGTGCTGCCTCCAAAGGGCACCTTGAATGTCCCTTCCACCACATTAGTCCCTTCCACCACATTAGTCAGCAGGACAGACTCCCTCGTTTCCCCAAGGAAGGTCTCTCAAGAGCTTGTAATTGACAGAAGCAACTCCTGATGCCTGATCTGGGTCCCTTCCTGCAGGGATTCTCGCCCTTGCTCTCCTCACTTGATCCTTACTGGAACTTTGATAAATAACTATGGGTTGTTCCACATCGAAACCCAACCTGCAGAGGAGGATTGGGAGCCAGACCTCCACGGCAGAAGCCGTCGCAGGCTGCGCTGCAGCCGCTGGGCTGACGGATCGACAGCAGTCATGTGCAGGCACGAACATAAACGCCTCATCATCTCACTAAAGCCCTCTTTATTCACCCTGTATTTTTCCACACATTTCATTTCCCATCATGGCTGATTGCCTAAAGCATTCATGTGAAAATAGCAGATTTTTGCCTATGTTTGTTACTCCCCATCTCCTCCCAATAATGCAGTTTATTGGATTCTCAGAAATGCCATAAACACTTGGCATGTCCAAGGTGAAGAAACAAAGAGAAAAAGAAATAAAATAGCAGTGATACTATCATGGAAAGGGGCTGGGGCCTGGCGTTGGCTGGGAGCACTGAAGTCAAAGGTATCATGACTTGCTAGAAGGTCCCTTGGTGATGACCTCATTTTATAAATAGGGAAACTGGGGCCCAGAGAGGTGAATTCCCCCCAAGGTTTGTATGTGGAGGATGATGACTGGTGGATGTTCCTGATGGGATTTCTTTCTCATCAGGCCCAAAAATGCATGAAGAAGAGTTCTGAACAAAGTGTCATGGAGTGGTAACAATAGCTCACTGATCTATTTTTTTCATTGGGATCTTTTTGCATCCTCTCTTCTGGCTTTTACCCACAGAGTAAAATCTCATGGACCAGTAAGATGAGAGGTAGAATGTGAAGAAAAAGGGACAGGAATCAGCATATCTTGAGCTTCATGCCCAGCCACGGGCTAGAAACATTACATGTGTTAATTCAAGTTCCTGCAATCATCATATAAAAATCTTTCTAGAAAGAACTCCAGACTCGCAAAGCAGGAGACCCTAGGAAAGAGATATCATAGTAGACAATATTGACTGAGGGCTTATTATTTCTAGGCACCAGTTAGGCACTTATTTGTTCATTTAAATCTCACACGGACCCCATGAGGCTGGTATATGGTCATTCTCCCACTTGACAGATGAGAAAGCTGAGGCAGCTGGACATAGGACCTTTCTTAGGGTTTCAAACCACCTTGATACTAAAGCAAGGACCCTCAACCTGAAGTCATTCAGGCCTCGGTGCTGCCTCCAAATGGCATCTTAAATGTCCCTTTATGGTTTCCATGAAGCCCCTGGTTGGGCTTCATTCCATAAGCCTTGCTCCAGGGCTGAGGTGCTGTGTGCCTCTCTCTCTCTAGAAATGTCCATTCACCTCCATCTGGGCAGTGGCACAGACCCCTTTCAGTGCCAGAACCCATATGAGTTATTTTGAAGGGTTTTTTTTAATACCTCATGTCATGTGATCCTCACCACACCCCTGCAAAGTGGGCAGAGCAAAGACAATGATCCCCATTTAACAAAGTGAAGAACCAAAGTTCAGAAAAGTGAAATGGAGAGTCCCAGATCTCACAGCTGGTAAGTGGCCAAGCACAGGTGTGTGCCCCAGTGGCTTAACTTCATGGCTGTTTATACCATGCCACCATGACCCCAGACCCCCCTGTGCCCAGGAGAACACTCCGAGTCTATCAGCAACCCTACGGAGATGCCGAGTGGAAAGGTGATGGAAGACGGGGAAGGGGGTTATGACAAGCAGCCACTCCCACCTCCGATTTCATTTTTATTTTCTCAGCGTTTGTTTGAAGAGGACATTTCCTGGTTGACTTCACTGGGGCTGGTTTTGGGGGGACTTTGGAAGAAAGAAGCCCAACCATCCTCTCCCCAGGCTTCCCTTTCCTTTCTTTCTTCTCTCATCTTCTGGAGACCCCGCCTCTTTGCTTCCTTCACAGCCACACGGCTTTTAAACAACCCCTGTCAGCCTGATGTGTTGGTAATTTTGCAGTCTGGGTGACATTTAAATGCACGGTCCTGGAAGAAATCACATGGATTTGGATACACCAGAACACTAAATTTAACCAACCCAGAGGTCCCTGGGGGAGTCGGGGAGGAGGAAGGAGAAGGAAGAGTTCATCCTGGGAACCAGTTCTGCAAAACGCAGGTGCTGGGCCACCCCTGGCCTGCCCTTCTCTGCTATCAGGAAGTGGTAAACGGAGCTCCAATCAGCCCACATTCACCTCGCACTATTGTCAGGTGGTTGCTCTGAAAGGCCCTAATCATTTCCCCTATTATCTGGTTTAATACAAAGCAGTGCAAAGCACTGTCAAAGCTGCATCTCTCTCAGCAGAGAACCCTGAGGTATGTTGATATGTGTGTGTGCAGACATGTGAATTCACACACACCACCCCCACACATACACACACTCACACAGGTTAAGAGGGGATGTGGCAAAGGGAGGGACACAGAACACAACCACCCCATCCCATCTCTAATCTTCCCTCTAGAATGCGAGTAGTGAGGAAGGTGCCTTGACTGTCAACCCCCCCAGCTCCCCAAACAGGCAGCTACTCTGAGACCCTGCGCTGAAAATGGATGACCAGTGTGTCCTCGTGCCAATTCAGGGAACATGTGTGGCTTAATCATGTTTGAATTCAGAATCACCAGGATTTTTCTCCTTGCCTCAGTTTCTCTTTTTGGCCATCAGATCTTAAGCAATGACACAGTAACTCAGGTTCACTACTTTCCTCCATTCAAGGGTCTCTTGGAAATTAAGCAGAACCCTTTGAAAATAAAGAAAGGTTAGACCTGCCCATAAAATTTGGGAAAGTAAATAAATGATCTACGAAAATGTCCTTTTCATGTGGAAATGCTAAAGCCCTTATAAAATGTCACACCCTGGGTGATGTTATTGCTCAATAAGATGCAAGGCAGGGGCCAGATGTAGCAGAGTGAAACAAATTATTGTCTTAACAGCTGGAACCAGGATGCCTCTTAGAGAAGGAACAGTCTTTGCTTAGAAAAATACTTCTTGAAAGACACGGTGTGATAGATGGATTGTAGTAGCACCCTCGGCGTTTCACGGCGGTTGCCTCCATGCCCTTGGGTAGTGCCTCCCACACTGACTCTGGGCTGAGCCACACAACCTGCCCATGTGAAGGGGATGACAGCAAAGTTGATGCAAACAGAGGTCTGAAAAAGACGCTTGCATGTTTCCGCTCTCTTCAATCCTGCCCCACCCAGAACATAACTGGAGAGGTACAGGAGACCCCGGCAGAGGCTAGTACCCTTCTGGAGAGATATGGAAGACCCATGGCAGGAGGTGGGTCCTACCGCTCAAGGCCATCCCAGACCAGCTGTAGGGTAAACACACCTGACACCAATAACTTCAGCATACCCTTGGAATGACCCTGTATGGCAGACGCACCTGAATACGTGTTTCGAGCTAGGGAATCCAGACCCAGCCAACCTGGAGATGCATTCCTTGTCTATGAGGAATATTTACTAAGCTCCTGGCCCTTCCTGTGGAACATGGGCCAGACAGGGGATTGAGGCCCTGAATTTTGGGTTAAATGAAGGGTGCCAGGTAGAGGTCATTAGGGGGAGGGTATTAAGTGAAAATGCTACATAAACCACATGCCGTTTGCAAGAGCTTGTCGTTTTCCTACACAGCCCACCCACCAGGGAGCCATATGTTTTTCCTGCCCCATCTGCCACTGCTACGCCATGCAATTACCTTTTCTAGCCCACCGCCACTGGGCTTTCTCCCCTGTATGTAAGCCCCTAATAAAACCCCAAGTCTCCTCACACCTGTAATCCCAGCAGTTTGGGAGGCTGAGCCAGGGAGATCCCTTGAGGTCAGGAGCTCAAGACCAGCCTGGCCAACATGGTGAAACCTCATCTCTACAAAAAATATAAAAATTGGCTTGGCATGGTGGTGCATGCCTGTAATCCCAGCTACTTGGGAGACTGAGGCAGGAGAATTGATTGAACCCAGGATGCAAAAGTTGCAGTGAGCTGAGATCGTGCCACTGCACTCCAGCCTGGGTGACAGAGCAAGACTCCAAAAAAAAAGAAAAAGAAAAACGTCTCATCTTGTTGCTGGTTCTGGGTCTCTTCTTCCAGCTCTGGAGCCTGGTGCCTTTCCTCCTGAGGTTAACAGGGGATCCGCACTATACCAGGCACCCCCACAAACATCCACCAGTCAACAACCTGAGCATAAACAAGCCCAGCCAAGATCAGCTGAGTCTAGCCACAATCAGCAGGCCCATTCCACTGAAGCACAGACTCATCCAAAATAATAAATGACTATTGCTTAAGACACAGAATTTTGGCATGATTTGTTACATGGCAACAGTCAGTTAACACACATGACCTGGGAGGGCACTGGCTAATAGGAATCAGGAAACTAAAGGGGTCACTAAGCTGCAAGGAACAAGAGTTAGGAATAGAAGAGGAGAAAGTAGAGAAGGAAAGAAGAGGGGAAGGTCTAGAGCAATGGCAGAAGGAATAAGCATTCACAATCGCTCATATGCAATGCTAATTGTTTGTGTTACTTAATATATCCATCCTTTATTCAGTGAAGTCTGCCTCATACATAAAGACCTTGTGGGTATGAGTGAAGGAGTGTGTTTATAAATCATAGCAGGAGGATGAGTTCCACATCTGAGTCAACGCAGAATGCAACAGAGACAGTGAGAAGATCTGTAACTAATTTGGTGGCAGCACAAGCTCAGAAGTGAAAGGGTTCATGAAGACGTAAGTCCTTCTGGAGCTTACAGAGGAAAGCATCGGGCTCTCCCCAAAATATGGACCTCCATGGCATGGAGTTCATGTCAACCTCTCCTAGACCTTAAAGGCTGGATGTTCCAGCTGACACCCAGGCCACGTGCCCAACGCACGCTCTTAGGACTCGTATTTTTGTGAGCTCCGTGCTAGGTAGCATGAGATTTAGGAAGTACCAGGCCTGCATTCTCACTTATCCTAGCTCATCCTCCCGATGAGTTCAAAAAGTCAGCAGCATTTATGAAGTATACACATACACATACTCACACACTCACACACTAAGTACACACATGCCTTTCCTAAGCTTTCTGGAAGTCTCCCAAACAAAAGGGAATTTATCATAAAACTAGTGAAACTTAAGCTTCAGAGATCCTCACTACCCCTTCCAAGTCCAGTATCCAATTTCATATGCACAACGTATTTTTTTTTCCTTCAAAGATCATGCAAGTTTGAAGCTCCATAAAGCCTGGATCCACCCCTTCTCTAAAAGGTCCAGTCAAACATCTGGCTCCCAAACCAAATTACTCTCACTTGGAACCACATGGTGGCACAGTGGGCTTGGCTTGGGAGGGGCACCCTGCCCTGCCCAGCCATCAGGAGCAGGGCACACAGACCCCTACCCCATGCCCCACATGTCTGCCAACATGTGAAGTCATTCTCCATTTCCATCCACAAGACCTCTTAAACATCCCCATCCACAGGCGGGTGGAAGCAGATAGGGTCCTAGAACATTCAAAGATGCCGGAAAACCATGGGTCATGTTTCCTTTCCCTTTCCCTTCCTTTCCTACCCTCCTCTCTCCTTTCTTTTTACTACCCAATACCTTCTCTCGGGACCATCTCATTCACTCACGTGGCTTCAAGCATATCTTCCCACAGACACCTAAATCTCAACACATCCACAACTGAGGCATTTCTGCAAATATCTAAACATGCCCCTGAATCCCCTCTCCCAGAGAACACACAAGTCAGCACCAGGCACCCCGTCCACAGGCCTGGAGTGATACACTTCTTCCTCCATCCCCTGCCCCCACGTTCCACCAGTGACAAAGCTTTTCTGTTTTCTGTTCAAAGCACTCCTGCAGCCCATTCCCTCCAGTCCACTCTATGACCACCTCTGTTCAGGCCTCCATTGTGTCTCCCCTGGGCCATTGTCCCTAGATATGTCCCCCTGACTCCAGTGTCACCCTCTCCCTCAGTCATCCTCCACACTGAGCCAGGGGGCTTACCCTGAAATGAAATGTTACTCCATCCTACTATAAGCAAAATTATTCAGCAGTCCTCCACCAACAACCAACATCCAAGCTCCTTTACTTGACATCAGAGGTCTTTCGTGACCCACGCCACCGTGACTACACCACCATCCCCTTCCCAGATGCTGGTATCTACAGCCTCTCATATCCCCCCTCACATCCCTCTGGCTCCCTGGCCTCCAAGCTATCTTGCTGTATACCTCCTCTTCTTGAGGGGCCCTGTGCCCCACCTCTATTTCCATTCCATCCATCAAGCAAACACTTGCCCATCCTTCAAGGCCCAACTCAAGCTCAGCCCCCTCTATGCAGTCTTATCTGATGCCCATCCACACCTCCCTTCCCCAAGTGGACTAATCACTCCCTCCTTCGAGCTCCGGTTTTACCTAGTACCACTGTCATTATTGCATCTGGTATTCAATACGAGTTATGTAAATTACACATCTTCTGGGGTCACCTGAGTCCCTTTAAGATTGGCTTGGGCCCCAGTTCTTGGCCAGTGGAAATCTCAAGCCCACTTTTGGATTTTTATGACTTCCTGGGAAGCTGCATTCTCCTAGTCACCAATGATTCTGGGCTTTTTACCTTTATTGCCCTAAGTGAAAGACTGCATGTAAATAAATAAATATTCACACAAAGCACCGATGAGTATTGTGGATTATTCTTTAAACGTCTTTCAGTTATCCACACCTGGAACGTTTTATTACATCTTCACCCCAGAATCTTCAACCCAAAGATTAACACTCATTCATTGGCTTCCATTTCTACCCTCTCCCCACCTTCTCCCTTTTCTTGTTCCCATCCCCCTCACACCCACCGAGATTTCCACCAAGAGCCCCAAATTCTTCACTTCTCATTGTGCAGATCACTTCCTCATCCTAGGTCTGACAGCCAAACTCACTGTAGAATCACATCAATACAAAAAAAAAAAAAAAAAAAAAAAAAAAAAAAACCCACCAAAGGTCATCACTTCCTTAGATCAAAGTGGTGGCTGTAAAAATAAAAAAAAAATTTCCTCTCACACTGTCCATCTCCCCCACAGACTCTGCCCTCTTGAGAGCACAGTGAGGTCTTATTCACCTTTCTATCCTCCCTGTGTAGCACAGTGGCTGGCATGTAAAATGCATGCAAAAAATATTTGTTGAATTAATCAATGAACGAATTCACACATGACTCCACATGCCAGCCCACCCCTTACGCTCTGGTTGCCTGAACCAGAAGCGAAATGGTCTAAGCAGAGAGCGGAAGTCTGGGGAAAGATGGGTTTGAGATAGGAGGGACTTCACGGGGAGGAACACTTTTCCTCCCTTCATCTTCATGAACCACAATTTCCCCTCTTGAAAACCAGTCTCTCTCCCATCAAATGATCACCTCAGCCACCTTCAGTTGTGGTTCAGCATATTTCTGCATGAAATAAATGTTATTTTCTGGTGCACCCAGGTTTCATTAGTCTTCCTGTCAGGGAAAATCAAAGCAAGAGGGGAGAGGCGCCTGGCAGAAAGTGGCTTCTTGCTTACGCCAGGAGGAAAAGGATAATGTTGCCCATGGAAAGAGAGGGAGGAAGAGAGAGAGAGATGGAAAACTAACTTCCTCATTTAATCAAGTTGAAACACGGATTATATGGGTTGAAAAACAGTTACCTTGTTCTCGCACCGGTCTCTTGCTCTGTCCGGGGCTATAAAACCCTTTGCGATTTTATCTTTTCATAAACTTTTATTGAATCTGATGTTCAAGGGGCCATGGAGGATCATCCAATTAAATTCCCCCCTCTAATCCTACTCTTAAACTCCAGCACTAAACTGATGGGAGATTAAAAGCTAATAAAGATGACAAATGAGAGGTGATCAGCAGGTTGATAAGGGATATAGAGTCGGATGGGGATTTGCCAGAGGGGAGTGAGGCCCGATTCTGCAAAACACAGGGGTGGACAGAGCTTTCCTCGTGGCAAATTCGAAGAATTCTGAACAGATGCAATATGGATGCCCATGACAAGGTCCTGCTCAGTGATGCTGCAATCTTGGGGTTAAGACAGGCTGCCCAGGGCAGGGTTATATAGCAGGAAGATGGCTGGAAGTGGCACAGAATTACTACGGTTGAAATAACAATACTGCTCATGCTAGCCACAAACCATGCGTGATGCTAACACACTATTCATTGTACAAATATTGTCATAAGGATGGCCATAGAACTGTCCTATGTAGAGTGCGAACCACATGCCAGGCGCTATCATATGAACTTTGCATTCGTTCTACTGAGGATAGAAGTCATGTGTGAGTGGAATCCTTGCCCATTACATACATTAGCAAACTAAGGTTCAGAGCAGGCAAACCATTTTGCCAAAGCCCATCAGTAACTGGCAAAGCCAAGATTAGAATCCTGTCTTTCCGAAAAAATAATCCCCACCACATGGGGTTGTATTAAGGATGTCATGTGAAAAGACAATGGTGCAGGCTTTGTAGTAGCCACTGAAAGTTTAGTTTGGTTTCCTAGACCCATATCTTGTGATTTGAACATCTGGAAAAGAATCCATATATTCCTCACCATCACCACTCCCAAAATGCGAGTTTTAACGATGAGGAAAGTGAGAGCAATTTTTTCAAACATCATGCCATATAGTTTATATCAATTCATTTAATCATTTTACAGGCATCTATGAAAACATTTCTTTGCCAGAGTCTTTCATAAATATGTATCAAACTAATCCTCACATCAGCCCTGAGAAATAGGAATTATTTCTTCATTTTAATTAATGAGTAAACAGAGGCTTAGAGAATCTAAATGATTCTCCTAGGATTGCAAAGCTAATAAGTGACAGGGATGAAATTCAGACCCAGGTGTGCCCTGATGCCAAAGTCCTAATTCTTTCCACTACACCTGCCTCATTGGTGGTCCAGTAATGGGGATGAGACAGAGATACCATTAAATAACAAAACACGGCTGTGTGGCCTGCACCCTGCAAGATATACACACTACCATCATCATTTCTCCACAGGAAGGCATTTCAAAAAAGGATTCATACAGAGGGAAGCATTGTTTTTTTGGCTTTCTGGAGGTGGTGAGTTACAGATGTCATAGGAAAGGGGGAAAAAACAACACGAGTAGATGCTCAGAGAAGGAAGGAGGGGGCCTGTTGCGGGGTTTGGAGTACCCCAGTGTAGCTGCATTGTGTGGGTTTCAAGAAGGGAAGATTGGACACATAAAGAGGTTGGGTGAAACCAGGAAGACCTTGACTGTTACGGTAAGAAGATTCAAGAAAGCGAGTTAAAAGCTCCATGTTGGCCAGGCACGGTGGCTCACACCTGTAATCCCAGCACTTTGGGAGGCCAAGGCAGGTGGATCACCTAAGGTCAGGAGTTTGAGACCAGCCTGGCCAACATGGTGAAACCCCTTCTCTACTAAAAATACAAAAATTAGCCAGGCATGGTGGTGCATGCCTATAATCCCAGCTACTCAGGAGGCTGATACAGTAGAATCTCTTGAACTCAGGAGGCAGAGGTTGCAGTGAGCCAAGATTACACCACTGCACTCCAGCCTGGGCGACAGAGTGAGACTCCATCTCCAGAAAAAAAAAATTAAAAAAGCTCCATGTCACACCACTGTTCCCTGCTTCTAGGGACATCATGTCTCCCAAGAAACTGTGGCTCAGGTGCCCTAGGAAATGAGCAAAAGCGACAAGGCTCCTCACAGTGGGACAGAAATGGCAAGTTTCTCCCGAGTGGAGTGAACCGAGGTGTGGTTGGAAATCAAGCGGTCAGGACCTCCACCCTCAGCCCCGCCCCTCCTAGCCCACTCACTGTGTCTGTGGCCTTGCACAGCTCGCCACTTGGGACGTGTCCTTCTGTTCCTGTGGAGGATGAGAAGGCTGAAGAGATGATTTCTTCTTATGGGCAATCCTATCAGTGCTCAGAGAAGAATTCACTTTGGCTTAAACCACCAGACCCCTGCAGTCTTCCAGATTCTCAGGCCCACAGGCACTCACATCTAAGGAAAAAAGGGAATCTAACTTTTTCTGAGCCCTGACTAGATACCAAGCCCCGTCACCCACATGATCTCATTTTAACATCACAGACGCACCATGCAGCTTTGATTAACCTCATTTTTACAGACAAAAAAAAAAAATCTCTGAAGCTCAAGGACACGCAGCTAGTTCAAAGTCTCATTTGTCTGACTCCAAAACATGAATTGTTTTCACTACATCAATGATTCTCAGTCCTGGCTGGTTATTAGAATAACGTGGGAAAGTCCCACCCCAGGCAAATTGCTGGTAGTGCAGTGCAGGAACTGGTAAGCTACAGAAGCCCCTTGGGTGATTCTATTTGCAGCCAAGGTTGGGAAACTCTGTGCTAATGTTTGCTTCTCTCTAAGACAATAGCCCTTGAGTCTCATCAACCACAACCCCCATCCCTAGCCTCAGCCCCACCCACCAAGTAAACCCAGTCCAAGTCTCTGACTCTTTTTACAAGTTAATATTCATTTCATCACATTTAATTAACACAGGGAGACTGGAGCTGTCTCAGCTTCGCACCCAGCTAACAGGAGTCCACGCCTCCCTTGGAGTTCAATCACGGCACTGTCTTACGCAATTAGCTTCCTTCGCCCTGATCTGAAGGGTCTGTGCCCATAAATATCAACCAATTTTATTGATATTTGTAATTAAAACCACCCAACGGGTCACACTCGGTTCAGCAAGTTTGCAACACACACATCCATAATGGGAACATGAGCGCATTTGTATTTGACATTTGATAGATAATAATCCTGGCCATTTCTCATTTTCAGAACATCCTGTGGGTACCAGCTAATTAAGCCGAGCATGTCTCCTGGGACTGACGTCGTTCTTCAGACAGACTCCTTTGATTGTCTTTGTTTCTGAAGTTTCAAGGAAACCAAGGACCAAAAAAGTGGGGTGACAGGCTAAAACCACAGAGAGAAAACTACATGGGTACTAGGTCTGATCTTGCCAACTTCTCAAGTTTCTTCTCCAAACTTCTCTCTGTATCCTTCTAAGGATAAAACCAATGGCATTAAGGATGAGCTCCAGGCCTCCCTTGGAAGCCCCAGTGCTATTTCTCTGGAGTTATTTCTGCTGCCTCAATTGGACCCTTCCATCCATAAAATTATATGGACAAAGCCTAACTCAACCCTGACTTCCAATCTAGAGCTGGAGTAAGATCTGCCACCACCAGCAGCACCACAATCTCACCTCTATGTTGGCCCAGTTGTAGCTACACCCACAGGTTGTTTGAGATCTGGTTGGGTGGTTTTTACCTGAAAATTACCAACAAGTTCATCTGTGAACTCCCTGGAGACCCAGAGCAGGACTCTGCTGAAGGCTCTGTCATGGAGCATAGCTAGTTGCTGAGCACGGGCCCAGCATAGGCTCGGGTTATTAGATCTGCCCACTTCTCATTTTCCCTTTGAAATCTCATCACTCCAATATACCCAGTGAGATTTAAGACCTTTTCCCAAATCCCCTAACAGCATTCTTATAAGAAACATTCAGTCTTCAAGGGAGTTAAAAGGAAGCCATTCTATCCTCAAGGGCAGCCTTTTGAGTGCCTTGGCAGGAGGATTATTACTCTTGTGACCTAGAATAATCCCTGCATTTCCAAACCCCACAAGGTAGAAGGGAATTCCAGCAGGGAGGAGGCCAGAAGAACAGGTGGAGAGAGATAGCATGGAGACAGATGAAGATATACTGCCCGGCAATGGTGGAGGAGGGCATTTTTACAGTATTATGACTTATGCCACACCTGTTTCCAGAAATGATTTGAGACCATTACAATAATAGGCACATATCCAATAAAGCCATTAAAATAGAAATAAGGAGGACCTATAAATGTCTGCAAAGGGTGACATTGAAGAAGTCATGATTCCCATTATCCCAAGAGCTCAAGTAGAAACAGTAGGTTGAGAGTGAGCATGAGGTGATTCATTGATCATTGGGACAACTAACTCAATTATTCAGGGACTAAGGATTCAATTTGTGATTAATCTTGGCCTCTGGCATCAGCCCTTTCTCTCTTCTGCTGCCTAACTATGAGGAATTTTACTATCCAGCATGCATCCATCCAAACGTAGCCATGAAAAGGGATGAAATCAGAGACTCTTACAGTTGGAAAGGATTTGATACATCACTTAGGAAGGCTTCCTACTAAGTCCAGGAGTTCCTTTTAAAGCTGCTGTTTCAGAAAGTTGTGCAGCATCAACTTGAATACCTCTAAAGACAGGACACTCACCACCAGATGAGGTATTTCTCATGAGGGTCCATTCTACTGCTAAACAATCCGATCATTAGAACCCTCCTTCTTATATAAAGATAAAATCAAATCCCTTAAAAAATCAAGCCATTATCCCAAACTTGATGAATCTTCAAAATTACCTGGGATGCTTTTGAAAAGAGATTCTTGTGGAAGTACAAATTAGTATGCCACTTAAGAAAACAGTGTGGCATTATCTGCTAAAGCTGAACATATGCACTCCTATGACCCTACAATTTACTCCAAGGCATACACTCAACATAAATACTTGCACGTGTGCACCAAGAGGCCAGTACAAAAACATTCTCAGCAGTGTCAGTCACAATAGTCAAAAACTGGAAGGAATCACAATGTCTGTCAACAGTAAAATGGGTAAATTTTGATATATTCATAAAATTGCACATCCTAGAGCAGAGCTGTCCAAAAGAACTTCATATGATAATGGAAATTTTCCGTTCTGCACTGTCCAAGATGGCACCCATTCATCACATGAGGCCACTGAGCACTTGAAATACGGCTCGTGCAAGAGAGAAACTGAATTGTTTATTTTAATTAATTTTAATTTAAATAGCCACATGTGGCTAGTGACTACTGTATTGGCTAGCACTGTGTAAGGGTGGAACAGTGAAAAAGAACAGACTATACAGAGTAACATGAATGAAACTCATTCAGTGAAAGAAGCCAGACCCTCCCAAAATGCCTACTTTTTATGACTACATTTATATAAAGTTCAAAAATAGATCAAATGAAATTAAATGTTTAGGGATGAAAAATTAAACGCCAGCGTTTGGGAATGCCTGCTTCAGAGGTAAACTTTGGATGGGAAGGAACACAGAGGGTCTGAGGGGAGCTCCTGGACCCTGGCAGTGTCCTATTTTGTGGATGTGTAGACATGACACAGGTGTTCACTTAGTGATAAATCATCAAGCCATTCTTTGTTCTGAGCACTTACCTATATGTGCTTTATATTTCACAACTTAAAAAGGGCTAAAATACAAATTGTCTTGGCAACGCTTTTGCAAATCTAAAATTATTCTAAAGTTACATGCTTATTTTTTTTAAACATCCATTCCCAGTGCTCTGCTCCAGATGTGTTGAATCAGATTTTCTGGGGATAGGTTCTAGGAATCCATATTTTTCTAAAGCCCTGGGGTAATTTTGTTGCACAGCTTGGTGGAAAAGCGTGGTTTCTCCTCCGTGAGGAAGCTCTTCAAGGCTGAAGGTCCCCAGAATCTTTTCCTTTTCCTACAGTGCTCGTTTCCAATTCCTAAGCAGCCAGGTGTCCCCTCTGGGCTCACTCTCGAGGGTAATAGCTCACTTCACTCTTCCTGGCCTGGGTTCTGTGGCTTCCTGCTCTGGTTGGCCCCTTCCACACAAGCCAAGGCAAACCCAGATGTTCACCACTTGTGTTAATAGCGGGGGAAGGATGAAAAGGGAGAAGCCTAAGAGTGACTGAGGGGGAGGTGAAAACTCCTGCTTAAAAGGAGAGTTCAGAATCTCATTTGTTCTGTGTCCCAGGCCTGGTTAACCACAGATAATGGCAGGCATTAGGAGCGTAACCCTCGACCCATCCGTTGAGTGGGCAGATGTGTGCAGGGTCCTTATTTGTCCTGTGACCTGCTTGATCTTCCCACCCTGGAATCCAGTTCTCCTCTCCATGCAGTAAGCTGCCTCCTTCAGGTCCTTCCTTAAGGTGTGAATTTTCCAGATAAGCCCTGTTGCTCCAGAAAAGCCACAAATACTGGAAATTTCTCCACCTCTCTGTTGTGCTTGGAAACTGCAGGTCTCAGGTATCAAGAAGGCAAGGTTGACCAGGAGGAGCGAGATGCAGGATTTCGCTAGAGAGGGAGCTGATGGGCATATACCCTGAGCCAGGCAGGTGAAAGGTCACATTCTAGGAAAATCAGCAGAAGCAAAGAGAAGCAGACAGTAAATAATCACTGATCTTGTGTGACCCCATCAACTTGGAAGCAGGCAGGCCGGGCCACTGTTCTGCACAGCTCCAGCCCCCTGCCATCAGTCACAAGACATGCTTGAGTTGCGCAGTGCCCAGCCTGTACAGCATATGTGGCTGCTCTGTAGGCTGGGTAGCTTTTTTAATTGTCATTATTAGTGGAAGAAACTGAGGATCAGAGAAGCACTGGGACTCATGCGCATCTCCTGGCTTCAGCCCTGTGCTGTTACGACCACAGTGCCCACTGCCCCAGTGGCTTCTGTTGACAGACCTGTGCTCACAATCAAAAAGACGCCCCATAAAAACCCACTGGGCAGTGATCAGCAACTCGCCTTCTCTAGGTAGAGAGAGGACCCAGGTAATGCCAGAGAGGCAGGCCTTCAACAGTCATGGTGGCCTCCGCGCCTGGCTTCTGAAAACCATAGCTAGAGGCTAGTCGGGTTTCCAGCATCAGGAAAAGAGCCTGGGGAATGCATGGGGAGGGAAAGCCAGACTCCACCTGCAAGGAACACACTCACTGAAAGCAGAGCAGGACATAATTAAGCCTAATTGTGTAAACCCTGCCATGCCTTCGAGTGAGAGGGATGCCAAGGTCTCGTGTTTCCTTCCGTTCTATGCAGCCTGTGCATCCCTACCTGAAGGTCACCCTCATTAACGTTGCCAAAAAAAGCCATCCCTCTCCACATGCACTTGTTCCACTCATAATAGGACCTCTTGCCTGCTGCCTGGGCAGATTAGGCCAGTGAATGCGTGTATGTCAGTGTGTCGGTGCGTGGGTGTCCGTGTGTATGTCCGTGGCAGCACGCGTGTCTTTCATAGCTGCATGTGTTTTATTTTCTTCGGGTATTTTATGTGCTTACATAGTCAAAATTAATGGGATCAGGTTGAGATTCAGATGACATCACATGGGTGACTCACATCTTGATAGATAGATAGATTTTCCTCCTCTGCATTCCTTTCAAGGTAACCTGGACTTGTCACACAACCACTGGGGGATGCCAGGAAGAGAGATTTTTTTCATGGACATTTGACATGGTCATTACAGTTAACAATCCTGGCTGTGGGGAAAAGGGCAGGGAGCAAAGTCCATGGCTAGTCCTTACCAGGGGCAGAGAGATGGGCTGATTAGTGGAGTCATCAACCCAGCACAGGCAAATATTGAGTACCCTGTCCGTCCTTCGCAGGACCACCAAGGGGCCACCTCATTGCAATCTGCATTGCTCTCGCTCCTGGAAATGACCTTTCTTCAGCCACCCTTTTTATGGCTCACCCTTTCCTCCTGGAAAGTAAACAGGTACTGAAGGGGAAATAAATAGTTATAGCAGCTGGAAAACATTGCAACAACAGATCAAGGTGGCAATTACGCAATCATTTCCGCTACTAGAATTTCTTTGAGGGAAATTTTCATTGGGAAAATGCAAAGCAGAGGGGCTGACTCATACTCTTTTCGACTCAACTCGCCCAGAATGCAGGAACCCACAGGTCACACTGACAAGGCAGGATGACCTCTAATTTTCAAAGACTAAAGATACCAACGAAGTCTTTCTCTCCTCGCTCTTTCTACGTGGTGTTTCTCCATCTTTGCAGCAGCTCTTTTTTCCTGGGGTTTGGGGAGCTTTTCCTTCCTAAAACATTAACTTGCAGACCCAGAGCCAAGTTAAATCAAGCGATCTAGGTTTTTAAAAACAAGCTGCTTGTTTGTTTGTTTGTTTTCATGCTAGACTAGCTCTAGGAGCAAAACTCTGTCTGTGTATACACAAGGCAGATCAGTCAGCCTTTGTCATGCAGTTTAGGGCAGTCATGGTCACCCTCATCACCTGGTAGAGAGGATACAGACACTCAGACTCCAGAACTCGAAGGGCTCTTCTGACCACCCTGTGCAATCTTCTCTCCTTCCAGGTGAGGACACAGAGAGGTAAAATAGTCACACCGCAGTGAGTGACATCTGAAGGATGAGAGTCCTGAGCTTCTGAAACCTCCAGCACTGAGCTCTTCCACACGCACTGTTCAGGATGCCTTCAACTCTCCTCAACCTGCTTAGCAGCAATAAAAATAATCTGCAGTGACAGTTTCAAGAGCTCCCTCTGGCAAATCCAGAAAAATGGCAAACTCTGCTTTTGTTGTTGTCGTTGTTGTTTTGTTTTGTTTTGTTTTGTTTTGTTTAGCAGAGCAGGAAAGTCCTGTGAAGATGAACTCAGAGGGAATGTGTAAGTTCGTCGAGGGGTAAGGGACATCTCTGTATCCTATCCAAGAATCCTGACCGAGTCAGGAAGTCTTCGCATTTCCGTCCACAAAGACCTGGCTCCATCCATCCACCCTTCCCTGCTGAGAAGTCCTGTGACTCTCTGAAGTAAGACCTCAGCCTCTGCTCATGCCCTGTAGAATCATCAACAAGGCAGATGTCCCCAAGCCCTCCCACTTTTTCTTTCTACCCTTTTGTTGTCACCCTGATCCTACCTGTATGTCACGTAAGTCCCTGTCCCCAAACTGAAACCACCTTCTACTCGATCTTCCCTGGAATCCACTCCATGCTCTTGACCTGAGCTCAGCCCCTATGTCAATATCCCAGCCTTTTATTAAGACCCGTTGCAAGCTCCACATCCTCCCTGGAGCTTGCCTTAGTTTCCCAATTGAAGCCAATATATCCTTCATTGTGTGTTTCTAGCCCTTTGTGTTTCCATTATCATGTGATAAGTGGCTCCCCAACACAGAATTGAGTTGTTTATGATGACATTCTTTACTGGAAGCTCCTTACCTGGCCTGGCCCTTTTCAGAGGAACCAGAATCTTAACTTTGATTGTCAGTAGCCTCCAACCCGGTAAGATTCACATAGAACTATATATATGTGTGTGTGTATGTGTGTGTGTGTGTGTGTGTGTGTGTGTATATATACATACACACACACACACATATACATGTACACATAATACATATATATATATATACACACATACATACACATGTATGTATGTATGTATATGCAGGTCTTTTCCTTAGGATTTTATCAAAATGACAAATAGATTGGTCAAAAGAGAATTCATACAAAGTCGGAGGGACAACCAGTTTCATTTATAGCATATAATGGTCTAGAGAGAATTATATGGCCATAGAGAAATTCTGATATCTGTCTCAGCTTCTCCACCCTGTGCGGCTAGAATAACCTTGAGCAATGGCACCAGTGGGAAGATCCCTGCCCTCTCAAGATTCTCTTCTGCTTGTGCAAAGCTGTCCTCAGAGTCAGGTGGGCCCCTTTTTCCTCAGGGCCCTTGAGGCTGTGACCCAACAGCTTGGTACTGACCTCAGTACTTTCCCTTAGTCCTCAATCTTCATCCGATTTTCTCCCCAGGCTTAGCTTTTCCCAGTGTTCCCTGCAAATTTGCCAGCTGCCTGCTTTACTGAGATGGGAATGGCCATTTGATGCTGTAACTCTCTGTCTCTTTAACCAGAGATCTCTGTCTGGGCTTCTAACAGCTCCCTTCTCTCTTCAGCATCCACATGATAAGGGAATTTTTAACTTGGTTTGGCAGGAACCCACTTCTTGAACTCTAAGGTGAAACAGATTCCGCATTGTGCGGTGCGCTACTACAGTATACTAACATTTCCCGTGAGACATGTCTACACTCCTCCCAGACACAAGAGCTAGTCAATGGTGTCGTGTGTCCCTTCAAGGCAAATACTACTTGTAATAGTACTGAGCATGTTCTGCCCTATATAATAATAATAGTAAGTCTGTCTTTTCACCGTTGATAAAGAAATTACCTGCCATCTCATCTACATATTTTTCACAGCAGTCCTATGAGATATCAGTATCCCCATTTTACAGTTGACAAAACCAAGGCTCAGAGAGGTTGCATGACCTCCATGTGATCAGATAGTAAGTGGCAGAATTAGAACACAAACCCAAATCATTCTGTCTTCAAATCCTTTATGCCACACTGCCCTCTCTTTGTAGCTTCTTGAATCTCTCTTTTCCCAAATCTTAGAGGCCCCAAGTAGCACTCCCTACACTGATACCATCCCTCATAGCATATAGGTCTTTCCTCTTCCTCATAGCACAGTAGGTCTGTATCTCCTTTAATCCACGTATGACCCCACAAACATTTACCAGGGACCTGCTCTGGAGACTGCACTAGGATAGGTACTGTGGGGCTTGCAACCTAGTTGTAAGGTTCCCAAGGCTCTTGAGCCAGTAAATAAATCTATCTCCAAATATTATTGATTGAGAGAGAGTTAAGACCTGACCCACCCAAACACCCACTTCCAGGGATATTTTCATTTTAGCAGGGAAATTCTAGCACCCACGAGGACTCCTAGTGATGGAAATTCAGACTCTGGAGTAGGCCGGTGGAGGAGACATTTGGGCCAAGGGCTGCCTTTTAGATGTTTTTGGGTTTTTTACAACAGCACTTTTCTCTCTTTGTTTGTCACACCCTCCAGTGGCTATCTACCACTAAGAGCTCCTGTGCTACTATGATGGCTGGCCCTTGCTGCTTTTTTTTTTTTTTTTTTTTTTTTTCTGATGGAGTCTCGCTCTGTTGCCAAGCTGGAGTACAACGGCACAACCTTGGCTCACTGCAACCTCCTCCTCCAGGGTTCAAGCGGTCCTCCTGCCTCAGCCTCCCGAGTACCTGGGACTATAGGCATGTGCCCATCTAACTTTTGTACTTTTAGTAGAGACGGGGTTTCACCATGTTGGCCAGGATGGTTTTGATCTCTTGACCTCATGATCCGCCCGCCTCGGCCTCCCAAAGTGCTGGAATTACAGGCATCAGCCACCGCGCCCAGCCCTTGCTATCTTTATTTCCTGCTATACTTCCAGGGCTCCAGGCTTCCTAACTTGGTTTGGAAGGAACCTGCTTCTTGAGGCAAGACCTCAGCCTCTCTGAGGCAAGACAGCCTATCCTCCCAGGATCCAGAATGATTCTCAGGGGCAGGAATTCTAAGAAAGTTCTCTTCAAGGGCAAGCAGGGCATCTTCCATGTGCCTCTGCCTCTCTGTAGCCCCTGCCAAAAGCTGTGTCTTCTGATTACAGGAAGGAGCTGCTTCCTCCTGTTTTCTAACCAGAGCCCTTCTCTGACCCTAATAACAGGGCTGTTCAAATCAGCAGCTCCATTTTATACAGCCAGAACCACACAAACTCACATCAGCAGGTCAACCACAGAGCCAGATTTAACAAGGGCAGGTAAGATTTAAGGAGAGAGATGCTGTGGAAAGGGAAGTGTGCAGGCGGTCAGCCACGAACTTGACTTCATAATGCTGTCCAGAGCTAATGCCAATGATCAGTTTTATGCTCCTTAATAATAATCATCATCATCCTAACATTAAAGCTGATTCCATCATCTTCTGTAATGATCCTGTTTTTTTTTCTGAATTTATAATTTAAAAGCACTTTGACCCGCAGCATCTCATTTAACCCTCATAGCAATCTTGTAAGGTAAGTATCATTATTATTTTCAGAAAAATACAGAGGAAAGATGAAAAAAGCACAGGCGTGAGAGTCAGAGCCTAGGTTTCAGTCCTAGTTCTGTCTTTCCACGGGGTCACTCTGCCTCCCAGACTATTAAAAACCTCCATTTAATTACTACTTGGAGATCCAGGAGATAGGATTCACCTCCTCGAAGCTTAGGCAATGGTTTCGAGGGCTGTGAGACAGAGATGTATTTTGGGCCTTGTTCTTTTGAACAAGTACCTGAATGGCTTGTTACCACTCCTGGCTGCGTTGGCGTGCAGGCCTGCCTACTGACAAGAAGAGATAGGTAAGTATCCACCTCTCTGCTGATGATAGCTGTTTATTACCCAGAGTGGGCGTGGTCGCAACAGACAATCTGTCTGGCAAGCTCGTTTGGGTCAGAAAGAATGGCTTTAGATCAACCCCTCTAAAACCAAAATCATCTTTACAGAAAAACAACCTTCAGCATTTTGTTGCCTCAGTGATTCTTTACTGCAATTCAAAAGGTTCAGTTACCAGGGAATAGAATGTGTAAATAATTCAACTGGGTGATTTTACCAGGAAGCTACCCTGCTCAAAATTTAAAATTCTAGTGGGCAGCATTTCCCAAAGCGTGTTCCAAGAATTCTTTGCAAAGGAGGTTTGCTAGAGGTTGACTTGTGTTCCCCGGAAAGATACAGTGAAGTCCTACCCTTGCTTTCTCAAGTACTCTTGAATGTAAACTTATTAGAAAATAGAGCCTTTCGGCCAGGTGTGGTGGCCCATGCCTGTAATCCCAGCACTTTAAGAGGCTGAGGTGGGAGAAACACTTGAGGCCAGGAGTTCAAGACCAGCCTGGCCAACATGGCGAAACTCCATCTCTATTAAACACACACACACACACACACACACACACACAAATTAGCCAGGTGTGGTGGCACACACCTCTAATCCCAGCTACTCAGGAGGCTGAGGTAAGAGAATCACTTGAACCTGGGAGGCAAAATTTGCAGTGAGCCAAGATCACACCACTGCACTCCAGCCTGGGCGACAGAGTGAGAATGTCTCAAAAAAAAAAAAAGGCCTTTGCAGATGTAATAAAGTTAAGAGGAGGTCATTGTGGATGGAGTAGGGTGAGAGCTTAACCTAATAGGACTGGTGTCCTTATAAGAAGAGGTGAGAGAGACACAGGGGAACGCCCTGTGACAGCAAAGGCAGAGAACAAAGTGATGCAGCTGCAAGCCTCAGAATGACAGGAATTGCCGGCCACCAGAAGCCAGGAGAGAATCCTGGAGCAGGCACTCCCCTAGAGCCTTAGAGAGAGACTCGCCCTGCCAACACCTTGATCCTGGACTTCCGGGCTCCAGAACTGGCAGACAAGGCATTTCTGTTGTTTTCAGCCACCCAGTTTGTGGTACTTGGTTACAGCAACCCTGGGAACCTCAAGCAAGGTCAATGGCAAAGTAAGCTTTACAAATGATGAGTTCACCACTGCCCTGAACCCAAAGAACCTGAGAAAAAACCTGATGCTCCACCCCAGACCAGATCAATCAGGATCTCTGAGGGGTGGATATCTCTTAAGTTTTTGTTTTTGTTTTTTTTTGTTTTTTGAGACGGAGTTTTGCTCTTATTGCCCAGGCTGGAGTGCAATAGCACAATCTCGGCTCACTGCAACCTCTACCTCCCAGGTTCAAGCGATTCTCCTGCCTCAGCCTCCTGAGTAACTGGGAATACAGATGCCCACCACCACATCTGGCTAATTTTTGTATTTTTAGTAGAGACACGGTTTTGCCATGTTGGTCAGGCTGGTCTTGAACTCCTGACCTCAGGTGATCCACCCACCTCGGCCTCCCAGAATGCTGGGATTACAGGCATGAGCCACTGCACCTGGCCTCTTTTAAGTATTTATTTAAGGCTCACCGGGACATTCTGATGCACAGTGAGGGTAGAAAACTACTGAGCCACACAAAATGAAGCAGGTCTCCTTGCCTGTACATTTTTTAGCACTGCTAATATGCTGTGAATTACCAAGAGGAGCTATTTAGGATGCAGAACTTCTCAAACTTATTTGACCACACACACAAAAAAAACACCTTTTTATTGACCATCTTCTTGAAGACACATGTTTTGCAGAATGCGCTTTGGAAAACATTGGTAAGTTTTATTGGGCATTTTGTGGTGTCAGGGAGTACCTGGTAACACCTGCCTTGAAATCTTTCCAAGTCAAGATTATTGCAGTGATGGTCCATGTTACAGAACGTGGCTCTCTTGCACCGATGTGTGCATGTTCTGGAATAGATCAGAACTCATGGATGAAGAGTGAAAAGTACTGGGTCTAAAAAGCAAGTCATATGTTTCGAACAGACTCCTTTATTTTTCATAATATGCCTTGAACCTACTCCTGGTCTCATTGATTACCAAGGCATACAGCTCTGTCTTTAAATACTAATAGTGGCGAGCTATGCTCATCCCACTGAGACCAGAAATTTAAATAGCCTCTGTTCAAGCTATCTTAGGCAGAGTTACAAAAGTATCATATATGTGATGTGCATGTGGGCACATGCATCACATCTGTTTATGCAAGACATCCCAAAGCTCATGCACTCCACCCTTCCCACCACACAAGTATTCTTAACCTATGGTTTCTGGGTTGAGAGAGGCCCATGAACTTAAAGAAGAAAAAAATGTATCTTCCATTTTTCGCCAACTTCCTTTAATTATGAATGTAGGTGACAAATGACAGGAGGATTAGCAGTGCCTCAGACTCTGTCACCAATTAAAATAGCAGACTTTCATATCATATCACATTACAGGGGTCCCAGACATCTCAAAATATCATGTATACTCATCATTTCCTGAAAACTATCGTGTTTATTCGACCTGCTGCTAGATCTTGTTATTCAACGCATTAATGAGGAAGCACATGTATTATTTATCGCAAATTTATTTTTGTTTAATAATTTGATCATTGTTTTTCAACATAATTGATTTCCTTTGCAATCATGTGTATTTGATTCTCTGCATTTAAAAATATTATTCTGGTTTATAGGCATCACCTGACTGTCAAGCGTCCGTGGCACAAAATAAAAGGTGACGAATCCCTGTTCTAGATCATCTACTGTACATAGGATCACCTAGAACACTTGTTGAAAATACAGAGTCCTGGCTCTTACCCTCAGAAAATCCAATTCAGTTGATCATAGGTGGGAACCAGGAATCTACATTTTTAAAAGCATACCAGAAGATACTGGTGCAGATGTTTGTGGACTACATTTTGAGAAAAAGTACTCCACTTATTCTTAAATTTACTCTTGGGTCAATAAGATTATCAGAGTCAAGTCCTTGAGTAATGTTGTCTTAACTTGTTAATTATTTTGGTGGTTTACACTACATCATTATGTCATTGACACACTTAGAAGATAAGTAGTGGCTATGTAAAATTTGATGCTATGACCATTGTCAAGATATCCTCATGTTAATCAACTTCATAACAGTATATTTCTATGAAGATCCCTGATAGAACTTTTATGCATCTCAAATAAGAAAAAGCCAGGCTAACCCTAAGCAATTACTTTTTTACAATCTTTGAACATTATTAATCCTGAAATGATTTTCCTTTTCACATTGGCCACGAGAAGCTTAAACTCAATTTTATGTCTTTTCTCTAGCAATCATTGAGACTCAACTCTACGTCTTCTCTCTAGCAATCATATGATACGCATTTGTAGCCAAATAATATTTTGGATGTCTTTGTTCATTCTCCATTCGAGCCATACTAGAAGCCTTCATTTCCTACCTCTGGGAAGCATTGTTATAATAAAAAAATTTTTTAAAAAGCCGAGGTTCAGTTTATAAGCTTCAGAATAGGTTCGTGGCAGAGGGAATAGATGAGAAAATACATTTTAAGTCTCACATCCAGGCACGTCAACATCATATGCCACAACCCTAAAGGGATTATGGCAGAAAGTGCATGCTAGAAATAATAAATATGGAATAACTGGTGAAGCTTCACACTACCCTGTTCTGGCCATGAACTGGAGGATGGGAATGTGGGCAGAGAAGCAAGCTGGCACTCACCTGGAACTCTGGGTTCTGATACCCATTCTCCTTCCCAATAGGATTGTGGGTGCCAGAGAAGCAGAGACCTTGGTGCAGCCTGGGAGGCACCTCTCCATGCAGCTTCTCTTACCCCACATGCCAGCATGCTAGGACAGCTGTAATGAAACATGGTGCCACCACAGAAAAAGAAGGCCTGAGGGAGTTCCCTGGGTTCTCTGCAGTCCCAGAGGAACAGAGGAGAAGGTTTCAAATGTTCCTGTTCACCACCCACAAATGCAGTTGAAAGGGCTTCCATAGACCCAAAGAGGCATGGTGGTTCAGACAGAAGATGCCTTAGCTAATCCTGGCACAGATCAACATCAGAAACCAGGTGGAAACACCTTACAAAGAACAGGGATTACTTTCTCAGGCCATGCAAGAAGGTATGCAAAAATGGAACTGTCTTAAGTTTTCCTAATTCAACTCATTTTCTGTTCCAAGCCTCTATTCTGCCTGTCCATGCAAATTGGCTTCTAGTCAATTCAGATTTTTCCAGCCCATTGGGTGTATTTTCCCTCACTGTCTTTTCTCACTGGGGTTGCTTTGATGTTCTCAGGAGCCCACACAGTGCTGGAGCAGGGAGGGGGCTGTGGTCTGAATGTCTGTGTCCCTCCAAAATTTATGTTGAAATGTAGTCCCTAATAAAATAGTGTTAAGAAGTGGGGCCTGTAGGAGGTGATTAGGTCACGAGAGCTCCACCGTCATGAATGGGATCAATGCCCTTAGAAAAGGGCTCGAGGGAGGTTGTTTGGCCCTTTTTTCCCTCTGCCTTCTGCCATGTGAGAACACACAAGAAGGCACCTCTTTGGAGCAGAGAATAAGCCCTCACTAAAGCTGCTGGCACATGGATTATGGACTTCTCAACCTTTAGAACTGTGAGAAATACATTTTTGTGGCTTATAAATTATGTAGATTAAAGTATTTTGTTATAGCAGCCAGAGCAGACCAAGACAGAAGGTGAGAGTTGCATCTATCCATATCCCTGGTCATCAGCTGTCCAGGTAGCCTCTCCTGTTGCATTCTTGTTTCTGTTGCTTTTTTACCATCATTCACACCCTCTTCGTAGTTTCTGCTATGGCCACTGGCCTTACCGGGGAATTGCGCAGTGTCTGATCTTCATAACCACATCAGCTTCTCCTGCCCCCAGCCTGAGAGAGCTCAGGCTGAACAGTAGGCTCCCCATCTGTTCTTTCCAGAAACCTTGTGCCCTGCATCCTTCAGGGCTTTAACTTTTGATCCCAAGCAAGCCTTTTCTCTGAAATGTTGGTCTTGGTTATATGTTTCAAAGATCTATTTTGTAATGCCAAATCTGATGTAAATATTGACTGTGTCTGCATTTCTGCTTGTAAGGATGGTGACCAGGTTGAGGGTTGGTCTGGGGGTTGGGGGCAGGGGGCATGAGACAGGGAGATGGGAAGCAAGGAGACAGAGGGATTATCAAGAATAAGACACTTGTCAATGAATGCCTCCAGATGCATTCCTGCTGCACATCTCTCAGTGTCAGCCCACCTTTCTCCTGTGTTTATTACCTTCCTACTTTTACCCTGACTTTTCAATTTTATTCTCTTGAATTTAAAAATGTACACACACACACACGTGTGTGTGCATGTGCACGTGTGTTTAAGAGAGAGATTTGGCTCAAATCTTTTGCAGATTAAAGCGAAATACAGATAACAAAATGTAACATATCACAGGAGGAGCTCTCTAAGTTATGGCTATTATATTATCCCCATTTTACAGCTAATTAATAATAGATGTTCACTAAATCATGAGTATTTTATTAACTCCATGTTTCCAGCCAAGGAAATGAATCCAAGAGTTTCAGTTACTCGTTCAACATGATACAGCCCCTGAGTGGAAGAACCAGGACACAAAATCAGACCTCTTCTGCCTCTAAACCTCACACTGTTTCCACTGTAACACATTTGTCCTACTCTAATGTTTTCTCAAGTGATTTTACATTCATGCATCCAGGGGGTTCATTACACTTTGCTACCAGGGTATTAAGATGGATCTTCAGATGATGTTTCTAAAGAACCTTAAATTTCCCAGGTGAAAATGCTCATTGAAAACAGCTGTATTGTCAGCTCTTAATTATTGGGGACAGGCTGAGACAGGGATAGAGCAGCTGGATGAGATTCATAATTAATCCCTCTTTTGAGTCAAGAGTCTCAGCCTGCCTCTCCCATCACTTCTCCCGCTGGAGCTGCCCACAGGAAGAAAATAGTTTCTTAAGAGGCTCATCTCCCAAGACTCAAGCTGCAGAAAGCTGTCCTGATCAGACGTCTGCATTAATGTGGCTTTGAAGCTGCAATCCAGAACAAAGGAGCACAAAGTAACTTAAGGAGAGAGTGGGGTGATCCAAGGAAGAGAATTTCAAGACACAGTATTTCACCAGAAACAAATGTTCAAACCAGTGTTGCGGGTCAGGGCAGAGCCTAGGCTACCACTCACTGTTTTCCGGAATTAGTGTCGCCCTTGTTGGAGAGTGGAATGGAGCTCCCAGTCTGTCAGACACTGAAAAGAGTCAATAATCCAAAGTGTCTACCAAACACCTACTTTTGGTTATATCTGGGGAGTTATTGAATCAACCTCCATTTGTGAGTCTGGATCCCCAAGAAGGAACCCCCAAGGTCTTGGCCAGTGACAGTGGGGATGGCAGAGAGAGCAGAAAACTTGCTGCTTTGTTATAGAATTGTTCTTTCCAGAGCCTCAAACATTTACCAAGTGCCTGCTATGTGACAGGCAGTGAAACCTAGCAATTACTGCAAACAGAGGAGTGCCAACACACACACTCCAGCCTTTAGCATCAGAGCTTACAGAGGCACTAAGGGACTAATTGATAGGTAATAAGTCACATAACAACCAATGCCTCCAAGTGCATTCCTGATGCATTTCTCTTGAACACCAGCTTTACCCCTGTCTTTATTATCTTCCTCCTTTTACCCTGACCTGTACCTTGGATGCCGCGGATAAATGAGCAACAGGTCACAGGTCATACTAGTACAAAAACCACACACTGCTCCTTTCTTCTCCACTTCTCCAGCCAGGAAGCTCATGAAGTGTCTGCATCTGCACTCTGTCCAAAGCTCTAGAATGAGATACAGCCCCACATCTCTATGGCAGCTTCCCAGTGTAATCAGCCAACTCCAGCATCTGAGAGGGAGTTGGACAAAGACATATCTGAACCCATCATAGCTGATGGCACTGAAAAGAATGCAGAATTAATGACTGCAGGAGGAACAGGAGCAAAAAGGCCAAGGGGAAAGACCTGGCCCAGCGCATCTACAGATTTGCCAGCCCCACAATGCCCCAGTGGAGTCTCACTTTCCAGCTGCTGCTTGCTAACTGGTCTCTGAAAGTCTCTAAGTTTCCAGAAAAGAGGCAACAGTTTCTTTATCTTTAGATCTGCTGTAGCATAGGTGTTTCTGACCTTCCATCCATCTCCATGATCTTAGCTGGAGCTGAGGAGGCCTCTTCTGCCTCATCTCTGCCACCCATATGATTGGAACCCAGCTCTGAGGCTGGCACCAGGATGCTTTGGTTTTATTTCTCTGAAACAAATTAACTGAAAAAAAAGACATGTAAATAGAAAATCAACTGTGGGAGGTAAATTACAAGGCTTCCCCTGACACATGCCACTTGCAAACCTCTACCAAATGATAACAGAGAATCTCCCTAGAAGAGGGAAAAAGGCAGGTACATGTCCTAACTGTGCCTAGAATTGAATCCCAGTAGTGGGTCTGTGTTCTACCTAGCCATTTTCTAGGGGGAGTAAGACATTGAAAGTCTGAGTTATCCCGAAAACTAGCCTGAGATATTCTGTCCCCAAGGAAAAGGTCACAGGAAGGAGGGAAATGTTCCACTACCCCAGCTTTGTCCCCCTCTTATGGACACTGATCATGTTGATTTGGAGACCTCTCATCCATTGCTGTCACAGGGTATCCCCACATCTATCCAGGCTATGAAATAGAAGTATCGATGCTATCACAAAGCAGCAAGCTTCTTGCTCTCTTTGCCATTCCCACTGTCACTGGCCAAGTTTTCGGGGTCCCTTCTTGGAGATCCAGGCTCAGAAATGGAGATGCTTTAGAATAGCCAAGCTTTGAGAGAGACTAACAAACAGGTGTACCTAAATGCAGTTATGAACCAGTTCATAAACTCTCAAGAGAAAGGAACCGTGAGTCAAACTAATGAAGCCTGAATCTGAACTTCACAGAAAATCCATGGTGCACTGGAGGGTTACATTCCCAGCCAGTGGTCCGATTATCTGTACACTTCTACACCTCTAGTTGCGTAGTCAATTAATCATAATAATGAATCATGTAAGATGGGATTAAATATAACCTTTTATAGCAACCCATAATACTGATAGACCCTTTCCTCACTCCAGGCTGCCTCGGGACCTGTGTTCCTCCGTGGTCTGGAATGTCATGGAATTTTAGACCTACCACGAGAAGAGGAAGATGAAGAGGAGGAAGAAGAGGAGGAGGAGGACAAATAAGAGAAAGAAGAAGGAGAAAAAGAACAAGAAGAACAAGAACAAAAAGATCTGTCCCTGGGGCTGGGCCCAGTGTCTCACGTCTATAATCTCAGCACTTTGGGAGGCCAAGGTGGGCGGATCCCCTGAGATTAGGAGTTTAAGACCAGCTGCCCAACATGGTGAAACCCTGTCTCTACTAAAAATACAAAAATTAGTGGGGCATGGTGGTGGGCACCTGTAATCCCAGCTACTCAGGAGTCTGAGACAGGAGAATTGTTTGAACCCGGGAGGTGGATGTTGCTGTGAGCCAAGATCGCACCACTGCTCTGGCACTCCAGAAGGGGGCAAGTGCTAAGGAAAAAAAAAAAAAAAAAAGCTGGAAAATGAAGAAGAAACAGTGACATCCAGTCTTAAAGATAAGAGCCCTGGCTGGGTGCAGTGGCTCATGCCTGTAATCTCAGCAGCTCACACTTGTAATCCCAGCACTTTACGGGGGCAAGACAGGCAGACTGCTTGAGCCCAGGAGTTCTAGACCAGCCTGGGCAACATGGCGAAACCTGCCTCTACAAAAGACGCCAAAATTAGCCAGGCATGGTGGCATGCACCTGTAGTCCCAGCTACTGAGGAGGCTAAGGTGGGAGGATTGCTTGAGCTCAGGAGGTCGAGGCCACAGTGAACCAAGATCATACCACTGTACTCCAGCCTTGTCAACAGAGTACAGGCCCTGTCTCAAAACAAGACAAACAAAACAAAACATAAGAAGCCGGGATCCAAGAAATGAAGAGCCAGGAGTGGCCTGGCCCCAGTGACCGGGAGGGCCTGCAAAACCACCATGTAGAGTGGCCTTCCAAGGGCTGTGCTGCGGGGGGCAGGGTGTCCCTCCAGTAGCCCCCTCCATCTAAGTCTGAGTGCTACGGGGTGTTGTGGGAGGCAATCCGAGAGCCTCTCCCCACCAACTCTCCAATTTCAGCAGAAGCAGGAGAGAAGGGCCCAACCTCAGGACCACATGAATTTCCCTTTGTGTGAGGAGAGAGGGTATGGGGAAAGACAATTTTATCACAGCAAATTACAAAGTGAAGAAACATGGATTCAGAAAAGTTATCTTTAAGACAATGATGACCATGTTTGAAGAGGCTTTTAGGGAAACACTTTCGGAGGCTTTGTAAGAAATGGACCAGGGAGGCCTTCTTCACTGTCTGGAGTCTCCTGGCAGATTCCCCCGTCGCCAACACAGGCATAAGCTGGCTCAAGAGCTGTCTGCACGATGGAGATCATGCTGTTGCATCCTCGTACCTGTACCTCCACCACATCGCTAGTTCCTTCTGCCGGCCCTCAAAGCCCTTGCATGCCCTGCACATTGCCTGTCACATGGGAGGCTCTGGATAAATATTCGTCCAAGGCCACAGAATAGAACAGCATGCCTTTATGAATCTCATTCGTAATAGAAGTTTCCTCCTGGACCCTAACACTCCTACATGTCCAGCTCCATCTGGGTCCTTTCTACATCTATCCCAGTTGCTCAAAGACCACGAGGGTGCCCATAGGTGGAGAGTATGGTTGGATGCTCTGTGTTCTTTGAAGTAGTCATTCACCTGCTTGCTTCATTTCTGACCATCTTGTCTATAAGTTTTACTTATTCTTTGTTTCCTCTCTTTACCACCACACTATGCTGAATGCATATGTGGGAAAGACAGTATAATTTTGGTCTCAACAGCCATAGAAAAATTAGAGAGAATAGGAGGTACCACCCCCTTCCTCTTTTTCCTCTGGAGAGGGAGAAAGGAGGGCTCTGAGTCCTAGAAACTGTGCTCCTTTGCCACAGGGCAGGCTTAAAAGACTTTTGTTTCTTAAAGTGTGTGATCTTGGAGACAAAGAAGTAGGTTTTCTGGAAAGAGGATGGTCCTGGGGCTTGGGATTGGACAGCAGAGGGACACAGCCAGACACTGGAGAGGGCGGGAAAGATTTACAAGACTGAGACGGGACAGAGATGGAGGGATCTTGAAAGTAGCAAGGATCCACTTCCTGCTCCCTTGCCTGACCCCTGGGAGGTGCTGGGACTCTGGGAACACCTCTCTGGGATGCATCTAGGTGCATCAACCCTATCCTATGCAAAAGGACCTTGGTCATAGCAAAGGCCCTCTGTGCCATCTTGCAGAGAGGCAGCTAAGCATCAAGGGACTAGGTGGGCTACAAAATTGGACATGTCCGTGAGGACTGAACACCAGAAGGTGCCCAGCAAATATCCTGTGCTTTTAAGATACTATGACCAAAACTCAAGGAAGGCATAGAGTGGGGAAAAAGGGTCCCCATTTTGACTAAGATAGAATTTTTCATTGGCCTGGTAGAATGCGGGCTGGGAATAAATTAAATTAGAATCAGAGAAGGAAAAATCCTTACCTTATATCTCATGTTGTAGAGTAAAATTCATACCCATTAAATCTAGTTAAAGTCTGCCCCACCACAACCTACACGTGGCTTACACTTTTTGGTTAAGTCCCCACACACCCCCAGCCTCATCTGCATTGAGTCTGACCTCAGGAAATGCCCACCCTGTGCTGACCTCCCCAGCAGCCCTGAACAGCCTCAGCAGGCTGATCCCAGACATTCCAAGCCAGATCTCCCTGTAAAATGCATAAGCCGACATTAGTTAGATGTTAACATCTCATGGGTTAACCCATTACTGTGCTGTGGCTTTACAATGTCAGAGTCTTGAAGCTTTGCCAGGAATGCTATCCAGCCTTCTCAGGGCCTCTGCTCTGAGCTGGCCCTGACTGTTCAAAAACACCTTCCCATTTCAGTCCGTTTCTGCCTCAAAATTGCAAACTGCAGCCCTCAGAAGTGTTCGGTTTTGTCCCCATATTTGTCCTCTGTAAGGATTGAATCTGATACGTGATTATAAAGTAATGAGACTGACTTTTCAACAAATCACAGGCCTTATGCATTGAGATGAATGCTGGCCTTCAAAGATGTCACCTTGGGAGGCTGGACACACACTTACTGCAAGGAAGCCATCATGCCAGATGCCATAGCTGGAATTTCTCTATGGAAATTGCCTGCAGGGACAATTAGCCAATTACAGAAGGAAACAGAGAATCAGTTGCACCCCTGGGCAGTAGCCATCACTCTCTAGTGGGGTTCACTGTTCACATGTCAGCCTCCCCGTAGTCTGTGTTCCCTTCCAGAGCATGCCTTATGCATCTTTCATACCCCAGGCAGTGCACAAAGCCTAGGCATACAGGAGGCATGTCATAAATCCTTGGCAAATAAACAATGGGCTCCTCATGGCCCAGTGCTTTCTTCCTTCCCCCTTCCTTCATCTCTCCTATTAGACACTTAATTATCTATATCTTTCTCCCTTTCTTGGAGCTTGAGTTATATCAAAAACTACCAAGGGAAGAAGCTAGAACTGACCACAGGGCATGGAGAGACTGAGGCTGTGTATCCATCAAGATGGGCTGGGTTATGCTGTGGTAAACAAAGAACTCAACGTCTCAATAGCCTAAGACTGTAAAGGTTAATTGCTAAATCTTGATACAGGTGTGAAGTGTGGAGATAAGGATGAGAGGCTCTGTTTCATGCGATCATCGCTCATTCCTTACCCAGGCCAGAAGAAACTACAATCTCAACAGAGATCTCTGGGCTCACATAGTATGGGAGGAATGGAGAAACAAGAGGTATTCACTCCAGCAACTAAATTCTCTATCTGAAAAAAACATAAGCTCTTTACCCATAACCCACAGGCCATAGCTAGCGTGGCAGGAAAGGGGGCAGGAAAGTAATTGTAATCCTCCCTTAATCGTGGAAGAAGAGGAGAACAAGATCAAAATAGAAGTAAGTGTTAGAATTACCTATTACAAACCATGTCTGGAAGCCAGCAAGAACAGATCAATGAAGACATCAAGGGTGGTAGATGGTCCCATTAATGGCCCCTCAATGGATCCTGCCCCTCAGATTGCATTCCCTTGTTTAATCCACTCTCACATCAACTTTGAGCTCAGCCATGTGGCTTTCGTTGGCCAACGGGACACCAGCAGATGTGATGCAAGCCAGAGATTTCTAAATGCTTGCACACTGAGGTTTGCCCTCTTGGAACACTGCCACCACAGTGTAAAAAGCCCAGGCTTTCTGCTAGAGAGGCCACATGGAAAAGAACAGAAGCACCTCAGTTGCTAGCCCCAGCCAACTGGAATGAATGTGAGTGAGGCCATCTTGATCAGTCGGCTCCCAGATGAACTGACTGCTGACCGCAAGCATATGACTGAGCCCAGCCAACATCATGTGGAACAGAGATAAGCCATCCAAGCTAAGCCTGCCCAAATTACTGAACCACAGAAGAGTGAGCAAATAAATGGTTCTTGTTTGAAACCACAAAAATTTGGAGTGATTTGTTGCACAGCAGTAGATAACTGCTAAAGCAATTTGTATCTAGTAGAGGGGTACCACCATAACAAAAACCTAAAACATGTGGCATTGGCTCTGGGACAACACAGCAGATAGGAGCTGGGAAGTCACTGAGTAGGTTGTTACTGAAGGCTGGAAAAATGGTGAACAATCTTTCAGTATGCTAGAAAGGAAGTGAGGAAATTGTTATTAGAGGCTGGAAAAGGGGCAACCCATGTTACGTAGCAGCAGAATAATTGCCAATAATGTTGTCTGCAGTAACTTGAAAGACAAACAGTACTTAATGAACGTATTGATTTAGTTAAGAAGATCTCTAGGCAAAATGTTAAAAGCATCAGTTAGATGCTTTCAGCTGTGTATGATAAGGTACTGGCAGAGAGGGATGAGCTAAAGAACCAGCTCTTTAGTTTTCAAGACTGTTCTAGAAGAAATATAAAAGGCCAAAAATTTACTGGTTTATAAAAATTAAACTAGTTCTGATTTCCAGTATTTTCGGTCAGGCAAAGGCTCTCAGATAAGAAATAACCTCAGCAGAAAGATCAAATCAAGTGTGCACTTATAAGACCCTTTGGTGAACCTCTGAAAGGCAGTGACTAGGAGACCCTCTCTGCTGGACAAAGGGGTTTCCGACAGTCTTAAATATATTGTCCCACAATAGATTAGCACACCCAAAGAGAAAAGTCTGTCTCAAAAATAATTATGGATAGAGCTACTGGGGCCATGGGGTGAACCCCAATAAGATTCATAGGAAACACAAAATTTTTAAGAGCCTTTAATCAGTGAAAGTACTACAAGTTGGACTAAAAGTGAAAGAAGTAACTCAAATAGAAGATAAGCCTCTGAGACTCCACTTTCTATGGGTAAGAATCCGGCTGGGAAAGCTACTTAGCTACCAACACAGATAATTTCCTATGGGACAAAAAATAAATAAATGCATCTTAGAGGATAGAACCAAGAGTCTAGGGAGAAGATCCAAGAGCTACAGAAAACAAGGGCCTAGGTATCCCTCTCAGGGAGCAGAACTAGACTCTCATCAAGGAACATTCTCTGACCCTTGTAAGGGAAGCCAACATCAACATGTAATCAGATAGACTTCATCATTGCTGTAGACCAGCAACTGCTTTGTTGCTCCTGGTCTCTCCATTTTAAATAGGACTGGCTCTTGGGTCTATCCAGTTCCTAAACCACTGCTGAGTTTTAGGGGTGTTGAGACAGAATGCTTGTCATTTAAATTCAAAGTCTCTGAATCAAGAGAAGCTGCACTTGGGGAGCCACACTGAGAGGTCTTATCTGTATCTGAACCTGATGCAGATCATGAGATAATACACTTCAAGCTTCATGCCGTAATGAGATGAAACTTTTGGGGGTCTTGGGAAAAGTGAATGTATTTTGCACATGACAGGGAGAGATTTGCTGAGGCTAGAGGATAGACTGTGGTACGCTGTTTCTAAAGATGGCCCATTTCTTCCATCCATGTTGCACATCCCTTTCTATGTGACTTTGAAGTTCCTCCCACTGAGAGCTGAGGCTCACTTCTTCACCCCTTTAATCTCAGATGACATTGTGACTTGCTTTGGGCAGTCAAATGTAACAAAAGTTATATGTAACTTCTGAACCCAGGCCATAAAAGGCCTAACAGCTGCCACTCTCATCTTGGAAAGCGGCCTCACCGTGTAAAAGAAAAACAGATTATTCTGCTAAAAAAGGAGAAACCATGTGGAGAAGAACCAGACACCCAGACACCCCAGACAGAACATCACTTCTGTTCTTCTCCATGTGGCCTCTCTAGTAGAAAGCCTGGGCTTTCTACAGTGTGGTGGCAGTGTTCCAAGAGGGCAAATCTCAGTGTGCAAGCATTTATAAATCTCTGGCTTGCATCATATTACATCACTCTTACCTAAAAGCCTTAGGTAAGAATGTGTAAGTGAGGCCAGACAAGCGAGTGAATCCAACCTGGGTCATCCAGCTGAGCTGCCAGATCACTGCAACCATAAAAGTGGGCCCCAGAAAAACCAGCAGAAGAACCAGCCAGCTAAGCCCAGTCAACCTTTCTGAAACTGTGAGGAAATAAATGATTATTGTTTCAAACCACTAATTTTTTGACATGGTTTGTTATGTATCAAGAAACAGACTAATAGTTCACTTAGCATCTTGTGCTATACCAAAGCCAACAATTTGGCCGGGCATGGTGGCTCACACCTGTAATCCCAGCAGTTTGGGAGGCCAAGGCAGGCAGGTCACCTGAGGTCAGGAGTTCAAGACCAGACTGACCAATATGGTGAAACCCCGACTCTACTAAAAATACAAGAATTAGCCGGAAATGGTGGCAGGCACCTGTAGTCCCAGCTACTCAAGAGGCTAAGACAAGAGAATTGCTTGAACCCAGGAGGCAGAGGTTGCAGTGAGCCAAGATTGTGCCACTGCACTCCAGCCTGGGTGACAGAGCAAGACTCCACCAAAAAAAAAAAAAAAGCCAATGATTCATAAACACTTATAAATGCACAGTCTCATCTGATTTCCTCCTTAGTGTGTGTGGTAGATGTTGCTATTATCTCCATCTATAGATACAGCATCTATAGAGATGCTATTATCTCCATCTATAGAAATAGAGGCTTAGAGAGGTTAAGTAACTATTCAGGACCACACAGCCTGTAAGTGAACCAGGATGCAAATTTTCCAACCCCAAAAGCCAAGGTACTATTTGTCTTTTAAATTCAAAGTCTCTAGATTAAGTGGAGATGCATCTGAGGAGTTATATTTGGGGAGTTTCATCTGCTGCTGAAACTGATGCAGATTGTGAGGTAATGAACCTCAAGTCTAATACTATAATGAGATATAATGTTTTTTGTCATGCCATTGGTGACTTTTAGATGCTACAGTTAGATAACATTAATGTAGTCTGGAATGCAAAACACTAGAACTTGAAGACTTTGCAAACAGAAGCTTTTCTGTGTGTAGGTAGACTAGTACAGGATGCAAAATAGACAGACTTTAATAAGAGCAGCAAGCACACCTCTACCTTCAGGCCTTTTAACTTGCTCTTTTTTCTGCATGGACCATTCTCAAAGGTATCTCTGAAACTTGCTCCTTTAACTCCTTAAAGTATCTGTTCTACATTGCCTTGTCTACAAGGCCTTCTCTAGCTGTCTCTGCCCCAGCCCATGCACAACCTATTCCTTTTCCTGCTTTGCTTTGCTCCATGGCACTTACCACCCTCTGACATGTTATTTGTTTTATTGGTTTATTTGTTAATCAATAGGATGTAAGCTCCATGAGGATAGGGATTTTTTATCTGTCTTGTTTAATAGTGCATCTCCAGTGCCTAGAGCAGTTCCTGACACGTGGTAGGTACCCCATATGCATGTGTTGAGTGAAGGAATAAATAGAACCTGGTTTTTCACAGCTTAGCAGTAACATCTTAGAGATACTTGAATTATAGAAGCCTATGTCTAAAAACTTTTATCTCCCTGGCTCTGTGGAACTATGTTTTGCGAGCCTCTGGTCAAAACAACCTCTCTTCACCCTCTGACTTCTGAAGGAAACTGCTCCCTGTCTTTGGCTTCTAACAAATGGGGCTCTTTAGTCCTGTTGCCCCCAATATCCTGAGCTCTGGACACCAGAATTTCAAGGCACTCATTTTTCTCTGTCTTTCTTTCCTGCTTTTCTGTATTTTCATCTGGCCTTGGCCACTGCCCCAGCTCTTATCTAACATGAGCTCCTGGCTGCACAAAGAAAGATGCAGGCAATGAGGTGATGAATAAGAAAAGGGGAAAACTTCTTTGCAAATTCCAAACAATGAACATCGAGAAATAAGCATTTCTGGGTGCTTTCCTCCCATGGCACAAATGGAGCTCCTGAGAAAAGAGGTGTGGACTCTTGGACAAACTCTGCCACATGTACTTGTTTCTTCCCTGTACCTTTGTTTATGTTGCACACACACATGCATGTCTACATGCACAGACACACATATGCATGCATACATGCATGCACACACGCACACCCCTACCTGAAATGCCAACCTGTAATGCCAGATCAACCCCATATCTCAAGACACATGTCTTCCTTGCTGCTTATTCTCATCACACCACCTAATATTACTTTTTCTTCCTTGAAATCTCTAACATTTATAGTCTATAACAATCTCTATCACTGAGGGTCCCAGCAGGAAACAGATGGCAACTCAGCAGGGTATTTGAAGAGATGCTTTATGGAAGGTCTGTTTACAGAGGATGGAGCAAGAGTTAAAGTGACTGGGTTATTCTGGGTGCTCTGGGAGGAAGATGCCAAGACACCATTAAACATGCAAGGGTTTTTTTTAGGGGAAATGCCTGTGACAGAAAATGGGGAGGGGCCCAGGGAAAGCTGTAAGAACAGTCAGACCATGATGCAAGTCTGACCTTGAAGGAAGGACAGAGGAATAGAAGGTTAGATGGAAGCATCCTAAAGAATGATGCAATCTAAGGCAAGTTCAGGAGTCCTCAAGCCAACACTGGTCACCAGAGGAGTCCCTTGCCTCCCAAGAATGCATCTTCCTTAGTGTACCTGCCACATTCATTCTTTAGCTGAAAGCAGCCCATGGGAAATGTAGCCTTTGTGAAAATGGGATGCTGGATCTCAGAGACACAGCAGCTGCCTTTCTTGTTTATTTATGTGCCCTATAGTTAGAATTCCTCAAGGCACATTCTCATGGCTGCTACAGTCCACCGCTTGCACTGAGCAAACCTTCTCCACACAGATTTGGGCAGCAGCTGGTTTCATAATTTCATGAGTCCAGTAGGCCTTTCTTCCTAAGTAAGAACCAGGAGAGGGAGGTTAGTAGGATGAACTATTGCCCCCTCTTTGCAATTGACCTTAGGGCCATAACTAATGCCATTCTCCCCTTTCCCCACTGTCCCTTTTAAAGTTTCCTCAACCTCAGCTATCTTGGTGGTTTACCTGGATTCCACATGTATTCTTTCCTGTTCCTATTGTGTAAAAGCAGATCTGATTCTTCCTGCTAATCAAGGACACTGCCCCTGCTAGGATCATGACTCCTCCTATGATGGTAAGTGGAGCCACTCCTGCCTCTACAGGTTTGTTCTGGGGCCCTTGCTTCCTTCTTATGGAAGACATAGTACCATAAATGCCAATGGTTTAACAAATGGACTGCATCATGAATAATGATATCTCATTCCTTCAGAATGTTTCCTTTCAGCTGGGGCTTCAACTGTGCCTCTGGAGGGCTGTCCCAGTGTTGCAAGAGCATGGCTGCCTATGAGCAGGAGTCTGTGATAAAACCATTGGTTCCCTAGTTATGGTCCCACATTATATGAGACCTACATTCCCTAGTTATGGTCCTCACACCTCATTCAAGGTGACATGGATCCTCTGGTCAGATGCTGTGCTGTTATGAGATTCCATGCCTATGAATCACGCATTCTGAAAGCCCCCAGATAAAAATGCTGACTGAGATTTTGTGGGCAGGAAAGGCAAACCCAGCCCCAGAAAAGATATCTCTCCCTGGAGAAGGATTCACTGGCTCTTCCAGAATGGAAGGGAACCAGTGTAGTCAACTTCTCACTAAGTAGCCAATTGGTTTCCTTGAGAAATAGTGCCTGGTTGAATTGGACTCTGGCTAACAATGTGGACCTTCAGAAGCAGCAGTGGCGAGATAAGCCTTGGTAAGTGGAAGTCCATGCTGTTAAGTTCACACATATCTTCCTCTCTAATGCTGTAGCCACTCCACTCATGAGTCCATCGTGTCAATGTGGGGTGGCTGATTATGAAGGCAGGCTGCAAGGAACTGAACATCTCTGCACCCCCATCCCCTCCAAAATTCTTGTTTAAATCCTAACGTCCAAGGTGAGGATATCAGAAGGTGGGGTCTTTGGGGGATAATTAGTTCATGAAGGTGGACCCCTTATGAATAGTTTAGTGCTTTTATAAAAGAAGCCCCAGACAGTTCATTCTCCTCTTCTACTCTTCTACCATGTAAGAACACAGCAAGATGGCACCATCTATGAACCAGGAAGTTGATCTTTATCAGACATGGAATCTGCTGGTTCCCAGGGCTAGGACTTCACAGCCCCCAGAACTGTGAGAAATAAATTCCTGTTGTTTATAAGCCACCCAGTTCATGGTATTTTATTATAGCAGCCTCAACAGACTAAAACACTGGCCAAGGTTAACAGGTCAAGTCCTTTTGTCTACTCAGTTACCCAGTTGATAGCAGATACTTCATGGTGAACATATGATTCAAAAATCCTTATACTTGGTACCCATTCCCATATGTCTATCACATGCTTCTACCCATGTTGCCTTGCCTCTAGTCCTTTCCTTTTCTGACCCCTAACCAGGTAATTGACCACTTTCCTTTCCATACAAAGTAGATGACCAGGTGCACTGCTCAAAACTTCACCCACTGGGAAGATTTTCCCTCCCTACTGCCTTTTGGGGTCACCCTAAATGTGGGGGAAATGCAGCCACTGCCCATTTTTGGCTTGCACCCATGTAGAGTTGATCCACCTATAAACCAAGAGTAAACTATATTGCCTTGTCTTCCAGCTGATCATACAGGATTCCTCTCTATGGCCACAGGCAAAAGCTGGGAAAGTCCAACTGTGGTGGGTGACCAGGAGGTCTAGCAGGTTAGTCATACCCTCAGGTCCTACTCAAGCTCAACATCACATGTAATATTTCCACACCACAATAGATGGCTACTGGGCCTGTCTGACTTTATAACTTGGTAGCTGTGACAGAGCCCAGCTCATAACAGGCAGTTCTGGATGCATTGTCACTTGGTGTCCATCCATGTTTTCACTAGCATCCAGTAACATGCCAAGACCTATTTCTCAAAGGATGCATGATTCTCTACTGCAGATGGCATGACATGGGTCCACGGTCTCAAGGGCCTATGCTGTGGTTCTCCCGCCAGGGCTTCCCCACCTACATTTTCACCTTTTCCTCCTCCAAACCATTACTCCCTGTCCCCTTTCATCTTTTTATTTTAATCTCAAGACTCTATTCATTGACCTATTTAACATTGTATTCATTTTCTAGGGCTTCCATAACAAAGTACGAAGTGACTTAATTAAACAACAGAAATTTATTGCCTCACAGTTCTGAAGGCTGGAATCAAAATCAAGGTGTGGACAGGGTTGGTTTTTCTGAGGACTATGCAGGAGAATCGGCTCCATGCTTCGTCTTAACTTCTGCTGGCATGCTGGCAATCTTGATGTTCATTGTCTTGCAGAAGCACTCCCTCAACTACTGCATGAAACTTCACATGGCCTTCTCCCTTTTTAGAGGGACGCCAGCCACATTCGGTTAGAGGGCCACCCTATTCCAGTATGGTCTCATCATAACTAATTACATCTGCAACAATCCTGTTTCCAAATAAGGTCACATTCTGAGGCCACGGGGGTTAGGATGGCAACCTATAAGTTTGAGGAGATGCAATGTAACCCATAAAAAGCAACTTGATGTTCTCTCATCATTGAGCACCTCCCTCTGATGCTTCCTTTGCCCTGGGATGGAGACAACTGCCTCCCAGATCAGCCAGACATTGCTTTTCTTCAAATGGGGAGCTCTCAGTTGGACTGGTGATGAGCAGGAAGCCTCAGGCGCAATGGCCTTCAGAGCCCAGGCCAGGAACTTGGCTCACCACAGGCCTTGCCCTATCCCGACCCTCTCCATCCCAGGAGAGTGGAGTGCCCTGAAGCCTCAGCTGGGCTGGACATCTAAGATCCCCTCCCAAAGCCTGTCAGTTGATGCTGGCTGCCAGGCAGCCTCTCAGGTGGGGCACTAAGCAGAGCCCCTTCATGTGACCTCTCCGTGTGTGTTGGACTTCACCCACTGAGGAGTGGGTTCTGAGAGGAAGTGTCCCCAAGGGTGAGTGTTTACAGAAGAGAAGCAGAAACCACAAAGCTCCTAGGACCTGGCCTTGGAAAACCCAGAACATCATTTCCACCACATTCTGTTGATCAGGCAAGTCACTAAAGGCAACCCAGATTCAAGGGGAGAGGAATTTGTTCCACTTTTTCATGGAGAAGTGTCAAGGTCCCATTGCAGAAGAGCGTGTCCCCTCTCAGTATCAAATTCTCCCTTTGCAAAATAGTGGCTCTAAACCAGGATCATCTCCCATCCCCTTTTATTCTTCCAAGAAATTACTCCTGCCAGTTCTTCAATCCTCAAGAGAACCCCATTCTCCCTGACTCACTTCTCTGTTCCCCTACACACCCAATATCACATGTACCCTTTCTCTCTGCCCCTTCTTAACTTGGGCCATCCCCTGGCCATAGCCTCTCCCAATGCCCCCTCATCTTGGAATAAGAGCACCAGCACCACCTCTTCCTGCCTGGGGAGGTCAGGTCAGCAAGTGACTGGACGCGAAGGTGTGGTAGGCACCTGTGACGGCCCAGGTGTGCCAGCAATGTCTGGCAAGGCCACCCTTCTGAATCAAGAGCAGAATCCAGAGAAGGAAAGCATGTATCTTGTGAACATTTATTATATGCCAAGAGTGAGTAAGCAGGAAGCTTATGGCCACCATTAGTGTACAATGAAGCAATTCCAGAGTTGATAACGTTTCAGCAATTTCGCATCTACAAAACCCTCTGCCCAAGGGAAGCCAAATCTTGCTGTGTATGTGCATGTGTGTGTGTGTGTGTGTGCTCAAGTTTCAGAAACTCCAAGTGTCTTTGGAATCTTCATATGGATCTAGGAATTCCATGGGGTCCTAAGACCTAAGCCATGTATCATGGAGCTCTCTGATCATTGCCTTCCTGGGAGGCCACAAGATATCCAATCTTGTGCACCGGATGAGCTCCCAGAGTTAGCCCTCTGGCCAAGCCCTGGGAGTGATCTGATTACATCTCAAATGTCTCAAAAGTGTCCTAATAAGAACTGAACCGCCCTGCTAGTTTCAGTAGAAAGGATCCCTGTTCCCATCACCATTCCTTTGTAAAGAGGCCAGCCCCAGAGAACACTTTCATTATCTAATCATCTTAACTTGCATAATTATTTCCCTAAAAGTACAATTAGCAGATACACATCTGGGATTTAAATATATAGATAGCACAGGCTAATAAAAATAATTGTATCACATACGGGAAAAGAAGCTGAAAAAAAAGAAGAGAGACAGTAAAAGATTTAGGAAAAGACACAGGCAGAAGTGAAACAAACAAAGCAGTCATGAGGAAAAGCGTGGGGAATTAACGGGAAGGAGAAAGGCAAAGGAGAGAGAGATGCTTAGAAGATAAGCGGTAAAACCCCATGAAAAAGCATTACTGACCTTCCATCCTAGCAGCAGGTGGGGCCAGAGCCCCATGTGCTGGTCAGAGAACCCCATGGAAAGAATCCCAGCCAGTATCTCCAACTCAGGACACTGCTCCTGCCCCATCTTCCTCTGCCTCCCCAGTGCCTTATCCTCAGTGCCTCCCTCACTGCCTCATCTCTCCAGGACGACAGCTTGTCTGATGATGAAAATGCTGCCTCCTAGGCCCCACCCTTAGTTCCAGAAACCAGAGCTTTTAGAGAAGTAACCTTTCCTACCCCGGTACCCTGGTGGGGCTTCTGGACACTGCACTGCAGGCTGAGCCCCATGTCCTGGGATCCCACGTGTCTGGGAATGGGCATCAGGCAGCCAATTGCACTCACTCCTCCTTCTTACGGCCCTAGAGGACATGAGCATGCAATTCAGAACGTCCTCGGAGGACCAGAAGACCCATGGCAGTGATGAAGTTTCTCACTTCCTACAGTCACAGAGGAGACGTGGTGAGGACTAAGCCCAGGGTCTGAGAGTAAGGGCTGCAGAGCTGTGGAGTCAGTTAACTCTCATCCCTACCAGACCTCTGATGACAAGGTAAGGGCACTGGCAAAAAAGCAGTGGCACTCAGAAATCAGATGGGGAGATTTAACTGACAGAGCAGACAAATTCCATCTGCCAAATTCCCCTAAACCTTCCTAGCTCTCCAGGGTGGGGTGTTAACAGCTCCATGCAGGTGGCCCCAGGGCCATGCACCATCCATCACATGCTGCCCACACTGTTGTCATCAGTCCCTTCGTAAATTAAGCATCTTAAAATTATCCCAGGGTGAGTATGCCAGCTGTTTTCTATGGGTGCCCTAACTGATACAGGTGTTAATAAATGTTAAGAGGGGAATGGAGTTCTATGGCCTAATACATTTGGAAAAGTCATGGCTAATGAGGTTTTCCAACTGCAGAGTTTAGTCAAATACCAAAAGTACTGATGCTTTTTATTCCTGTTTCAGTAGGAGACTGAAAATAATTGGAAACCCTAATCCAAAACTAAGAAGTTAGATGTTAGCTAATCTTCATCTCAGTCTGGTTCCCAGTGCCTGACAGTAGAGTTAAGAGTATTTTATGTTTCTGAGGAAAAACAACAACAGAAGCTGATACCAAACACATGAAAGGCAACCCCCAAATGAGATTTAGTTCAAGAGATGGAGACCAACTAAAGTGGAAGGGTAGAATTTCCCAGGCCCTTGGGTGATGTATGGGGATAGACAGAGATGGGCATCCTGGAGCAGTAGGACTTGAGCCCCAATCCCTACAGTTCCATAGGGTGGCCTGAGTTCCAATGGAAGCTCCAGTATCCTGATGCCCAAGGGAAACATACATGGAGTCAGTGGCTTGAGAACCTTGGCCAAGATCCCTGTGCCCAATGTTGGCATGGAAACAGCAGAGCCATCCACTGTGCAGGGCTCTCATCAGTGACTATAAGGGACTTGTGGCCAGAGAATCATCCCCAAACTTCCTATGGCTGTCATCTCCCCAGAGACCCTGTGAAATCCCAGACAAAGGGGAAACATAAGTCTGATTGATCTGTTGCCAGTCAGAGGGAAGCAGAGGTCATCCCTAGATGCCTGGCTATGACCCCTGTATTCCACCATGGTGCAGATGCTTTCCATCACAGTGCAGGTGCATTCCATCATGTTGCAGGTGCATTCCATCATGGTTCATGGGCTCTTTTCAGTAGGGCTTCCAATCTGCTTGTTGATTTAATGGCTTAATTCCAAGTGGTTGGAAAATAGCCCTAATGCAAGGATAACGGGCAGAAAACTTTAGGGGCGGTGTTCCTTCCTATATTAGCCAGTCACAGCTCTCACTGTGCAGTCCAAATGGCACAGCCAATTTGTCCAAAACTGATAAATTAGGTGCAAAACCAACCAAGTGTTCCAATCACTCCTCATCAACTAATATCTAGAACGAAGAGCAGTTCTTACCTACCCACCTTATGGAAATCTATTTTCTGGCCTCCTTCCCTCTCTCCCAGAGGGATCCTCTGTTCCTTGTGCCCCAGGATCAGCATTGGACTTGATAGTTCCATGTGTCAGACCTGGAATTACTAATTAAGTCAACAGGTCTTCATGGAATGCCTGCCACATTAGGCAACAATGGGCATACAACAGATTGCATAGCATTTTTTTTGTACCAAAATGTATACTAGGTTTTCTGATTAAAATGCTAAATTGAGCGTGCGAAACCCTCTAATGTGATGAAATAAATGATAAAAGCCAGCAGGGAAACAGAGAATGAGACAGGAGTCAGTAGCAGATAAGATATTTCAATCCACTTTTTCAAGGTGGGGTGGGAAAAGAGGAGCAGCAACTGTCCTTGCAGAGTTGAGAAAGCTGTGCTCTGAGAGCCTCAGAGGGTGCCTGTGAGGCAGGAGCCAATTCACCCAGCAAAGCCCGCAGAAGGCTTGGCGATGGGAGGCACTGGGTACCTCAGAGACAGTGGAGGGGCTGAGCTGAGAAGGAGATGTTGGTTGAAGTCAGTGTGTAGAACAATTAGACCCCCAGGTCTCCTCCAACCCTGAAAAGCCACCTCTCTATTTATCCTGCCCAGATGGTGGAGCAGAGGCTGATCCTGTAGTTCTATTGAACTGGAAAAGCTACAGGTACAAGTGCAGGAACACCTGAAAAAGCAGAAGACAGAGTCGAGTCTCACAGTTAGAAACAGACATGAAATTCTCTATCTTGAATAGTGAGAAACACACTCTCTAACTCTGTTTTTCCACCCAGGTCCAAGAATCAAAAAAGGTAGGTATACAAATAACAATAGAGATGAGATAAAAGAAGGAAAGAGAGAGAAAGAGACAGACAGAGAGAGACAGAGAGAGAGAGAGAAGAGAGAGAGAGATCCTGGTAAGCAGCTGACTTTTTTGAAGAAAGAATTCTCCTGTCTCCTCACACCAAAAAATAAAAAGATCTATATCCTGCTTGGTGCTTGATCACCCTACAGGAAAGCCAATAATAAGTCCTCCTCCCCTAATATGAATCATACACACACACACACACACACACACAGAGAGAGAGAGAGAGAGAGAGAGAGAGAAAGAGAGAGATAGTTTCCAGTGATTTTTTGGTGATATAGATGACAATCATGGAATATGGAAAACAACAACGAAAATTAATAGAACAAAAAACTAAAGAAAACAATGCAGAGAGCAGATTAAATTTTCCAAAAAACTTTAATTAATATCACTTAACGTAGAAGAGAAAATATTGCAGCCATTGAACAAAAAAAGGATGTAATTTTTAAAAAGAACAAAGAACAGAAAACACTCTTGGAAGATAAAAGTGTGATTGCTAAATTCAAAAATTTAATAGGATAATTGAAAGACAAAGTCAAAGAGATCACCCATAATGAAGGAAATAAGAGACAAAGATGAAAAGTAGAAAATAAATTTAGAGGACAATCCAAGAAGTTCAACAATTATCTAGTGGACATTGCAGAAACAGAGAACAGACAAAAATAGAAGAAAATAATCTAATATGTGCTACAGAAACATTTTCCAATGAACTGACATGAGTCCCCTGTTTGAAATGATTCTGATTGCCCAACATATTAAATAAAGACTTCTCATCAAGGTTCCTCATCATGAAATTTTAGAAAAACAGGGCTAAAGATAATATCTTAAATTCTTGCAGAAAAGAAAAACATAACATCAAAAGATGTGAATTAAGAATGACAACTGACTTTTCAATAACCACAGGAGAAGTCAGAAGACAAAATTCTGAGGGAAATGTATTTTCCATCTAGAATTGATTTTCCAACTAAACCACAAATTCAGTATAAGGATAGACTAAAGACATTTTTAGACCTCTAAGGTATATTCAGCATTTCAGGAAGCCCCTAGATATGTGGCAGAAGATGTGGAGAAGAAATCCAAAAAAGAGGAAAACATGGATCCCAGGAAGCAGGGCTCCAGACAGGAGAATGGAAAAGCTAAGTCCTCAGATGATAGAAAAGGAGAGTCCCAGATGGTGGCTTTGCAGCGGGCCCAGAGAGCAGTTCCAGATGGAACTGGTTCTATGGAACATCATAGAACCATAGCAATTGGAGGTCTAGTGTGATTTTCCAGTCTCCTGTGGATGCACCGCATTGTCATGAGTCTTTATGTGTGTGTGTTCCTCTCCTATTCACAGCCTTCCCTGATCTCCTTCAACTCTAACCTATTCCCTTCCTCTTCCCCTTCCCCTCACCATCGTCCTTCATAGGGTAGGCAGTGTCTAACTTCAGATCTTTCTGGTTCAAAGCCAACCCCTTCACCTCTGCTCTTGATCATCCTTTCCCATCTCAATCACTTGCACCCATTCACTTTGCATTATATAGGCATCTCTTTCCCCATTTGCTCCTTCCTTTCAAGTCTAAAAATCTATGTCACTTGAAATTATCACCTTATCTTTCCCTTTCTCTTCTATTCTGAACTTCTTGGGGGTGGGGGGAAAGGTCTGCACTCAGTGTCCCCACTTTCTTATCTCCTAGTCACTCTTTAACGTAAACTTGCTGTAATGTGTTTCTGCCCACATCTAGCCAGGGACATTATTCTTGCCAAGGACACCTCCCAACTGAAACGAATGCTTCTCAGCTTTCATCTGACTTTATTCTTTGGCGCATGTGGTTCCTGTGACTGAAAATTCTTTCCTTTCTCTCTCTCTCTGTGGGCACATCCTTTTTTGCTTCTTTCTCCTTCCTTTTGGACAATCCATCCACTCATCCAGAACACACTCATTGAGCACCTACTCTGTGCAAGGCTGGGCACAGAGCTCACAGGCTGGTGGAGGAAACAGCCATGGAAACCAGCACATTCTGTAAAGTGTTACAGATGCAGCGATGGAGGTCACAGGGGATCCAGGGGAGCACAGAGGAGACAATTGCTCCCACTTAGGGGAGAGCTTCGGAGATTGCTGAAGGATGACTGAGCACCCTCTGGAAAGACAAGGAGAGCTGTGCAGACCTGGAGGGACTGCAGAGGAAGCAAATGTTGGTAGTCCCACATGGCCTGGGACCCCAGCCCCTGGGAGATGTGTGGAGTGGCTGGACGACAAGGGTGAGAGGTCTTCTCAATCACCTGGTCCTCGTCCTCCACTAGCTCCCTGAAGACGCTGTCCCATCATGGTCCCCCTTGTCCCTCTTTTCTTCCCCGCTCACAATCCACTCCCTGGGGGTCTCTCATTCACCGCTGTCTAGATGCATGAAATTAAACCCATTCTCCTCCTGTGCTCTCTGTTATGGTTAATGGTGTCATATCTCTCAGCGACCACAGACACTTAGGAGTCATCTGGACTCCCCCGTCCTTCCCCCCACACCTTGCCCCAGCAATATCCAAGCCCCATCAATCCCCACATCCCTCTCACATCTGCCCTGTGAGGGCTGTGGCCAGGCTCTCAGCATCTCCAAGGTGAACTATTATGAAAGCCTCTTAACTGCCTCAAACCTCATCCTCCCTCTCCATGCAAGCCACCAGGGGATCTTTCTAAAGCTCAAATAGGATAAAACTCTCTCCTTCACTTCCTCTCACCACAGCAGGCCACCTCACACTTTCCCAAGGGAGCTCCCCTAACCTAGCAGAGCTGGGGGCCACACTCCCTCTGAGGGCACCAGACTGGAGCCCAGTCTGAAAGTTCTGCCAGGATCCACTCAGGCTGGTTCCAGTGTTATGATAATTCTTTAAACTACCTATTTACAGAATCACTCAACCTCCTCCCCAAAGATGTTTAAGTATAATTGATACCCCAGGAAGATTGCTCTGCATTTATTTCTCCTGGAGCTTTGCATTCTGTTTGGCACAGCACCTCATGCCACCATATCTACCCATTTCCCCCACTGAGGAGCAGGGGAATGGCAGCTTCTCAGACCAGCACACAGGCCCTTCCAGTCTGGACCATGCCTGGCCTCCCCTACCACCTCTCACCATTACCACCTCTCACCTCTCCCCACCTTGGACTCTGTTCCAGCAATACACTTCTGTACCTCAGACTCTGTTCCAGCAATACACTTCTGTACCTCAGACTCTGTTCCAGCAATACACTTCTGTATCCTCACACTCTAGAACTGGGCCTACATAGAAAAAAAATTTCAGTAATTATCCTCCGGTTTGGAAATTGTCTTCAACCAGAGGGCCCCTCTCGCTTTAAAACTTCAGGGCTCCCAGCCTGCACTGGACTTCTAGAAAACTCACCAAATTGTATTGTTACTTTTATTAAAGTAATAAATTTCTCACTTTTTATAAAGTGTACATGTTCTTGTTTTCTTACAATAGTAATACAAGAAAAAAACAAAAAATGCAACAACCCTCAACCCTCAAACTCTCATTGCTGCCAGAATAAGCCAAAGTTAACACTTGAACATCGTTTCAGACCTACTTCTATTCTCAAAGCTTTGTGATTTTCCATGTGTCCATCTGTGGCACAAAGCAGTGAGCTCCTTAGGGGCCCGGTCTTACATGCCCAGCACCCACAGAATGCCTCATGTGTGCACTGAGGGGTGGGGACTCCCTAGAAGTTATGTCTCCAGCAGCAGGAGACCCCCCCCCCAACCGTGCATGAGCCTCCCCTCCTTCATTGACCATCGGCTTTGAGCCCAAAGCCCTGGGCTCTTCCAGTCCCCCAGCTCCACCTCCCCACTGCATCACCCACCCTCCCCACCTATTCCTAAGTTCCGCTCTGGGGTACAGATTTGGCAGATGAGACTCTGGTGACCCTTCTAATTACAGGGGAATTGACAAGATTCGGTGAAGAAGTGTATATTTTTAGCCATGGTGAAGAGAAAGGAGATCAAGAGAGAATATGGTCTGTCGGAACTTTCCTCAGCTCCTGCTCCTGAGCTCAGCAGGCTCCCAGGGTCTTGAACTTGAAAAGTTTTGGAAAGCAAGCAAGCAAGAAAGAAAAAGCTCTGGGGAGGGAGGGGAGGAAAATGGTTAACATTGATGTGAGAATATCTGTTTTGGAGAAATTTGCAAAACAGTGAAATGTGTTTACTGTTCAATGTGGGAGCACTAACAAGAAATAGATACAGAGGCAACGTGACGCTAACTGCCTTTGACACTGGTGATGGCCCTTTGGTTGGAACAAATTCACCCAGTGCTGAAATGGATTATTTCACACATCTGTTGTCTTGAGAGCCACCCTTTGCAAATATTCTAATGCCCAAGTTGGCTCATCTGTCCACTTACTGATTTATTTGAAGGCAGATTGGTGCGGAGAAGTGTCAGGCAGGAAGAACCCTGCAAGGATCCAGGGGCTGGAGGCTGGGGAGGATGAGGTCAGCTGATGGGAATCACACCCAGCTCCAGGACCTTGGATCAGGTGGAGCATCGTGCTCTAGGGCCATCTTGGAGCAACGATTCCCAAGAATCATTCTGACCTGCCAGTCAGAACAATGCCATTCATTTAATCTGCCCTGCCATTGCTATTCATTTAATTTTCACAGCATACAAAGGGGAGGGAACTCTTATCCCAATTTTACAGATAAAGAACAGAGGCACACAGATATAACGTTGCCCAACATCAGTGACACTGTTTGGTGGCAGAGTTGGCATGTTGGCTGAAGTCCTGTGTCCCCCACTGCCTGACACTTTCATATGTCCTAATCCTTGAGAAAGGAAATCAAAGCCCTTCTCTCCAGTCAACAAAGCCACACTTTGTCAATACAGCTCATGAAGGCCACCCACACTCGCCATCTCTCTCTCCACCTGGGCCTGGCCTGCAGTACTCCCCCACAGGCAAGCTGGGCCCTGGGCCCAGTTTTCATACAGACACAGGGTTTCAATTTAAGGGGTTGGGAGACTAGGCTAATACTGCCTATGATATTTAGAATAATAGTGTCTAATTACATCTTTCTAGTGACTGATTTTTTTAATGCTTCAAATATATTTTTGAAAATAGGCAGCATTGATATAGTTCATGAATGACAATCAGGTACCCACATCCATGACAACTCGCAATGACTGGTTAACAGCTTCCTGGGATGGGCTCTGAGTTGAGAAGGGTTCTGAATTCCAGGTTCTGTGGGAAAGAGTCCTGGAGTAAATGCATACCATTTTCTATGAGCATGAAATGATTAAGGGATGGCTTAATGGCTGCATACAATAGAGTCACATTATAAACACATTTAACTCAGATGCATGCAATCATTCAGATTCTACAAAAAGGCAGAGAGAAAGAGCAAATTTTTTAAGTGTGAGTGATTCTACCCATCCTTACATTCAGTTATCACATCCCTTTGAGTGAGGAAAGAATGGGCTGTCAACCTCCTTACACATCTCCTGGCATGAGCATCTTACTACACTAAATGGGATTCTGGTGTTTGAAAGAAATAGCAAGCATTTTTCTAAAACACACCTGATAAAACAAAATTCTCATAAAAGAAATCAAAAACTAAATGAAGAGATGTTCCATGTTCATGGATAGGAAGACTTTATTGTCAAAAAATCAATTCTTTCCAACTTGATCTCTAGATTCGATGCCGTCTCAATCAGAATCCCATCAACTTGCTTTGTGGATATTGACAAACTGATTCTAAAGTTTATATGGAGAGGTAGAAGACCCAAAATGGCCAATGCGAAATTGGAGAAGAACAAAGTCAAAGGACTGAAACTACCTGACCTCAAGACTTACTATAAGGCTACATTAGTCAAGACGATGGGCAAATTGATCAATGGAACAGAGGGGAGAATGTAGAAATAGACCTACACAAATTTAGTCATCAGATCTTTAACAAAGGAGCAATGGCAACACAATGGAGAAAAGATAGTCTTTGCAAAGGAGTGCAAATTAAAATAATAGGATACTACTTACTACCTATTACATTGGAGATTATTTTTAATATGGAAGTTAGGACAACATGCCTTGATCACAATTTTATAAAACATACCACAACTTTTAAAATATCCATCAATTCCACTTTAATTATTGGTGATTTGCACAATGTAAAATAACAAGAGGTGAATAAAATTAAACTAATAGATATGTTCACTGCAGCAATAATAACAATAATAGGAAATTCTAAAACAACCACAATATCCAATAATGAAAAGACAATTCAATTTAGTACAATGTATACGGTCATTGAAAATGATGTTATAAGTATTTAATAATCTGAGAAAGTATTTATAATCTGGACAAGGCTATATTGCATTGTTGCTTTTGTGTAAATCCTGTAGGATTTTCTACAAAGACAGTTACATTAACTGAGAAAAAAAGTTCATATATGGTATTAAAATCATAAAAAAGCACACTTTTATGCTCTCCTCCCAATATTTGTTCATAGTTTATTTCTACATATTTGAGAAACTACACAGTACATTGTTATTACTTTTGCATTAAACAATAAATTACATTTAAAGATATTTAAATAATAAGAAAACCTACTTTTATGCTTATCACTGTAATTACCAGTTCTACTACTGTTTATTTCTTTCTGTAGATCCAGATATTGAACTGGTATCATTTGTCTTCTGCCCAAAGGATTTCCTTTAACATTTCTTGTAGTGCAGATCTGCTGATAATTAATTCCTCCAGCTGTTGTATGTCTGAAGAAGTCTTTATATTCCTTGTATTTTTGACAAATATTTTCACTTGATTTAGAATCCTAAATATGAAAGATTTTTCCCATGTACTGTAAAATAGTATTTCACTGGCTTCTGGCTTAAGTTGTCTCCAACAAGAAGTCTGCTGTCATCCTCATCTTTATTCCTCAGTATGTAATGTGTCTTTTTTGCCCTTGCCTGCTTTAAGGATTGTCTCTTTACCACTGGTTTTAATGAATTTGATTATGATGTGCTTTGCTGTAGCTTTCTTCATATTTCTGATGCTAGGATTTCATTGAGCTTCTTGGATCTATGGGTTTATAGTTTTCATCAAATTTGGGGATTTTTTGGCTATCATTGCTTCAATTTTGTTTGTCTTTTCCCTCCCACTCCTATTTTCCTTTATGGACTACAATTACATGTATATTAGACAGCTTAAAATTGTCCCACAGCTCACTGAAATGAAACTTTTTTTTCAGTTTTTTTCTCGTGTGTTTCATTTTGATATCTTCAGGTTCATAAATTTTTTATTCTGTAATGCCCATTCTGTTATTTGTATCTGGGGTGCTGTTCATATTAGACATTATAGTCTTTATCTCTAGAACTTCAATTTGGAACTCTTTTTATCTTGCATGTCTCTAATGAACATTCTGAAATTTTCTTCTACCTTGTTGAATACGTAGATAAAATATGCTAAGTGTATTAATGTCTCTATCTATTAATGCTAACACCTGTGTTGTTCAGGAGTCAATTTAGATAGATTGATATTTCTTATTATTGTAGCTTCTATTTTCCTGCTTCTTTGCATGCCTAGTAAGTCTGTATTGGGTATTAATCATTGTGAACTTTTCATGGTTGGGTGTATATTTTCACATTCCAATAAATACTATTGAGTCATTTTCTAAAATGAAGGTATGTTAAATAAAAATAGTTTGAATCTTCTAAGTATTGCCGTCAACTTTTATTAGGCAGTACCAGACCAATTTTTAGTATAGGTATAATTTTTTCCCATGAATGAATTAAAGGTCTTCTGAATATACTACCTTATGCTCAATGAATTGGGTAGAATAGTTTGTGGGGGGTGTGTGTGTGTGTGTGAGTGTGTGTGTGTGTGTGTGTGTATGTGGTGGTGTTGTTTATTTTTTACTGTTTCTGGTGGGAACAAGACTAATTCTGGCCCTGTGTGGGCTTTGATATTGCTTGTTCTGATCTCTTCGGGTCATTCCTTCTCCAGCTTCAATTGTTTTCTCATTCAGGTGTGCTGACCAGTACTCAGCTGAAGACTTATGAGTGACCTACTGAAATCCACAGAGCTTTCTCTTTCCCTCACTCCTCCCCAACTTTGAAGCACACCATCCATATGTTTGCATACATGCACGTTCATTCTCCCACTCTCCCCACAGCCCCACCCCGCCACACACACACTCTTTTCTCTCTGGAAATTGCCCCGGCCCAGCTTCCTTGATATCCCCCAGATCCCAGCTTCAAATTCTCAACTCAGGGAAAACCCTGGGTTCCATGTGGTTTTCTTCTCTCTCTGCTACGGCCTGAAATCTCTCTTCAGGTGGTAACCTGGGGAAACAATCGATATTATGTCATCTGTTTCCCATCTCTCAAGGTTTGCTGTTGCCTGATCTTATGTCCAGTCTTGAAAACTGTGGTTTTATATCACATGCACACATATGTGTAGATGTGTACGTATGTATGTATGTATACATTCCTCCATACATATATGTATGTTTCTGTGTATATATACACGTACATACACACATACATATAGTATTTTTTCCTTTTTTCCATTTGTTTCAGATAAGTGTATAAGTCAGGACCTTGTTTCTTTAGCCAGAAGCAGAGATCATGATTTGTATAATTTTATTTTCCAAGAGGTGTAAGCTCTTACAAGCCAATATAAAGAACTTTCGCCACAGAAATTTTATATGTGAACTTCTAAGAGAGAGAGACACAGAAAAATAGAGATTCTCTATGAAAAACTACTTTTTGTAGTATACAAACTAGGACTACTTAAAACAGAGGAAAAAGTTAAATGATAAAATTAAGGCAGCTGGCCTGTAATCCCAGCACTTCATGAGGGTGATGCAGGCAGATCACCTGAGATTTTTGAGGACTTATTACTACAAAAACTGGTTGGCTTTATATTAAAATGATCATATTTTACATATATTGGGGTAAATAAAATAGATTAAATAAAATATATTTTTAAAAATAATTTCACTGGTTTCTTTTTAATCTTTAAATTTTAATTTGTATGTGTGTACCTCACATTGTATTTCTTTTGGACAAAGCTAATTCAGAATATAAAAGAACTCTTGAAAATCAACAATAAAAAGATGGGAATCTCAACAGAAAAATGGGCAACAGATACAAGCAGGTAATTTATAGAAGGAAAAATGAAAAAATAATCCAAAACAAGCATATGACTATCTGCTCAAAATAATTAAGAATAAGAAAAATGCAAATTAAGAAAACAAAAAAATACAGACTGGAAAATGTAAGAAAATTGAATAATGCCAAGAGTCACTGGGGATTTAAAGAAGCAGGAACCTTCTTGCACTGCTGGTGGGAGTGTGGATGGGTGTAGCCATTGGACTGCACAATCTGCCAGTACATAGTCATATTCAATATAAACACATGTTATGGCCCCCAAATTCTACTTCTATATCTACATATCCCAGATAAATTCTTATACAGTCACAAGGGCACATATATAAAGATCTCTTTGCAGTGTTATTTGTGGTAGCCAGTAGTAGGAGTCAACCTGGGTGCACATCACTGGGAAGGAAGACATATGCTATGTTGTAATTATTCACCATAGGGTACTATGCAGCAGTTGAAAGCAGTAGGTTATACTTATATATAGCAATGTGGATGGTGAAGAATGTATGAAACAATGTGTGTGTATGTGTGTGCATAAAAAACAATACACAGTTTCAGGAACAGAGCTTAACATATATTAAATCCATTAGAATATGGCTGCCTACAGGGTAGGGGAAATAGGAATAAAAATAGAGTTTATGGATAAAGGAGGATAAATAAACATATACATACACACCTTTATGTTTACAACAGAGGGGCCTTGTCTGAACCAGTAATGATAATGTACCTGGAACTGGGAAATATAATAAATTCAACCCTCTATTATCTTCCGTTGCAAAAAAAAAAAAAGTGGGAGACAGCCATTTTTAGCTATGTTTACAAATAATAGTCAAGAAATACTGCATTTTGAGCCCCTAATTTATCTGAATTTCCTTGCATCCAAGGCAAGAAGAGAAATACATTGAGTTACAAATCTGGGTTATATCAAAATGAACACAACTATTTGTCAGATGAGACAAATCTTGTCCATGTAGTGAATTCCCAGAAAAACATCTACCTTAGACTAGCACTAGTGATTTTTATGCTATGAGACCTTTAACAAGGAATTGAGCAGGGGTGTGTGAGGTGGTGGGTAAGGAGATAAAAAAAAAATAAATGCAGAAGGAGAGAAAAGACAAGGGCCAAGGGACTCCAGTTTCCATTTAACCATATTAATCTATTACAGGTATTACGTTTCCACATAAGCTTTTATTTGAAGAACGGATTCCGTGATTAAAAAGAAAAAAATGAGAGCCATTCTCCTAGGCCTCTGTATAAGATATTGAACAACATAATGAACAGTATCTTCAACAGCAGTTATACAAAAGTTGCAGAGTACTCTTCATATCACTGCTTCTTTTATCAACACTAGATGGAAACTGAAAGCATAATATTAGATCACCGTTTTCTGAAAAGACATTTCTATGGGAAGCTAAAATAATGTAGTATAGCATATGTCTTCCTGGTAATAGAACTTGGTAGAGAGAGAGTACACTTAGAGAACCCAGAATAATTGACGGTTAATGTCCTGTGGACTAACTCCCCAAGGTCCTTGTCAGGCTGCTTTCAGAAGATTTAAATGACAGGTAAGTGCCCCAAGTTACAGATATGCTCAATTGTTGACTGAAAGGGAGCCATCTATTTTAAAGAAAATTGAAATATTAGTAAACACAAAGAACTTGCTTTGTATTCTTACCCAAATGGAGAGCTCCCTAGCTCCCCTCAATACACCTACATGCATGCACATGCACACACAAATCCCACACTCCTGCATGGAAGCGGATTGCAGAGGCACCTGTGGGTGGGGTCAAGCTTCTTATAGGTAACTGTAAGCAGCCTTCCATCTTCACAAGTACTTGAATAGTGGCCCAACTGAAGTCCCGTGAAACAACTCCCAGTAAAGGGAAAACATGGGTTTTACCTAGGCAATTCTAAGAACAGCCATAACCAATTAGCTGCTATGAGACCACAGAAGACCCTTGATGTTGTCCTAGTTCTTCTCTTAGATCATCGGAGGGTGGGACACCAGACCTTAGGGTGGTGTCTGAGATGCTGGACTGGATTCAGGGGTAAACGTAACTGGATTGCAGGCTATGTTACACCATTTTTGTGTTGCAATAAAGAAATACCTGAGGCTGGAGGCTGAGTGCAGTGGCTCATTCCTGTAATTCCAGCACTTTGGGAGGCTGAGGCGGGCGGATCACCCGAGGTCAGGAGTTCGAGATCAGCCTGGCCAACATGGCAAAACCCCATCTCTACTAAAAATACATAAATTAGCCAATAATGGTAGTATGCACCTGTGATCTCAGCTACTTGGGAGGCTAAAGCAAGAGAACAGCTTGAACCCAGGAGGTGGAAGTCTCAATGAGCCAAGATCATACCACTGCACTCCAGTCTGGGCCACAGAGCAAGACTCTGTCAAAAAAAAGAGAGAGAGAGAGAGAGAGAAAGAAAGAGAGAGAGAGAGAGAGAAAGAAAGATGGAAGGAAGGAAGGAAGAAAAGAAAAAGAAGAAAGAAAGAGAAACAAAGATGGAAGGAAGGAAGGAAGAAAAGAAAAAGGAAAGAAAGAAAGAAAGAGAAAGAAAGAAAGAAAGAAAGAAAGAAAGAAAGAAAGAAACAAATAAACAAACAAACAAACAAACAAAAACAAAGAAAGAAGGAAGGAAGGAAGGAAGGAAGAAGGAAGGAAGGAAGGAAGGAAGGAAGGAAGGAAGGAAGGAAGGAAGGAAAGAAAGAAAGAAAGAAAGAAAGAAAGAAAGAAAGAAAGAAAGAAAGAAAGAAAGAAAAATACCTGTGGCTGGGTAACTTATAAAGAGGTTTAATTGGCTTACGGTTCTGTAGGCTGTACAAGAAGGATGGTGCCAGCATGTGCCTCTGGTGAGGGCCTCAGAAAGCTTACAATCATGGCAGAAGGCAGAATGGGGAGCAGGCATCTCACAAGGTGAGAGCAGCAACAAGAGAGAGGGAGATGTGCCACACACTTTTAAACAACCAGATCTCAGGAGAACCCACTCACTATGATGAGGATGGTACCAAGTCATTCATGAGGAATCTGTCCCTATGACTTACACTCCTCCCACCAGGCCCCACCTTCAACATTAGGGGTGACATCTCTACATGAGATTTGGAGGGAGAAACATCCAAACTATATCACAGGCAGCCAAGCATTGACTCAAGAGAGACGGAAAAGTTAGCCCATGAACTTCAAGCTTGTGGTAATTAATAGAGTAGCTAATATTGGACTAACACCTATGCCCATAAAAATTATTAACTGTAGACAACATATATATTTTTTAAAACCTGTTTTAGGAACTTGGGGGTGGCCAAAGCAAGGAGAAACTAGAGAGGATATGATCTCATGAAGGAGAGTATATTGGCTTACTATAGCAGGTAGAGCAGTTTGGTAAACTGGGTATCTTAGTTCAGGCTGCCATAGCAAAGTGCCCTAGACTGGGTGGCTACAAATAACTGAAATTTATTTCTTGCTGTTCTGGGGGCTGGAAGTCTGAGATCAGGGTGCCAGCAGGGTTGGGTTCTGGTGAGGCCCTGCTTCCAGATTATAAAGTGCCAACTTCTAGTTGTATCCACACGTGGCAGAAAAGGGCATGAGAGGCCTCTAAGATCTCCTTAATAAGGGCTCTAATCCCAGTCATCCCAGTCATGAGGATCCACCCTCATGACCTAATTACCTCCCAAAGGTCCCACTTTCTAATTTCATCACACTGGGAGTTAAGATTTCAACATATACATTTGGGCAGGGGTGGGGGGACACAAATATTCAGCTCATAAAACTAGGTGACTTAAAGAGCAGAAATGTATTATGTCACAGTTTCAGAGGCTGGAAGTCCAAGATCAAGGTACTGACAGTATTGGTCCCTCTCAAGGCTGTAATGAAGTGTCTGCCCTATGCCTCTCCCCTAGCTTCTGGTGGTTTTCTGGCTTGCAGAAGCAACTCCAATTTCTGCCTTCATCTGCACATGGAGCTTTCCTTGTGCATGTGTCTCTGTGTCAAAATCTCCCACTTGTTCAGGACACCAGTCATACTGGGTTAGGTCCACCCTATGACCTCATTTTAATTTGATAACCTTGTAAAGTGTTTTTCTCCAATTAAGATCGCTTTCTGAGGTATGGGTTAAGACTTTAACATAAGAATTTTGGGGGACAAAATTCAACTCACAGCAGTAAACAAACTAGGTAAGATCCACATGTAATTGGTTTTTCCCCTGAAGGCATGCCCAGTCTGTATGACACATGGTACACAGAGATCAAGCAGAAAGCAACAGCCTTACTGGGCTGTCAATCACTGAAAGTCAGAGATCGGAATGTAGAGTTGTCTAAGTGGCTAGAAAATCACAGGTCATATCTCAGAAAAGAGTGAGCCATTTTCGGGGGAGGGACACAAAATATGCAAACACACTGCTCTCAGGATCCTGCCTCACTTCTGGACTGCTCATGGATTGAGTGAGGTACTAAGAAATCCAGAAAGCTGTAAACAGAAGGCTAAAATAGCTAAGAAGATATTTCATTAGCTGCCTCATGCTGAGGGAACAGAGTTCAGGGTTAAAACCTCACCAAAGTTAGAGATTTTTGGTAAACCCCAGAAGGCTTTCTACTGAAACGCAAGAAGGGCCAGACCTTAGGACTAGTGACAATATCTGAGCCTTAAACCTAGGGGAAAACTGAAACAGAGCCAACCCAGCAGAGCCTAAAATCAAACCTCCACAATTTGAGGTGATCTGCAGGAATTCAGTTGCTTTATAGAACAAAACCTAACACTCTTCAGAGTAAAAAAACAGAACCCAGGATCTCTAGATTATATCATCCATAATGCCCTATATATAATTAAATGTTACTGGAAATGCAAGAGAATACAAAAATATGACAAATCATCAAGAAAAAATAGTCGATAGAAATAGACCCAAAGACAACATGCATGATAGAATTAGCAGAACTTTTCAATAACTAGAAGAAAAAGCTGGGACTAAGATGAAATGAGTGAGGCACTTGCCTTGAGTGTAAAATTTAAGGAGGTGCCAGAAAAACTGGGCAATCAATATAATACAATAAGGCAGTATTTTAACAAATCAAAATTAATGCAAAAGAAATCCATGATGTACAAACTACCAAAATTTAAAATAAGGGCAAGATCAATAACGACGCTATACTAAGCCTTGCTGAAACTGGGGAAAAAAATCAATAACGCTGACCTTGTCTTCATTCAAAATTTTTGTCAGAAAAAATGACAAAATATTAGGAAAAAATTTTCCAAATACAAATAAGACAAACATAGATCCAAGAAGCTCAGCAAAACCCACCCAGAAAAGAAAATATAAAGAAAACCTCACTGAGATATATCAAAAATCAAAATGCTGAAACAATAAAGACAAAGGAAAAAAAAATCTCCAACAAAGCCCAAGAAGGCACATTCCATGGAGGAGAACAGCAACAAAAATAACAGCTGACTTCTCACCACAAACAATAGAGAACAGAAAACAACAGAAGCATATCTTTAAAATGCTGAAGGGAAAACAAAACAAAATGAAACTTCAATCTTGATTCTACATCCAGCGAAAATATCCTTCAAAACAAAAAGTAACGTAAAGGCATTTTCAGATCACTGAAAGTAGAAAGAATTCATTACCAACAGACCCACACCACAAGAAATGCTAACCGAAGTTATTTGGGCTCAATAGAAATTATGCGAGATGGAAATTTGGAAATACAGGAAGGAATGAAGAACGCTGAAAATTATCAATACATTCATGCATCACTTAATGATGGGGATATGTTTTGAGAAATGCATGAAATGGTTAGGCAATTGTGTCATTGCGAGAGCCTCAGAGAGTGTACTTACATAAACCTAGATGGTATAGCCTATTATACACCTAAGCAGTATGACATATCCTATTGCTCCTACACTACAAACCTATACGGTATGTTACTGTATTGAATACTGTAGCCAATTGTAACACAATGATAAGTGTTTGTGTATCTAAACCTATCTAAAGATAGACAAGGTACAGTAAAAATACAATATTACAATCTTATGGGACCACCATCATATATGCAATTCATAACTGTGTATGGATAAATTTTTTAATTATTTTTTTCTCAGAGTCTTTAAAAGAAAATGGACTGAAGTAATAAAAAAATATCCTGGTGTTTATAAAATATGTAGAATTAAATATGTGACAATAGAACAAAGAACATCATGTGGTAAATGGAATTATACTTTAATTTTGACATTAAACCAAGAATGGTATAACAATTTCAGAGAGACAGTGATTAAGTTAAAGAGGTACATTATAATCTCTAGTCAATAATTTTTTTTTTTTTTTAAGACAGAGTCTCACTCTGTCACCCAGGCTGGAGTGCGGTAGCATGATCTCGGCTCACTACAGTCTCTGCCTCCCAGGCTCAAGCGATTCTCATGCCTTAGCCTCCCGAGTAGCCTGTAGGCATATACCACCATGCCCGGCTAATTTCTTTTGTATTTTTAGTAGAGGTGGGGTTTCACCATGTTGGCCAGGCTGGTCTCAAACTCCTGACCTTAAGTGATCTGCCTGCCTCAACCTCCCAAAGTGCTGGACAATAAACTTTCAAAATATAGAGAGAGAGAGATGTAGCTATAATGCTAGGAGAAGATAGAATGAAATATTTTAAAATACTTTATTAACCCCAAAGGGGGCAGGAAAATGAGGCAGAAAAGCAGAGAACAAGTAAAACAAACAAACAAACAAATAACAAAAAGATGACTCTCAGTGCCCACCTAAGTAGTGGTCTGAGACAGACCAGAGTTTGAAATCTGGTTCCACCCCTTACCCTCTGAGTGAACTTTGTAAAGAGTCTGAACCTCTCAAAGCAGTTTCCTTATCAATAAATAATAGTACCTGCCTCCCAGGATTATTGTATGAAATATTTAAAACTGTGTCACTTAGCACAGCCCCTAGCCTTAATAAGCTATCAATAAGTAAACAGTGGAGACAACACAAAAGAATTCAGTAGAAAGATGAAGTCACATGAAAGATGAGGGGTAAAAATTATCTTTTTAAGACATTGCTCATTTGTTGATGGCTCTGTGAAACCTTTACCAAATTCTCCATGAAGAAATAATTGATTCATTCCCAGGACTCCCAGAGCATTTTTTATATAACTCCGTAATAGCACTTAATAAACTGAATTATATTTATTTTCTTTAATTAAACTTTTCATTTTCAGATCATTATGGATTCACATACAGTTGTAAGAATACAAAGAGATCTCAAGTACCTTTCACAAGGGAACAGTTCCTATCAATGGTAACATCTTTTATGAAACTACAGTACACTATCACAACCAGAATATTTTCATTGACACAATCAAGATACAGAACATTTCTATCCCCACAAGGATCCCTCGTGTTGCCCTGATATAGACACATCCACTTCCCTTAGCCCTTTGAACTACTCATTTGTTCTCCATTTCTGTAATTTTGTCATTACAATGATGTTGTAAAATGGACTCGTACAGTGTGTAACTTTTGGGGACTGTTTTTTATTCACTCAGCATAATTCTCTGAAGATGAATCCAAGTTGTTGCGTGTATCAGTAGATGTTCTTTTTTAGTGCTGAGTAGTATTCCATGTTGTGAATATGCCATAGTTTAATCATCTGTTGAAGGATATCTGGGTTGTTTCCAGTTTGGGACTATTACGAATAAAGTTGCTATGAACAAACATATACAGGTTTTTGCATGGACATAAATGTTCATTCTGGGATAAACGCCTAAAAGTACAAATCTTAGATTGTATAGTAGTTGCATGTTTGCTTTTTTAAGAAACTGCCATTGTGAATAGTGCCGCTATAAACATATGTGTGCATGTGTCTTTATAGCACCATGATTTATAATCCTTTGGGTATATACCCAGTAATGGGATGACTGGGTCAAATGGTGTTTCTAGTTCTAGATCCCTGAGGAATCACCACACTGACTTCCACAATGGTTGAACTAGTTTACAGTCCCACCAACAGTGTAAAAGTGTTCCTATTTCTCCACATCCTCTCCAGCACCTGTTTCCTGACTTTTTAATGATCACCATTCTAACTGGTGTGAGATGGTATTTCAATGTGGTTTTGATTTGCATTTCTCTGACGGCCAGTGATGATGAGCATTTTTTCATGTGTTTTTTGGCTGCATAAATGTCTTCTTTTGAGAAGTGTCTGTTCATATCCTTTGCCCACTTTTTGATGGGGTTGTTTGTTTTGTTCTTGTAAATTTGTTTGAGTTCATTGTAGATTCTGGATATTAGCCCTTTGTTAGATGAGTAGGTTGCAAAAATTTTCTCCCATTCTGTAGGTTGCCTGTTCACTCTGATGGTAGTTTCTTTTGCTGTGCAGAAGCTCTTTAGTTTAATTAGATCCCATTTGTCAATTTTGGCTTTTGTTGCCATTGCTTTTGGTGTTTTAGACATGAAGTCCTTGCCCATGCCTATGTCCTGAATGGTAGCAAAGACTTGGAACCAACCTAAATGTCCAAAAACGATAGACTGGATTAAGAAAATGTGGCACATATACACAATGGAATACTATGCAGCCATAAAAATGATGAGTTCATGTCCTTTCTAGGGACATGGATGAAACTGGAAAACATCATTCTCAGCAAACTATCACAAGGACAAAAAAACAAACACCGCATGTTCTCACTCATAGGTGGGAATTGAACAATGAGAACACATGGACACAGGAAGGGGAACATCACACACTGGGGACTCTTGTTGGAGGGGGAGGGGGGAGGGATAGCATTAGGAGATATACCTAATGCTAAATGATGAGTTAATGGGTGCAGCACACCAACATGGCACATGTATACATATGTAACAAACCTGCACGTTGTGCACATGTACCCTAAAACTTAAAGTATAATAATAATAAAATTTAAAAAAAAGAAACTGCCAAACATTTTTCCCAAGTGGCTGTACCATTTCACATTTCTACCAACAATGTATGAGTGAGCCAGTTTTCCTGCATTCTCATCAGCATTTGCTGTTGTCACTATTTTTTATTTTAGCCATTCTGATAAGTATGTAGTGACATCTCATCTCATTGTGGTTCTTATTTAGACTTTCCTAATGGCTAATAAAGTGGAACATCTTTTCATCTATTTTGATACGTATATCCTCCTGGTAAAACGCCTGCTCACATCTTTTGCCCATTTTTAATTGAATTGTATGGGGTTTTTTTTTACTATTGAGCTTTGAATTATTTCTGTATTATAGATACTAGTCTTTGTTATATGTATGCTTTCCATATATTTTCTCCCAGCCTGTAGCTTCTCTTTTTCATCCTTTTCATGGGGTCTGCTGCAGAGCAGTATTCCATTTTGATGAGGTTCAACTTATCAATATTTCCTTTTATAGATTGTGCTTTGGATGTCAAGTGTAAGAATTCTTTGCCTGGCTCTAGTTCCCAAATATTTTCTCCTATGATTTTTTTTAAATTTATTTGTTTTGAGATGGAATCTTGCTCTGTTGCCCAGGCTGGAGCGCAGTGGCGTGATCTCAGCTCACGGCAACCTCTGCCTCACGGGTTCCAGTGATTCTCCTGCCTCAGCCTCCTGAGTAGCTGGGATTACAGGAATGCACCATCACACTTGGCTAATTTTTGTATTTTTAGTAGAGACGGGGTTTCACCGTGTTGGTCAGGCTGGTCTCGAACTCCTGACCTCAAGATCCGCCTGCCTTGGCCTCCCAAAGTCCTAGGATTACAGGCATCAGCCACCGTGCCTGGCCTTAAGTTTTAAAATTTTAAATTTTACATTCAAATTCATAGTTCGTTTTGGGTTAATTTTTGTATAAAGGGTGAGATTTTTGTCTAGGTTTAGTTTTTTTTCCTATAGCTATCAAATTGTGCCAGCACCATTTGTTGAAAGGGTTATCCTTCCTCCATTGAATTGCTTTTGCGCTTTAGTCAAAAATCAGTTGGGCCTATTTATGGGGGTCTATTTCTGAGTTCTCTATTCTATCTATGAGTCCATCCCCCAACCAATACCACACAATCTTCATGACTGTGCCTATATAATACATCTTGAAATCAGACACATTAATTCCTCATATTTTATTCTTTTTTATTCAAACTTCTTTGGCTATTCTAGTTCTTTTGCATTTTCATATAAATTTTAGAATAATTTTGTGTATATTTACAAAACCCTTGCCAAAATTTTTATAGGAATTGCATTAAGCTTATATATCAATTTGGGGAGAATTGATATGTTTATTATGTTGAATCTTCCAATTCATGAACATGATATGTCTTTCCTTCGATTTAGATCTTTAATTAATTTCATTAGCATTTGTGCTTTTCAGCATATCAATCCTGTATATGTTTTCTTAGATTTACAACCTAAATATTACCTTTTGGGGGGATCAGAAATGGTATTTAATTTCTTATTTCAATGCCATTCCACAAATCCCTAGGGCATGGACACAATGCAGCCAAGTTTTTTGCTGTAGCATAACAAGGGTGACCTTTGTTCCAGTCCCTAGGAAATCCCTCGTTTTCATCTGAGACCTCGCCAGCATGAAACTTACTGTCCATATTTCTATCAGGATTTTGGTCACAGCCACTAAACGAATCTCCAAGAAGTTCCAAACTTTCCCTCTCTTATCTTCTTCTGAGCCCTCCAACTCTTCTAACCTCTGCACATTGTTCAGCTCCAAAGCCACTTCCACATTTTAGGTATCTTTACAGCAACACCCCACTCCTTGGCAGCAATTTTCTGTCTTAGTCCATTTTCTGTTGCTGTAAAGGAATACCAGAGGCTTGGTAATTTATAAAGAAAAGAGGTTCATTTGGCTTACAATTCTGCAGGCTGTACAAGAAGCAGAGCACCAGCATCTGCTTCTGGTGAGGGTTAAAGCCTGCTTCCAGTCATGGTGGAAGGGGAAGGAGAGCTGGTGTGTGCAGAGATCATGGGGCAGGAGAGGAAGCAAGGGAGAGCAGGGAGGTGACAGGTTCTTTTCAGCAACCAGTTCTCTCAAGAAACAATAAGAGTGATAACTCAGTCACTCCCGCTGCCCTAGGGAGGCCGTTAATCTATTCATGAGGGATCCATTACCATGACCCAAACGCCTCCCATTAGGCACCCGCACTCTGACACTGGGGATCAAATTTCAAGATGAGGTTTGGAGGGACAAACATCCAAACTATAGCAAGTAGTTGTTGTCCAAAAGTTTTCTGTCTTGTTAATTGTTCTCTTTCCCAGTCCTTTGGCTAGAATAAACAGGCTTTTGTTGGGTCTTTTTCTTTTTCTTGCACCTGTTGGCATTCTGAGTTGCCAGTTTCTTTATCTCCATGTCTGGGATATACAAGACCAAAAGAAAACCCAGGGAACTCATCATCATCCTGTCATTTCTTCTTTTCTTGATCTCTAGCAGTGTGCCTTTCTTCAACCTTTTAATGTCTCATTATTTTTCTTATGTACAGTATCCAGGATTTTTCATTGTACTTACTAGGGAGAATAGGGCAAAGTATATCTGCTCTATCCTCTCAGAAGTGTACTGAGCAAACTGCGCTTTGCTTTTTTTTTTCTTTCAGATGGCGTCTTACTCTGTCACCCAGGCTGGAGTGCAGTGGTGCAATCTCGGCTCACTGCAACCTCCGCTTCCCAGGTTCAAGGGATTCTCCTGCCTCAGCCTCCAGAGTAGCTGGGACTACAGGTGTGCTCCACCATGCCTGGCTTTTTTTTATTATTATTTTTAGTAGAGATGGGATTTCGCCATGTTAGCCATGCTGGTCTCAAACTCCTGACCTAAGGTGATACACCCACCTCAGCCTCCCAAAATGCTGGGATTACAAGCATGAGCCACTGTGTCCAGGCGGCACTTTGCTTTTAAACAATTTTCTCATCCACCAAAATGTTTTGAGAGCCAGAAGCAAACTTTATTCATTTTAATTTCTTCAGCACCTAGCAGAGAGCTTGTGTCCAATATACACCTGTTGAATGAATATTGTGCCAAAGCACGTGTGCAGAATCCTGTGTAGTACCCAGCTTCTTCCACTCTACATTATAGCCTCTCAAATACTGAGACTGTGTCTGTAATTTACTTGGACCCTGAGCTTTCCTCATTTTGTGCCCAGGGCTTGCACTCTGGTTTGACTGTGTGCTGTACTGAAGGCCTACTATGGGGGATGAAGACCATAGACAACTCAAGACCGAAGCCAACAGTTCTAAAGAGGGCTTGACACCTGGTATAGAGGTGGTAGAAAGTTCCCAGTGAAGAAAACACCAGAAAGTTTTCAGAGTGATTGTGCCTGAAAGTTTTCATTTCATCTCCCCATATGCTACCACCCCCAAAGCTGTTAGGCTGGAATCAGAGAAAACAAAGCAGAAGAGCTTTTGGGATTTGCCAAATTGAAACAAAATTGCATCTCATTAAAATGTGCACACGTACTCACACATAGCATACCCAATTCATGGGTTACATGAATTCCCAGATCACTGGGTAATTTATTTGGTTCCTATTCCTGCACTGTTGAGAGGCACTGAAGTACAAACCAGCAAACATAAATAATCAACAGCTTTAGTGCCTTTATCAATCATAAACGTTGTGCTCAGTCCCTCAGGAGAGGATTGTAATTACATTCTCCATTCACGGTTTGGGTTGCTCAGTCCCTATGTGTGGAACTTGAAGGCCAGCCTCACTCTCTCCATGATATTATTCAAAGACACAGATGCCAGACTGTGCCACTTTTTAACCAAGAGAAGTCAGTCTCACACTCTCCTGTCCTTCAGAGAAATAGATATGGCTAAACCAGGTTTGTACAATAGAAATATAATGTAGGCAATGTAGGAAATTTTTAACATTTTAGTAGTCACATTTTTAAAAAGTAAAAAGAAATAGATGAAATTAATTTTATAATACATGTTTATTACCCATATCCAAAATACTATCATTTCACTATGTAATCAATATTTTTAAAAATATTTATTATAAGTCTTCAAAATCCAGTATGTATTTTACATTTATGGCTCATCTCATTTGAGACAACCACATTTCAAGCTTTCAACAACTACACATGGCTAGTGGCTGCCATATTGGACAGTGCAGATCTAAACCATGAGCAAGGAAAGAACGAATGAGTGAATAAGAGTCAGCAAGTGAGTGAATGAATGAATGAGTGAATAAAAGATTCAGCAAGTGAGTGAATGAATGAGTGAATAAAAAAGTGAACAAGTGAGTAAATGAACGAGTGAGTGAATGACTTAGTGACCGAATGACTTAGTGACTGAGTGAATGAATGAATGAGTAAATGAGTTAGTAAGTGAATTAATGAATGAATGAGTGAATAAAAGATTCAGCGAGTGAGTGAATAAATGAGTGGGTGAGTGAATAAATGAATGAGTGAATGAATGAGAGAGTGAATAAAAGAGTCAGCAAGTAAGTAAATGAATGAGTGAGTGAGTGAATGAATTAGTGACTGAAAGAGTGAACAAATGAGTTAGTGAGTGAATGAGTCTGTGAGCGAGTGAATGAATGAGTGAATAAAAGTTAGCAAGTAAGTGAATGAATAAATAAATGAATTAGTGAGTGAATGAATAAATGAGTTAGTGAGTGAAGGAATAAGTGAATAAATGAGTGAATGAATGAATGAGTGAATAAATGTTAGTGAGTGAGTGAATTAATGAATAAATTCATGAATGAATGCATGAGTGAGTGAATAAGTAAAGGAATAAATGAGTGGAAGAATGCATGAGTGAGTGAACACATGAATGACAGAGTGAGTAAAAGACTCTGAGGCTCCTGGCCAGCCCCTCACATCAATCACATATGCCGGCTGGAGATATCAGGCAAGAGCTAGAAACTTCACAATTATTACCCGTATAAAAATGTCCTACCTTACACTTGTACAACAGCAATTTATGCCTTCCCCAAGCTCTGTCACACACACCCTTTGGTCCTCATGACACTCCTGTGAAGTGGGTAGGAGTCAGCAGCAGTCCCAGGATCCCAGCCCTGGCAGACAGCCCCACTCCCACTCTGCTGCCCTCTCAGCTATGGGCCAAGAGAAACGCACCAGAACCACACCCATGAAGACCATGTGCTGGTAAAACTCCCCGCTCGGGTCTCTTCGGCAGAAGCTGCTCACCTCCACTGACTGCATTTTAGGCTCTCCCATGTCTTTGCTTACTTGGAGAGAGACCCCTGGTCTATACTCCAAAGGCAGCCAGTTGCTATGTGTTGTGGAGGAACCACCTGCCTGGAGCAGGTAACCATTCCCAGCCCTGTGCTGCACTGTATAGTTTCCCAAGGACTTCCACACACATCTCCATCTCCTCCACTCCCAGAACCAGGCCAACCCAGCCCAGCTGTACAAGCATAAGGCTCAGTCTGGAAGGCCAATTCCAGGAAGGTTCTCAGAACCTGGGATGGAGTCAGGAAGGATGTTGTATCCAGATCATAGGTGAAGGCCAGTGAGTGTTGGCATGCACACAAGTCCATGATCCCAAAACTCATGCATTTGTAAAGAAATGGACAAAGACCAAATCAGAAGGGAGAACAGAACAAGATGCAGCTGGAGGGGAAGGCAGGCCTGGAAAGTAAAATTAGTCCTAGAAATCCTATAGAGATAAAAAGCAGATTACTGGTTGCCATGGGCTGGCGGCAGGAAGAATGGAGAGTGACTGCTTAAGGGGCATGGGGCTTCCGTTTTGGTGCTGAAAATGTTTTGAAACTAGACGGTGGTGATGATCGCACAGCACTGTGAATATAATAAGTGCCACTGAATTTTACTCTTTAATAAGGGTCAAAATAGCAGACTTTGTGTTAGGAGTATTTCAACACAATTAAAAAAGAAAAAATAGTGCTGGAACTCCAGCCAAGTCTCCTCACTCAAGCCCAGCTCTCCTTCCCCAGCAGCTGTGGCTCACACAACCCAGCACAAACTCTTCCCCAAGGGTTGAGAACATCTTTTAAGGACAGTCAAAAACAGACAACCCCAAAATGCCCCACCCTGTCTGCAGAGTAGAACACTCAATGAACATCAGTGCTGTGCGGCCAAAGAGCCTGAGAATTACAAATGGTCACATCTGGAAGATTCTATTCTGCCCAGAGCAGCAAGGAGCTTGTTTACTGGGTGAGTGTCAAATTAAGGGTAACACTCTAAAATACTGAACTCCACTCTTCAGCTCATTAGGGAACTTTAATCTTTGAAATTTGTAAACCCTTCTTGAGGTTATTTATATGTTCCACCTGTGCAATATCTATTGGAGATAGAGAGTTGCAGGAATTTAATACTACTCATTGAGTAAAGTAGGTTCCCTTCAGTTCTCCTAAAATTATCTCCTGTCAAGTTTTATGGGGATGCAGGAGAAGGAGGGATTTAGGACTAAGATGTTAGGATTTTGACATACACTCCATCTTTCATAACTGAAAATGTTTCATCCCATCCTCTGCCAGTCTTGATCTTTCCAGAGTTAAGAATCCCAATTGCTGTCCCATCACTCTTGATCATTAGTAGCCTTTCCTACCACTTGTATATGTTTCTCCTCTCTCTTTCTCTCTCTCTCTCTCTCTCTCTCTCTCTCTGCAGGGGGAGTAATTAGAATGTCTTGAGATATTAGAAAAAGAGATAGAAGCAGCAGCATCTACGATTACCGAATCTGCTCTCTGCTTGGCCAGCAGATTCATAAAGGAATTGGAGACTCACATCCTCTTCCTGGTCCTGTCAGCTCCCAGGCACCACATGACCCAGCTCCTGCCTTGCTCTCCAGCCTCATCTCCATCACTCTGCTCGTTGCTTGCAATGCTCCAGGTGTCCTGGCTTCTTTCACCTTTCAAATGTGTCCAGAATCTTTGAACCACAGAGCTCTAGACATGCTCCCCACTTCACAGAAGCAAAGCTGTGCCTGTTACAGAGAAAATGTGCACAATGTAACATCTAAAATCCTGACCACATTCTGGGCTCTGGGAATTCACAGATGAACGAAACACAGTCTCTGCCCTCAAGGAACTCTCAATCTAGTGGCAAAGACAAGAAAGTAAAGCAATGATCACAACAGCAAGCACCACTGCAGTCCAATGCTGCACTGGAAGGACAGCATATTTGGGCGGCACAGAGGAGAGTCATGGGATCCAGGTCAGGGGCATCAAGAAAGGCTTCCTAGAGGAGGTGATATCTGGCATGAGCTTTGAAGGCCGAGTAGGGGCTCTCTACTGGTGGAGGAGACCCCTTCCAGGTAGAACAAACTGCATGGGCAGAAGCACTGAGGAATGAGAGTGGTCCAGGAGCCGAGAGTAAGTGGACCAAGATGAGTTTAGGGGGAATGGAATGAGGGAACTCAAGCAGCCAGGTCTTTTCAGAGCTTCCCCAGTGCCAAGACAAGAGCAAGTGGGAACACCAGGGCACCTGCCTCCAAGAGTCTGGAGCTGACAAATGGAGCTGCTGCTATTAACACTGTGGGCTGAGATGCCTTCTCTCATCTCCTTCCTGTGGAGCAAATATGCCTTTGTCATCCAGGTCCTGAAGGCAGTCAACACTAAATACCCACTTATTAGAGACCTGCAATGTGCCAGACATGAAGCTGAGTGCTGGAGAAGATAAAAAGAAAATATTTCATGGCAGCTTACATGCGACACATTCACACACATGCACACACACATGCACATGCACACTCACGTTCAGGTTCACACACACGCACACTTACATCATACCGGAGAGCAGCCTCAACCTCACCTTCAAAACTGACAAGCTGTCCCCTGCTAATGAGAGCCAAAAGCCACAACTCCTCCTGCTCCAAGTCCCCCACTCACTCCAATACCTCCTTAAAGATGCCTCAAGATCCATTAACCCAGACAGAAATTTCCATTTTACTATGAGAAGAAAGGTTTCAACTACAACCACGTGGGAGAGTCAACATCTCACCTGAACACCTCTCACCCTGTGGTGTCAGTGAGCAAATAAATAACTTTATGGTTAAGTGTGGGTCCAACTCTCTAATCAGGCTGTACATACCTGGAAGGCAAATCCTCTTAGCCCCCAGTTCCAATTTTAGACACTGTCACCCATGTGTCTTGGATAAGTGAGACTGTGGTTCGGTGTGCCCCACTCTGCCTTTCTCATTGTCTTCCTGGGTTGCTGGCAGCCCTCAGTGTCAGACCCCCATGGTCACCACCACTGTGAAGGCTCTCTCAGACTCCCTTGATGGTACCAGAGCACCTTGCACAGGCCCCTGCATAGCAGAGGTCCCATCTTATCACTCTTGCTGATGTTTCCCTCCTAGACAGGGCACTCCTCAAAGGCAGGGGCTCTGTTTCATTCATTTCTCTCTCCCCACAACATCAAACACCATGCCAGGTGCATTAGTACATTTTCACGCTGCTGATAAAGACTGGAGAATTTATAAAGAAAATGAGGCTTAATGGACTCACAGTTCCACGGGGCGGGGGAGGCCTCACAGTCATGTAAGGGAAACCCATTATAAAACCATCAGATCTCATGAGACTTATTCACAACCACAAGAACAGTATGGGGAAAACCACCCCCATGATTCAGTTACCTCCACGGGGGTCCCTCCAACACATGGGAATTATGAGAGCTACAATTCAAGATGAGATTTGGGTGGGGACAGAGCCAAACCATATCACCAGGCACATGGCAAAAACTAGATTTTACAATGTAAGATAAATGAATCACGGAAGTCAAAGGCGTATGGTTTCTAGCTCATGGAAAAGTTGCTGTAATGTATAGTCCAGTTCCCCAATTGCCCCTGCGCCCGTAAATCACAGTCGGCACTTTTGTTGTAGCTCTGTTAGACAGCACGATTCCTAAAGATGGTAATCTCTGGTGACAGATGGGTTGGTTCACTGAACTGCCTCATACAATGCCACCTTCCTCCAGCAGCAACGAGACCCTGGGCATGACCACATTGCATCAGACCCTGGAGCATGTAGCCCACTGCTATCTCCAGCAATAGCCTCAAGGGCTGGTGCCACATAGAGAAGCACATGGGGCAATTTGCTGCATTATCCAGAGGGCAGGGCCCCTGCCTGTGCTGCCACCAACAGCCACAAGCATCTGCTGTTCTCCTGCATTAGACCAAGGACCAGCACCTGCTAATTCCCCATCTGGCCATCCCAGGACAGAGCTTAAAAGTAAGACAAAGAGTGCAAGTTCAACAGCAAGATGTCATTAGCCCACTTTTCCTGTTTTCTTCTTCAAAGTAAAACTAAATACTCCGCAAATAATTCAACAGACAATCACAAAAGAACGCTTAAAGGTGGGGAGAGGGTCACATAAGGACCTCAAGACCTAAAAAATGATACTGCAGCAAGTCCCCTGAGTTTTTTTATCCCCTGCACATGCCAGCCTGGGTACTGGAGAGCCCTGCAAGCGGAACCACCAAGTATGGACAGAAGATTTAAAAAGAAAGGAAACAGGGGCCAGGCATGGTGCCTCACGCCTGTAATCCCAGCACTGTGGGGGCCAAGGCAGGCAGATCACTTAAGATCAGGAGTTAAAGACCAGCCTGGCCAACATGGTGAAATCCTGTGTCTACTAAAAATACAAAAATTAGCTGATCATAGTGGTGCATGCCTGTAATCCCAGCTACTCGGGAGGCTGAGGCAGGAGAATCACTTGAACCCAGGAGGCGGAGATTGTGATGAGCCGAGATTGCACCACTGTACTCCAGCCTGGGCTACAGAGTGAGATTCCATCAAGAAAGAAAGAAAGGAAGAAAGAGAGAAAGAAAGAGAGGAGGGAAGGAAGGAAAGAAGGAAGGAAGGAAGGAAGGAAGGAAGGAAGGAAGGAAGGAAGGAAGAAGGGAAGGAAGGAAGGAAGGAAGGAAGGGAAACAAACAGGAGCTGTGAGGGGGGAAGCCCCAGGAGACTTGTCAGGAAAACCCACATCACGTGGCAATGGTGCCCAACCTACCCACAGCAGCTTCATCAGCACGGCCCAAGCAGCCCAGCCCATCACTCCCCCATTGGGCAAGCTTGGTCACTGTCTACCCACCTCCCACCCCACTGAAATGCTGCACCTCAATCCCCTTGCAGGCCTGTGCTGCCCTCTACTACCTGCTGGAGTTCCAGGGTTCGTTCCACACTCCTCTCGGGTCAGAGTCCAGGCTGTTCCAACTGCTCTGCTGCAATGCACCTCCCTGCTCTGGGTACCTCTTGGAGCCTTTGGGAGTGCCCATGCTGCAGCTGCCACCTACTCTTATTCCATCCCAGATTATCAAGATATTAGGTTGATGCAAAAGTAATTACAGTTTTGCCATTACTTTTAATGGTAAAAACAGCAATTACTTTTGCACCAACCCAATACCTTTCTTCTTAGTGACACTCTTTTGCAGGGGTCCCCCAATTAGAGAATTTGAGGAAACACCCCAAAGCTGCTCCCTCCCCAACATATACACATACCACCCCCCCGCCCAATATGGTTTGACTACGTCTCCACCCAAATGTCGAATTGTAGCTCCCATAATTCCCATGTGTCGTGGGAGGGACCCGGTGGGAGGTAATTGAATCATGGGGGCGGGTCTTTCCTGTGCTGTTCTTATGATAGTAAATAAGTCTCATGAGATCTGATGGGTTTATAAAGGGGAGTTCCCCTGCACATGCGCTCTTGCCTGCCACCATGTGAGTCATGACTTTCATCTTCCCCCATGATTGTGAGGCCTCTTCAGCCACATGGAACTGTGAGTCCATTAAACCTCTTTTTCTTTATAAATTACTCCGTCTTGGGTATGTCTTTTTAGCAGCATGAGAACAGACTAATACAGAAATAGGGTTGAGGGCTCACAAATAATAGCTCCTACACTCACCAAATCACTCCACAGGTCCCTGAGCCTTGAGTCTGCCTCTGAGTGCCTTCCTGGGATTCTGCCAGCCAGGGTCTCTTTTACGCAGCTTCACTTCCCACCTGGTAGTTTGGCCTCTGCTTCCCAATGCCCGCTTTCAGTTTACCTGACATATCTGATCATGTCTAAACCCCAAATTTAGACATGGCTGGAGCGTCTTCCCCCACAGGAAGTTTTTAGCCACCATTCACGTCAGTGGATGCACATTTGATTTGCAGGGTTGTCCTGCAAATAGTCCACATGCAAAAATAAATCACAATATCACCTACTGGCTACCCTGGACTTCTGCTACACATTTTGCTTAGATGAGTTTCTTCATATATAACTCCCACGTTTCCCATAGAAAATTAGTCTGGCCCTTTAAAAAGGAAACTTGCAAAGTCAATTCACCAGTCCCAGCTTAAGGAACTCTTTGGAATCAATAGGAACAGAGTAGCACCAGCCCGGGATGGCAGGGCAGAGGGGATCCAGAGAAGATGCCTGCCCTCCGCAGGAAGCCACAGGGGGAGATTTGCTCCAGCTCACAATTTGAAAGTCTTCGTTCTGAGGAATTTAATTATAGCTAATAGCGAGGATTAATTGCTTTGTACTGTCTTAGTATAAATAAATACTTTCTTCATTTGTCTTTATGCTGCTGTTTCAATCCCAAGGCCCAAGTTCACATGAGTGTATTAGATAGATATGCTCTACCCAGTTCACCCCAGGTGGCTTAAACTAGATAAAGCAAGACCAGAAAACTCAAGGAGGCTGCTCCTGCCCCTGAATGCTGATGGGTAGCCAGTGACCTCATGTGGAAAGGTCTTGGACTGCTTACACATATTGTCGTAGGCTTACGGGTTTCACAAACATCACTAAACCCTGTGTGTGGTAGAATCTCCTTTTGTTTGTCCTACAACTATAAGGCAATGTTTCCCAATGTGCAATCCACAGTCTTCCTGCAACAAAAATCATCCTGGGTTCTTGTTAAAAAGGAATATTTCTGGGTGCTACTGAGACCTTCTGAATCAGCATCTCTGGGGGTGTGGCCAGGATGTGACATTTTAAATAAGCTCCCCCAGATATTCTAAGTGTTGGTCTATACTCTTAGTAATTTTTGACTTATGCTGTCCTTCTTACAAGATCATGATGGTGATGATGATGTTGATGATGATGGAGGAAATGGGGAGGATGATGGTGGTGGTGGTGATGGAAGATACAATAAAATTCCTTCGTATGTCCTTGGTTCTCGACCATTTACAGAGCTCTTTATTGCATTTAGTTCTCACAGAGATTTCATTGTTACAATCCCATTTACAGATGAGGGAGGAGCTGAGATTTACAGAGAGGTTAGAAGACTTCTGAAGCTCAGCAAAGCATTTACTCTGGGTTGTTTTCCTGAAATGACAGACTTATAGGAATCAACTTACTCTTATCCTGTCCCACCCCCTAAAAACCACAAGCTAGAGGTGCCAGGCCAGACCTGACTGGGTCTCAGGTTAGGCCCAGAGAATCATTCTTCTGAAGGACTACACACATGACCCTCAGGCATGTTCTATGCAGCCTGGAAGACTCCAAACTCCTGAGCCAACTGCTACTTACCTGGTAAAGGCCTGTAAGCCTCCTCACCCCACATACTCATCAGAAAAACTGCATGACAGTCAGAACTGGTGTTATTTGTGACTGTGCCTCTGCCACCTAATGTGTGTCCCTGGCAAGTCACCTAACTAAACCTCATCTCCTGTAAAATGATAGGTTAATAAGATTAAGTGGAAATAATGCTATTGAACGTTCTTTGCAATTGTAAAGTGCATAAACGTGACTCTTATTGTTAATATCATTACAATCTTTTGAGTTTCATGTTCAGACCTCCTTCCATGTTCTTCCTCCTTCCATCTCTCTCCACCCTCTCCCTGGCCTGGTCATCACCATGTTTGCCCAAGCTGGGAGCCAAGGGTCCAGCACCTCAGCAAAGAATGGCTCACAGTAATTCAAAAGCTGTTTTTCCTCCGCATGTTTTAGCAGTCCAGAAAGGCAAGTCACAGCCATAAATTGTGTACAGAAAGGACAGCATGTCACCAAAGGGGCCATTACCTCCTTAGAAGTCAAGCAACATAGATTAGAATGAAAATTATTTGGGATCTTCATCAGTCGGCTGAAATTGTTCAAGGCTCAGCAATTCACTGAGGTTTGCCACTGGGTCATTGATTTTAGTAGTGTGTGTATATGTGTGTGTTTGTGTGTGTGTGTGCGTGCGTATGCACATGCTCCATCTTTCATTGTGGCTCAAAACAGGAAAGAACAACAGAGACCATTACAAGTTCTGTGGGCCTGAGATTGCTCTGAAGATCTGGGTCTGGTGGTTCTCAGCCTGATTTAGTCTAGCAGAGTCCTCCTGGGGACACAAGGAGGTCTCCACAAGGCAGAAGGCCATGGAGGGAGAAGGCTCCATATGAGACTTCTGAGAAACACCTGCTCAGAACACAGAAAAACTATAGGCAAGGACAGGACAACCTAGAAGCCAAGGACACCATTACAGATGAGGCTTCAGATTCAGCACCACGGAGCTCAGTGTACTCACCCCAGGTCTCAGTGGAACCCGGAAGCACAAGAGCAGCCATGGCCCTACCTGACCCAAGATCTAGTTGTCCAGTCCTGTGTGTTGGACTCCTGGGTCAGAACAGTCATGTAAAAGGAAGAACAAGAATAAAACCACATGCTGATCAAGTGCTCACTATGTGCCAGGCACTGTGCTAAGTATTTCACGTGCATTATCTCATTTGATCCTACAAAACCCCTAGGAACTAAATTCTAGTATTAATATTATCCCCAGTTAATAGATAAGCAAACTGATTAAGTGCCCACTGGTTAAGGGCCTTACTCAAGATCACAGAACCCATCATGGGGAAGCCACAATGCATACTCAAGTCTTCCTCCAGAACCACACACTTCACTGAGTTCTGCACTCAGCCCTTTACGCAGGCCCTGGCCCAGAGGTTAAAAACTCAAGTTCTGGGGCTGGACTACCTGGTTCAATGCTCTGCTCTGCTATTCACTACCTATGCACTTTCACCTCTTTGGACTCTGTTTTTCTAGTTATAAAATAGGTATAATCCATATCATAGAGCTTTGAATGAATCAATATATGCAAAGTCCTTCTTAGAGAACGTACAAGTGTTCAGTAAGTGAGCATTTAAAACTGAGTTGATTTTAAGGAGGCCAAAAAGCCAAACAGGAGCAATGAGGCAACCCAGAGATTAGCAATGGCAAACTACCACTTACATCCCTATGCTGCTGGGACAAAGGAGGCCTCTGGATTGAGGGACCCAGGAGCCTGGTCACCTGGCAGACCTGCTTACTGGGTGCCAGAAACCTAGAATTGCAGCCAGTTCTGGAAATGCTGTCCAAGGCAGAGAAGGAGAAATGCCCTGGCTTCTTCCTCCCAGCTCCCAGCTCCTGCCAGTCTCCCATAGGCTGAGACCAGCTGGAAACCTGCTGACCCAGGGGCTGGAAGACACAGCCTATGAGAGTTAGGCCCTGCCAAGCAGAGCAGCGTGGGGCCAGGGCATAGAGTGAGTCAGAAAACAGCAGGCTTGGAATGGGCATGACCTGTCTTAAGGACAAAATCCAAACTCCTTAGCATGGCCTGTACAGCCCGGGCTGTGGCACCCCGCCAACCGTGCCTCTCTATGCTGTGGCATCCCAGAGCCCAGTTCCTGCCTGCCTCGGGGGCTCCATGCATGCCTCTACCTATCCTGTTTCTCGCACTCCTAGTTCCACTCATCCCTACTCATTCTTCAAGTCTTTAAATGTCACTTCCTCTGAGGGGCCTGTTCTCTGCTATCTAGAATAGGACCCCCCTCTCAGTAATTTCAAACTCAGCACTCTCTTTTTTCCCTTCATAGCATTTTTACCCTTCACTTTTCCCAAAACCTAGCACAGGGCCTGGTACAGAACAGGCGTCAACACCTGCTTGTTGAGTGAGTGCATGAATATGCTGATCAGCCTTCATTCACCAGGCCAGACGAATGCTCAGAAGAGCCAGCCACAGGGCCAGCTTCCCAGAGGTCCCAGGCCCCTGGACTCCTCACTGCCTCTTCTAAATGCCCAAGAGCACAGCTCTACCTTGGGTCACTCAAAAACTGCTGCCACTCCCAAGAAATTCTGGCTGTAGGCCAAGGGCAGGATCACCTGGGTAGGACCTTCCCCCTCGGCTCATTCCACCCCTCACTCCCTCATTTACCCCCAACCACTCACCACGGTCCAAAGGAAAACCCTTGGATCCATCACCTCGGGAGTGCCCCCAGGCCTTCTCTCTTACCTTATATAGAATGTACCCTGGGTCTTCTTGTGGTCAGGATCATATTCAGCTTTGGAATCTCTTGTGGTCATTTGAAATCTTTGGGGTTCCTAGGGGTACAGACTAGAGCTCTTGGGGTCCCCAGGGTCTCTTTTCCCATAAAAATAGGAGGAGAGAGTAAGAAGAGAGAAAGGCAGGTGAGGGCAGCTGCCAGCTTACAGAGGAGAAGGAGGGATGGGGAGGGAGAGCGCGTACAGGCCAGGGAAAGTTGGAACAGCCTGTAAGTAGGCCAGAAGGGTCTGGGCTGAGCCTGTGATTAGCACCACTAATCATTTCACCAGCTCAAAATAAGTTCTCTCCTCTGAGACCATCCTCCCAGGGTCAGCCCAAGCTCCTGATTAACCCAGGTTGCTGCTGTTCTGCTGCGAGAGAAAATAACCCATGGGAGGGCTGGAGGAGTCCGGGAATCTGAGGTCCCCAAAGGTCATTCCCCCAGCCTCCCAGCACACCACCCCTAACCCCCAGCATAGGAGCACGCTCTCAGGGCCACCAAGCCTCCTACTCTCTGGTGGGGTGCCCGGCCACAGGGTTAGTTCAGGCCCCCTCCCACACAGAGGAGCCCAGCCAGCAAGATAGGTAATTGGCAGGGCTTGGGGCCAGCCCCGGGGGGATAGTGATCTGGGAGAATATCCTGTCTTCCGGATTGTCACCCTCACTTATCCTCAGGGTGCTGCAACCCCCAGAGTGCTCTCTGGGACTGATCTCACATCTGCTCCCAGAACAGTATCTGAAGTGATTAAAACCACACAGCCCCTCCATTCACACTCCTGTCGTCTCTCAGCTGGCCACCTGTCGGGCCACCAGACCAGATAGCCACTTTCCCTTCTCCTCTAAGGACTCTTGTTCGACATGGTTGTTTGGAAAGGGGGGCCTGTGGGTGCAGAGACCCGGAATTACAGCAGCAGTTAATTGCCTAGGTAGCAGCCTGGCCGAGGCAGGGGACGTGTCTGCTCAGAAGCCAACTCAGGTTCTCTGCTGAAGGTCATTAGGAGGAGGTAGAACTTCAACGTCTTCATCCCACAAGGCCACATGGAAGATGACAAGTTGGCTGGCCTGAGCATAGCACAGCTTCAGATGCAGCAGTGGGCCTCTGCGGGGACCTTGGGGCACACTCCTCTCTCTGAGTGCCATCTTCACCTGACAGGCACTATTAATTGGCAGCTGTGAGAATGCAGTGGAAGGACCAGTTCCAAAGACATGTTCCTTAACCTGGAAGCCCCACACACCCTCCTGCCACTCAGCCTTATCCTGCCTGGACTTCAGGGCCCATGTCCAGTCCCACCCTCTCCACAGACCCTGTCCTGACTATACTACACAAGCCTACAGGGCCATTTATCCACCAGGAGGTAGGCTGTGCCTTTAAAAATGTGGGTAAGGGAGGTAGTTATATGCTGGAGAAATGGCAGACAGTGTCAAGCAAGTTTATGGCAAGGACCAAACAGAGTGTCCGAATTGCCTCTGCCCCAAAGAGGTGATAAGTACATGGCCCAGGCCTTCAGTGGGAGTGGGGGTTGATGCTTCTAACATGCAGCTGGGGAATAGGGATGTGGGAAAGTGCTACAGGCAGGTCCATGGTCCCAAAGGAGCCATCCACAGGCAGGTTACAAAATTCCTACAAGGCCAATAAAGGAAAAGCCAGCAGGAACCCTAGGGACTTCAGGGAGCTGCTTTATGAGGCCCTTTAGAGTGGGCCACCCAAAAGCCAGGCCTAGAGGAAAGGCCAGGGCAAAAAAGCAGGCAACAGAACCACTTCCCCATCTGCTTCTGTGGCCCCAGGTGAGGTCATGCTCTGAACCCTTAAAGGATATGCAGAGAAGACGCGAAAGAGCCCAAAATCGGGTGGGCTAGAAATTGACAGGCCAGAAGACCCCAAAGCCAGGCAGAGTGGATCCTGGCTGTGGGCAAGAGCCAATGCCCTCTGTCCCCTTCTCCCAACCCACCCCAGGGAACTTGGGCAGAGAGCATCAGCCAGGCAGTCCTACCCATCTCCTGGGGAGATGCTGCTAGCCACAGAGCCTGTATCGGCATCCACCCAGAGCTAGCGGCAGCTGCTTCCCAGTCCCACCCAGGCAAGGTGCAAGAATGCCCTCGCAGCTCATCAGGTGGCCAGCAGCAAGTGTGTGCCTGGGGGGTTCCATGAGGGCCGGTTGCTCTATCTAGCTAAGCCTCCATCTCCCATGGCCTTCATGCAGCAGCGTGACTCTTGCCCCCTAAGATCATTGTGGGGAGGCTGGCCAGGCCAGCTGCTGGTAGTTCACAATAGGGTTCATGCTCCTGTGAACCCTCTAACAGCTCTAACAACTGTTTCAGCCAGAGAACAATGAAGCAACTGACTGTCAGCTAGCTGCCCCAGGGCACACTGCACAACCATGGGGCACAGGCATGTGTTTTTGCAGACACATACAACACACCACACACACACACACACACACACACACACACACACACACAATGTGTAATACAGGTCCCTGTCCTATTCCACAGCCACAACTCTCAACAATGTCTGTCCACACACAGGACAATGTGTACCCTGCTGACCAGCCCTAATTTCTAGATATTCCATCCTGATTATTTTAGGAATTTTGGTTTCCCTATGAACTTTATGCCCAATATAAGAGTACCCTTTCAGAATGCAGCCTCCCTTCCACAATGGCCTCTGTTTATAGATGAGTAAATTGGATGAGGAAGCTCGTCCAACACCACAAAAGCCTTTATGTAACCAAGCAAATATGAATGGCCCAAGCCACTCATCTCTGAGGCATGGCTGGGAGCAGGGGGTGCCTAACATTGAAAACTGTGTCAGATTCTAAGAGCTACATCACAAATAGTGTCCATTGTTCTTGTAGATGCAGACAAACACACAAAATTACACTCTAAGCAGCAAAAGTGGTAAAATTAAGTCTGTCTGGAAGGTCTGGAACACCTTCATGGAGCACGTGACATTGGACCTTAGTCCAGTGTGGGGAGGGCCACTGTGCAGGAAGGACTTCTAATGCACCAAACATGGTGGCAGACGCTTTACAGAGAGCCTTAGTGCAGCAGCCCCCAGTGTTTTTGGCACCAGGTTTGATGGAAGACCATTTTTCCATGGACCAGGGTTAGGGGCCAGATGGTTTTACAATGAAACTGTTCCACTTCAGATCATCAGGCATTAGTTGGATTCTCATAAGAAACGTGCAGTCTAGATCTCTCACATGTGCAGTTCACAATAGGGTTCATGCTCCTATGAGAATCTAATGCCGCTGATGATCTGACAGGAGGCGGAGCTCAGGGAGTAATGCAAGTGCTGGGAGTGTGTTTAAATACAGATGAAGCTTCACTTGCTTGCCCTTGCTCACCTCTTGCTGTGCAGCCCCGTTCCTAACAGACCATGGACCAGTACCCATCCATAGCCCTGAGGTTGAGGACCCTTATCTTAGTGAATCTTCACATCCATGCTGTGAGGTGGGTGCTTTCCTCATTTCTACTTCACAGGTGAGGACAGGAAGCCTTAGGGTGTTTGACCCAAGTGATATTGCTAGAAGGAGTAGACCAGGATTTAAACCTAGTCAGGGTGACTCCAGAACCAGCACTCTCAGTTGCCACGTTGTGTTGCATCTCAGAATGGGAAGCAAAAGCATTGGCAGGAACAGCTGCCAGGTGGGAAACATGGGGAAGGGTCTTGAGGCAGAGGTATGGCATGTGCAAAGGCAAAGAGTGGGGACATCATGGTGGCCTTGAGGGCCTACAATTTTGCATCTTGGCAAGATCAGCTCTGGATTAACAGGAGGCAAGGTTAGAAACAGGGAAATTAATGAAGAGCTTATGACCATGAACAAAGACAGTTACTCCACAATCAGATATAGGGAAAGAGAGTAATGTGTGGGAGTCTAACATAATTCCTAGGGGCTGGCCCACAGAAGGAGGGGCAAGTTGAAGGAGGGCAATAAAATGAGTCCAGGTTGCGTGGGAGGAGAAGCATTCAGGTGAAGCTATCTAGTGGGAAGTTCAATATAAGGTGTGTGGTACAGGAGAGAGCTCTGGCCAGGACAGATGTGTATGAATGGGTAGACGTGAAGTCACGGACAACCTTGGTCTGGTGCAGGAAGAATGAGAAGAAAGGGAAAGAGGACCCTAGGAAAGGAAGCTGAGATATGACAGATGTGTAAGTTCTGGGCAGAAGAAGAGGAAGCAGCAAAGACACTGGGAGATGCTGGTCAGGGAGCTCAGGGGAGAAGCAAGGCAGAGAAATGGCTCAGGTCTACAGGGTTCTAAGAGAAGAGGAGTGGCTGACTGGTTAATGCCTCAGGAAAGTCAGGTGAGTTGTGGGCTGTAAAAGGACACATTAGGAAGTAGGGAGAACCAAAGCAGAGAAAAGGCTCAGGTCTACAGGGTTTTAAGAGAAGAGGAGTGGTAGATCGATTAATGCCTCAGAAAAGTAAGGTAAGGTGTGGGCTGCAAATTGACATATTAGGGGTCACTGGGGGCTTTTGTCATTAAAATAGTAGATTAAGGAGAGAACAAAAAACAAAGTTGAAGATGATGATCTTCAAGGAACTGTCTTCAAAAGGAAGAACAAAATGTTGCTAGCATGGTTGAAGAAGAGATATTTTTATGTAAGTTGATTTTTTAATTACTTAGTGATGGATACATGTGATAGAATATATGTAAAGTATCCATGAATGCTTCACTTAACCTAAGAGCTCCACTTAACCTAAGAACCAGAACATCGCCAGTACAGCGGTACCATACTCCATCACCTCCCTAGTAACTGTCCTCCAGGAAGAGCTTTTGAAGATGGGCTGAACTGAAGCATGTTCAAGGACTATGAGGAAGGGACAATAGAGTGGGAAGATCTTGTGGAGTCCCTGAAGGAAGAACGGGATAGACTGTAAGTACAGGAGAGAAGAGTGAACAGAAAAATCATTCCTTGCCCTGAGCCAGGAGGAGAGGAGTGAGAGTTGATGTACATTTGGATGAATTGAGAGAGAATGAGGATAGGAAGCTGGGACAGCACTTTCCAGATGACCCCCATCTGTTCCTCAATAGGACGATGATGATGAAGATGATGACGATGATGATGATGATGATGATGATGACATAATGATGATAAATGAGGCAGTAATGTTGTTAGGACCTTGAGGGGAATAAGCTGACCAGAGACACATAATGGATTCTTGCCAAGCAGCACCAAGAGCCTGCCCAATGGATCTGCAGTGGCTCCTTCCAGCCAAGTATATGATCTCCTCCAGTGGTTCTCAACAAACCCAGTGAGTAGAGGAATTGACAGATAGCTGGATGGACCCAAGGTGCACAACTTACCTGCGTGGGTCTAGTCCAAATAGAACAAATCCAGATTGATAAAGCAGCTTGTAAGAACTGGGTTGGAGGACGCACCCTAGGATATTGGCTACCCAGAAAAGAATAGGAAAGGAGATGGGGCTGGCCTGTGGGCAAGAGAAGCATCAAGGGAAATGTACCTCTAAATGAGGTGGGAGAACAGAGGACACAGTAAAGCACTGAGGTAAGTGTCAATGAGCGCTGTAAAGTGCTAACTAAGTTTGCATCTGGCTGTGACACCTATCAGCTATGTAGCCTTGGGCAGATTTTTAACATCTTTGAACCCCCATGATCTTACTCATAACAATTCCTCTCTTAAGGGGTTGTCACCCTAAGCTCAAAGGAGGGAGCTGTGAAAGTTCATTGTAAGCTGTGTGCAAATGTCAGCAGTGATGAATCAGGCAAGGAGGTCAAGACAGTCTTCAGGTTTCCAGCAGGACTGGGACTCAGTAAGTCATTCCTCCCCATCATTTGGTAATGATGTCATTTGGTAAGTAAGTCATTCCTCCCCGTCATTTGGGTGGCTGCTTTTCCCTTACTCTGCCCTTGTCCTTCCCAAATCTCATTTGGTTGGTTTCTGACCAATCTCTAAAACCTACTCGAGTCAATTTGAATTCTAATCTGATCCTCCAAGGTGCCCCTCCAGCCTCAGCTGGGTGTCATCTATGAAATTAATGAGTGTGCTCTCTGTTTCATCATCTAGTCCATTGCTGGAAACATTAAATAGCCCAGGGCTCCAGACTTTGAATTGCTCCAAATGGACTCTCACAAGTCTCCAGTTTTTTTTGTCGTTTGGAGACATACAGTGGGAAGCCAAGCACTTCCTCTCCTGGATTTCAGCCATAACCCCACCACCACCACCACCACCCTCACCTGCAAACGTGGTCTTTCCATGAGGTGCCAAAAAAAGACATCGATAGTTAGCAATCAAAATAAGGCTCTCTGCCCTTCCCTGAAGATCACACCACTTCTATCTCCTGAAGCATTCTTTAGGAGACCCTGGGCTTACTGCCTTGACTCTGGCTCCTGCCAGTGCCCTTGCCTTAGGGGCCTCTGAGCCATCATCCACTCAGTCCATGATGTTTAGTGTATATCTTAGTCCATCTGGGCTGCTATGACAAAATACTTTCCACTGCATAATTTATAAACAACAGAAATGTATTGCTCATAGTTCTGGAGGCTGGGAAATCCAAGATTAAACTGCCGATAGAGGAAGGCCTCTATAGATGATGCCATCTATGTGTCCTCACATGGCTGAAGAGGCAAATAGCTCCCTGGGGCCTCTTTTACAAGGACACTAATCCCATTCATGACGACAAAGCCCTCATGACCTAATCACATCCCAAAGACTCCACTTCTTGATACTATTGCACTGGGGATTAGGTTTTGACATATGAATTTTTGGGAACAACAAGCAGTCAGACCATAGTAGTGTATTAGCAATAATTTACTACTGAGGAAGAATTCTTGGGGTACCACTTGGGAATGTGTTGAACATAATCCAGTCCCACTGATCTGCCTCCACTCTGCCAGTTCTAAGATACAGGTCCTGAAGACAGCACATTTCTCCTACCCCCTGGCATCCCTCTTTCCTTAACCTTCCTCTACATGATTTTTTCTTTTTTTAGACAGAGTCTCACTCTGTTGCCCAGGCTGGAGCGCAGTGGCGTGATCTTGGCTCACTGCAAGCTCCGCCTCCCAGGTTCATGCCATTCTCCTGCCTCAGCCTCCCGAGTAGCTGGGACTACAGGTGCCCGCCACCATGACCAGCTAATTTTTTTTTTTTTTTTTCAGTAGAGCACGGGGTTTCACCATGTTAGCCAGGATGGTCTCAATCTCCTGACCTTGTGATCCACCCGCCTCAGCTTGCCCAAAGTGCTGAGATTACAGGCGTGAGCCACCACACCCAGCCTCCTCTACATGATTCTTGAAGGACAACACCCAGGATTCATTCATTTTTTATTGTCTATCTATGAAGTGTCAGCCTCAGTCATTGGTGCACAGCCATTAACAAAGCAAACATGATCTCCTCTCTCCATATGAATACTGCAGTCTAAACTCTGCCCTGCTGTCCGTCTCCCCTGATGTCTCGAAATAGTCATTTTCCACACACCCCCAACCCCCTGGATCCTATTTGACATATCCTACACTGATTCTTCCCCCACGTGTTTGGTGAAAGTCACCTTCCACAGTTGATCTTCTGTCCAAATTCTGGCTCCTGGCTCATGCTCAGTTTTCCACATCATCTTTGTCACCTTTTTTGTCCCTTTGTATGTCTCACCAGTTCTCTATCCTGTGCCTAAGCAGGCATTCCTTCTTTCATAGCTGCTATCTTCTGTAGGTAGGTTGAGCCCTAACCAACCCTACTTCTACTTTCCCCTCCGTCCCCTTCTTGCCCACCTTCTGCTAATGGGTTGGCCAACATTAACGTACATTTGCAAAGCAACTACTTTGGACCTCTTGTCTTTGGTCCCACAGGTATCTGGCTTTGGCAATTCCCTAATTGGGAAGGAGGTTTTCCATCAACTTCTAGTGCTTTCCTGCCTCATACCTAGACAGATCCAGGTTTCTTCTGGGGGAGGTTGGTGAGCACACCCCAGAATTCCCTTCATGAGGAATGAGACCCAGTGCCCTTGGGGTCTATTTGCTCATCCATCACTCGACAGTCCTGGCTATAGCTGTGCCTGACACAGTGCTAGGCACCAGGAATCCAGAGATGATTAAGACATACTATATTGTGTGAAAGCAAAAGAAAGGAATTCTTTTTTTTTTTCAATTGAGGATGTTGGAATGTTTCATAGAGTTGACATGCAGAGACAAAAAAACAAATGGAGAAACTATAATCAATGACACTGGTTTTAACTTAGCAATCTGTCATCTCTGCAGAGAAATATTTTTTAGCTACCCTGCTGGCCTCACTGAGCAGCTGAGACACATGTGTGTGCAGGTGTCTGACATAGTTGACTCCATCTTGCTTCTAACCTCCAAGCTGTCCTTGGTCATTCCTGGGCATAGGCCAAGATAACTTGGGGAGGAATTTAGTTTATACTTTAACCTTAAAGCAAGGATAGTAATAATCCTTTCCAAAACTAAACCACCTTTGTAAAACGAATGAAAGGCCACAAGTTAGGATTATGAGAGGGGTCTGAATTCTACTAAGATGTAGGCATAGTTAATCAATAATCAGCCATTGTTCCAAAGGACCATACTTCCCCAATTATTCCTGTAGATAACATCACTATTGTAGAACCTAAGACTAGCCTTTTGAGATATTTGTTCAGACTTTTGCATTTCTGACAACCTGCTGACTCCACTCAGATCTGTGACTCATGACTCAATGGGTCCAGCTGTGTGATCCCACCCAGAGGCTGAGTCTGTGCACAAGACCCACTTTCTATACCCTTATGATTTCGTCTCCAACCCATCAACATTCTCCACTCCCTAGCCTCCCTTTCACCAAACTATACTTGAAAAACTCTAACTTTTGAGGAGACTGATTTGAGTGTCCATCTCCTCTATGGCCAGCCTCACGTTAGTAATACTCTTTCTCTACCACAATAGCACAATTCCAGTGGATTGGTGTTGTCTGTGCAGGAGGCAGGAAAAACCCATCGGGTGATTACACAAGTGTGTGTCAGCCATGGAAGAAGGGGTTTGTGTGAGAGTTTCCTCTTAAACAATAGAAAAGCCAAAGAGGGAAGAACTCAAAGGGTAAAGAGCAACCTCAGAGACCTCTGCTGGTCCAACCTTCAGCACCTCCCTCTCTGTTTTGCCCCCATCTAACCAAGAGCCTAATGGAGACCTCATCAGTTCCACCTTCTGAGCACCTCCTATGTCTTCTGTCTACATTACTGTCTCTACCTAACACAGACCCTGCTGTCTCCCATCTTGTTGACTGCAGCAGTCTCCTAATTGGTCTCTCTGCCTTCAACTTGACCCTTCCAGATGGTTCTTCCCATGGCAGCCATAGCATCCTTTCTAAAACACAAATAATCCCTTATCTTCTTCAGTGGCTCCCCAAGTGCCTTTTGCTTAGCAAAACTCCCCAAGTCTGCCATATATGGCCCCCTGCTGATGGCTCCAGCCTCATATCTCACCACTCCCTCCCCAAACCTAGATGGAATGTCCAATCCATGCTGTGTTGCTCTCTCCTACCCCCATCTCCCCACACTTTCCACATGCTCTTAATTCCTGAAACACCTTGGCCCTTCCCATTCTTTCACCTCCTCTTTGCATGGCTGATCCGTAGTCAATATCAAGGTATCAGCCTGGGCTTACCTTCCTCTTTCCTGGCCCCAGTCTAGGGTGGGTACATGCCTTTTATCATCACAGGATATCATGATTGCCTGTTTAGTCATCTGATTCTCATTAGATCATAGGCTTGGAGAAGGCAGAAACCACTCCTGTCTTGGAGACTGTTGCATCTGCTGTTCTAAATCAGTACTTGTTGAGTTAGCAGTGCTTGGTATTTACTGAACAACTGAATACGCTGTGATTCCTTATAAGGCTCCACATTCAGCATTGTCTTCTCAACTAAAATGAAGCATTTTGGTGATTTCTCCTGAAAAATAGATAGAATCCCAAACTACCAAAGGTGGGAGAACTTTAGAAGTCCTCAAACTCAAATCTCAGGTGTCAGCTGAACAAATGGAGTAAGAAATGGAGTAACAAATGGAGAAGTGAGTCACCTGGAGCTGTGAGGAAAGTGGTCATGAACATTGCTCTGATGTCATCTGTAGTGATTAGTGGTACCTGCCCATACCCTACACAACCCAGCCTCCAAAGAAACCTGTCTGTTAGTGATTGCAAAGCACGTTCCCACCCATTTCCTCGTTTGAGCCACACAACAATCCTACAACATTGATTGGAAAGGTGTTATCAATGCCCCCATTGTACTGATCGGGGAATTGAGGCTTAAAAAAGCCCAAGTCACAAAAGTCACAACTCCCAGGGAAAGAGGAAGGTCCCTCTGAATCCAGACTTCATGCTCATCCCCACTCACCACACAGAATCTGGCTCTTTTCCATCTCCCCACAATAGGGTGGGAAGCCAGCAAGGAGCAAGACGATGCAGTCACGGCCTTGTTGCCTGGCAGCACATCTCCATCATGCTGGAGATTATCCAGCAGGTCCACAGGATGAAAGACAAAGAATCTCCTGTTTGTAGCTGGGGCTGACCCTACACTGTGTCCAGAGCTGCCACGGTAGAGGGGCAGGCAGCAGCTGTCAAACTAGCCAGTGTTCAGCTAGGTGCTTGACTTTATTTAAGAAAATTATTTTTCATCCAGTCTCACAGGCAATGGACTATGCCCTGACTTTTTTCAATGAGATTGGGAAGCTCGAGCTGACCTGACACATCCCTCCACTTTCCCTGTGCACACTTAAACATTCTGCCAAAACTAATAACTTTATTCCTAAAACCTTCAATTCACATAGGGCAAGCAGTGTCTGCCTGTGCTGTACAGAGCATGCACTTCAGTCTTTATATTACCCAGAGGAATGAGCTGCTATTATGAAATCATTAAATTAATAACTTGGTAATATAGGCAGATATATAAAACAATCTGTTCATAGAACAAAAGAAATTACTACGTTCCAAACATTCATAATTTAATTTAACAGAGAATTAAAGTAGCATACCTAATTTTAGCCTCAAAATGTCAATAGAATTATGTAAATACAGCACCGAGTCCCATGGCTGTGTGTGTGTGTGTGTGCACGTGCACGTGGGTCGTTGTGGGTGTGAACAGAGGGTGGAGTGCGGGCTTGACTTTTCCCTCCTGTAGGCCTCTCTTCTTCACAACGGAGAAGCAATTGACAGGAATAGATGAGGTGCCCAGCTTTTAATTAAGAATTTATTAAACATTCATAGAGCTGTAGAGAAAGCAGCGAGCAAGGCATGCTGCTTTCTGCCAGGGTTGGGTGCTGAGCAAACAGAAAGAGTCACAGAAGGAAGGGGATCCCACAGGGCTCCAGCAGGCCTCCCTGGGGAATAGCAAGCATCAGAGGCCACTGGGCCTGGACCACAGAATCTAAGAGGCTCTAAAGTATTTTATGAGTATGGACATGAGACGATGAAGAGGAGGGCTGCTGGCTCGTGTGGCATTATCTTGATGGAAAGACAAGAACAGGGGAACTATCTGCCCACCCCAGCATATGGCAAAAGCTAGCCTTGTTTGCGGGTAGGCAAAGGAGTGAAGTAACCTGGCAGGGCCCTGGCCCATTTCAGTCAACTCTACAAACCACCTGCCCCATATGAAGTGAAGGGAATGCAGCCAGATGCAATTCTGTGCCAGGGATGAGTCACTTCATTGCAGAAGTTTTTGACTCCCCCTCCCTGGAAGCTGGGCACTGGTTCCTATTAAAGCAGGAAGAGTACAAAGGGCATCCTATGTGGGCAGACTTTGCCTCCACCTCTATCTTTTCTTGCTTCTGAGGTATTACATCCATTGCTGCTTTCATGAATGTTTTTTTAAAGACAATGGGTATACCAGTCTTATGCACGTTCCACATTGGAAGGAACTTGCGAAGTCTAAGTCCACCCCTTTAAAAAAAAATACATACACGCACAAAGAATTTGGCAGCAATTTCAAGGGCCTCACGTATTGCACTGATGAACCCAATGTCAGAAATCTCTGGTTCAGCTGAAGACACTTAGCATGGAACCACATATATGAAGAGCAATGTATGTCTGGTGCCAAGGATATAAGATAAACAAGTAAGACAGGAGTTGACAGAGGGCTCCCGGAGGAAGGGGAACAAGGGAACTTGAGCTTGAAGAAGATAGGGGGAGAAGGAGAGATGGAGCCAAGGTAAAAAAGTAGGCATGCATAACGGATGGCGAGTATTTCTGTAGGGGAGCACTAAAAGAGTGAAGAAGCCATTCTATCAGGAAAATCTCTAATAACAAAAGTTTTGAAACCAAAGCATATAAACCTGTTATCCTCTTAGAAATATTTATTTTCCATATATTCATTCTGTTATGCATGAATGATAAACTAGAGGAGGAAAGATTTGGACTAGGAAACCCAGTAGGTAAACCATTATAGTGGTTTAGGGATGTGGGGAGCTGCAAGGAGACTAAAATACTATAAATATGCATGGGAAGGAGGAGGCAAGGAGACATATTGTTTGGCTATCTCTGAGAGGACTTCTAAATTGTTGGTGGATTCATCTGCACAGACTAATTGCTGTAACAAACAACCACAAATCTAACTGGCTTAACACAGTAAAGGTTTATTTCTCACTCATATCACAGGACCATGTGAGTGAATAGAGAGGCTTGATCCATGCAGTCATTCAGGGCCCAGACTCCTTCTGCCTTGTGGCTCCAACACAATCCACATAGTCCTCAGTGAGATCCTCTGCATATGACCAGCAAATGAGGGCAGACAGACAGAATGGAAGGTTGCAAAAGAGCTTCTGCTGCAGGCCAGAAGATAAAAACACCTCTTTTACCTACATTTTGTTGGCCAGAACTCGTTCATCTAACTGCTAGAAGGCTGGGATCTATAGCCTAGCTGCCCAGGAGGATAAAGGAAAGTTCCCCAGCTTCTATAGCTGATTAGGAGGGAGAGGGATAGGAAGACAAGAATGCCTATTCTCTGTCCTGGGGACTAGAAGATTGATGGGAACAATGACACAAAAAAAGAAAATTTAGAGAGGAAGATATGAGAATTGCAAGAATGGCATTGTATATCCCTATGTCTAGTATTTACAATAACCCAAGAAAGTTATAAAACAGATTTTGCTAAGACATTAGTCACACCATTATCCAAGAAGCTTGGCATCACAATTTGGCTTTTTCTTATGTGATACAGGAAGTGATGTGATTAGATATGACACCAAAAGCAGAGGCAACAAAAGATAAAAAAAAAAAATGGGTAATGTGGAGGACATCATCAAAATTAAAGACTTTTGTGCATCAAAAGACAGTATCAAGAGAGTGAAAAGGCAACACACACAATGGGAGAATGAGAGAAAATATTTTACACATAGCATAAGGGATTAATATCCAGAATACATAAAGAACTCCTAAACTCTACAACAACAAAAAATCCAAACAACCCAATTCAAAAATGGACAAATGACTTGAATCGACATTTATCCAAAGATGTAGAAATAGCCAGTAAGCCCATGAAAAGATGTATAATGTCACTAATCATTACAGAAGCATAAATCAAAACTATAATGAGATATCACTTAACACCCACTAAGATGGCTATTATCAACAACAACAAAGAAAGCAAGAGAAAATAACAAGCATGGGTAAGGACATGGAGAACTCAGAACCCTTGTGCATTGCTGGTGAGAATGTAACATGGTGCAGCTGCTGTGGAAAAGAGTATGGCTGTTCCTCAAAAAATTAAACATTGACTTACCATATAATCCAGGAATTCCACTTCTGGGTGTATACACAGAAGAAATGAAAATAGGGACTTGAACAGATATTTGCACACAAATGTTCACAGCAGCTTTATTTATAATAGGCAAAATGTGGAAGAAAGCCAAGTGTCTGTCAGAGGAATGGAAGGACAAAATACGGTTTACACACACAATAGACACTATTCAGCTTTAAAAGGAAGAATATTTGGACAAATTTGACAACATGGGTGATTCTTGAAAACGTTAAGCTATATGAAATAAGCCAGTCACAAAAGGACAAATATTGTCTGATTCCACTTATATGAGGCACATAGAGTAGTCAAATTTATAGACAGAAAGTGGAATAAAGGTTGTAAGGGGCTGTGGGGAGGAAAAAATGGGGAGTGATCATTGATTGGGCACAGAGTTTCAATGTGGGAGACAAAAGAGTTCTAGAGATGGATGGTGGTGATGGTTGCACAACCATGTGAATGCACTAATGCCACTGAACCGTACAATCAGAAATGGTTAAAACTAGTGTAAATGTATGTTGAGTATACTTTACCATAATATAAGAAGTAATGTGAGTAAGTTCATCTCCCTAAAAATGCAGAATATATGGAGAATACCTGATCAAACACAATTAACTAATGAAATGCTCTCCGAACCCTCTCAACCACACATCTGCTGCACAGTAAATCTGTCAATGTTATCAGTTCTTCATCCTAACCCTGCTTCTCCTGAGTCCTTCATCTCAGTCAATATATAGTCATTCTCCCAGCACTGGGTGAGAAGCCTTGTCCTTATCTTTGCTTCCCACAAGCCCTGACCCTTCCCTGTAAACCTTCAAGCCAACAGTCAAGTTTCTCAGCTCGCCCTTCCCTTTTCTCTCACAGCCCCAGACACCTTTCTGTTTGGCTTCCCAAAACCTTAGCTCACTGCCTGTCACACTGACAATCCAAACAGCCTCCATGCAAGGCCCCCACTTCTGTGTCTCATCAGGCTTCCTCTCACCATGGAGCCATCTTCCTACACTCAAGGCAAAGTTTGGTTTTTTACTGGAAAGGGGTCCTGATCCAGTCCCCCAAGAGAGGGTTCTTGGATCTCATGCTAGAAAGAATTCTGGGCAAGTCCAAAGAGTAAAGTGAAAGCAAATTTATGTGGAAAGTAAAGGAATAAAAGAACAGCTACTCCATAGGCAGAACAGCCCTAGGGCTGCTGTTTGGCTATTTTTATGGCTATTTCTTGATTACATGCTAAACAAGGGGTGGATTATTTGTGAGTCGGAAAGGGCAAGGAATTCCCGGTACAGAGGGTTTCTGTTTTCCTTTTAGACTAGAGGTCCCCAACCTTTATGGCACCAGGGACCGGTTTCATGGGTTGGTGGTGGCGGGGGGAGGGTGGATCATTTCAGATGAAACTATTCCACCTTAGATCATCAGGCATTAGATTCTCATAAAGAGTGAGCAACCTAGATCCCTCAAATGCGCCATTCACAATAGGGTTTGCATTCCTATGAGAATTTAATGCTGCTGCTGATCTGAGAGGAGGCGGAGCTCAGGCAGTAATGCTTGCTCACCTGCCACTCACCTCCTGCTGTGCAGCCCATTCTTAACAGGCCAAGGACTGGTACTGGTACTGGTACTTGGCCTGGGGGGCAGGGACCCCTGTTTTAGACCATATAGGGTAACTTCCAGATGTTGCCATGGCATTTGTAAACTGTCATGGCACTGGTGGGTGTGTCTTTAGCATGCTAATTCATTATAATTAGCATATCATGAGCAATGAGGACAATCAGAGGTCACTTTTGTCACCATCTTGGTTTGGGTGGGTTTTGGCTGGCTTCTTTACTGAATCTTTTTTTATCAGTGGGGTCTTTGTGACCTGTATCTTGTGACCGCCTATCTCACCCTGTGACTAAGAATGCCTAACCTTCTGGGAATGCAGCCCAGCAGCTCTCAGCCTTGTTTTACTCAGCTTCTGTTCAAGATGGAATTGCTCTGGTTTTAACGTCTCTGACAATTTGACTCTCAGGTAGATGCTGTGCAAAGTGTTGTGCAAGCGTTAGTGTTGGATGAGGGTCATCTAGCCCTCACCCTATGCAGAGGCGCTTCCGCTGCGCTGCTTACAAGAAGCAAAATGAGGATTGGAGAGCTCCACTCATCATCTCAAGGTGACAGAGCTGGTAAGTGACAAAGCTCGGATTCCCATGGAGGCCACTGAACATCCACCAGTCATCTCAGCTAGCACTAGCTCAGGGATACCATGTGCCTGGTATAGTTCTCGGTGCTCTACTAACAACAGTTCCTGAAAACCTCACAACAACTCCATGAGTAAGGCTGTTACCATGTCCATTTTACACTCAAGGACATCAAGGTAGAGAGGTTAAATAACTTGCCCAAGTTCACCCAGCTGGCAGAGTGGAGCACAGATTCAAGGCCCAGGCAGTCAGTTTCCAGAGTTAGCCTCCTAGTCATTACACTGTTCTGGCTCTGGCTCTCAGGTCAACTGTGATAGCCAATCTCCTAGGCTTAGGCCACTCTCCTCCAAAACCTACAGCATAAAGTCTACCTTCTGTAGCCTGAGAATCACCCTCTTCTCCTAACACTGCAATCTCTGCACCGGTCATCTCAGCTACACCCAACTATTCATGCAGCCCTAAACACCTCACTCTGTTCCTCCATCCTGGGATGCCACCCATAAACACCTGATTAATTTTTACAAGGCTCAATAAACTGTCATCCACTCTGCAATGCTGTGATATTGTGATGTAAAATGGCATACACAATTTGTCTTCATCCCCTGTTCCACTTGTAATGTCCTGAGGGGTAGGGATGATAGAAGCACCTTTTAATACAACATTTTGTTTTTGTCCCTGCTTCCTGAAACTGAGCTTCTGAAACCCTTGAATTTCCTGAGTGGTACAGGCAATGGGAGGTTTTTTGGTTATTCATAACAAGCCCCTTTCACCTGGACCTGGGTTTATGTTAATGAGATGATGAATGGCTGAAAGCCATGAGATACATGGCTCCAGGATGAGGCTGGTTGCTAGAGGAACTAACTCTGTGATTAAAGGGTTAGAACTTTCAACCCCTTCCCTCAACCTCCCGGAAGGGGAGATGGGCTGGAGATTGAGTTAATTGCCAAGAATGTAATCAATCCTGCTTGCATAATGGAACCTCCATTATAAACCCTAAACACTAAGGGATTAGGACAGTTTCTGGGCTGGGGAACACACCCATGTGCTGGAGAGTGGCACACTCCAAACTCCATGGGGACAGAAGCTCCTGCACTTGGGAACTTTCTGGACCTCACCAGAAAGGTAATTAGGATATCTCTTCAACTAGTTATTCAGTTTTATCCTTTATAATAAGGTAAACAAAAATAAATTGTTTTTCTGAGTTTTCTGAACAAATTATGATTTTGTGAGCAAATTATGAAACCTGAGGATGGGGTTGTGGGAACCCCTGATTTATAGCCAGTTGGTCAAAAGTGCAGGTCACCTGGATCTACTATTGGTGTCTAAAGTAGGGGGCCTTCTTGTTGGACTTGTTACCAGATAAAACCTGGGTCTGCTCACCTAGCATATTAAAGCCAAATATTTACACTGAGTTTTCGTAGCCAGAGAAAGGAGAGCACTTATTTGCAGGGTGCCGAGCAAGGAGAATCGGGCTGCTTACTTTTTTGTTTTTCTTTATTTTTTATTTTTTTTGAGACAGCATTGCACTCTGTCACCCAGGCTGGAGTGCAGTGGTGCAATCATAGCTTACTACAAACTCCAGTTCCTGGGCTCAAGAAATCCTTGTGCCTCAGCCTCCCAAACTGCTGAGATTACAGGCGTGAGCCACCGTACCCAGCCAGGCATGTCACATGTAAGACTCAACCTCCCCGATGGCTTACAAGCAAGTGTTTTTAAAGGCAGGGGCAAATTTCAGGAAAGCAGAAGTTACAAGCAAAATTGTAAATTAATACATAGAGGTTAGACATTGCTGTGGCCTTAAAAGGCAGGATATCTTGAAGCAGGGGCTTACTATACCTTACAGGTTATAGGAGGATTTAAAGAGTCTCTAATCTAAGTTTTAGATATTTCCAGTAAAGCTTCTATGAACACTCACGTACAGGTTTTCGTGTGGACTTAAGTTTTCATTTCTCTGAGATAAATGCACAAATGTGCAAATGGTAAGTGCATGCTTACTTTTATAAGAAACCGGCAAGCTATTTTCCAGGGTGATGCTACCATTTGACATTTCCACCAGCAGTGTGTAAGTGATCCAGTTTCTTTATTATTATTATTATTATTATTATTATTATTATTATTATTCTTTAAGTTTTAGGGTACATGTGCACAATGTGCAGGTTAGTAAAATTTCATATAACCATACACACAGATGGGCACACACACACATACAATAAGTGCACGTAAAACCTGTAAAATCTGAATAAACTCTGTGGATTTCACCAATGTTAAAAAAAAAAAAAGTCTCTGATCCGTGATTGGTCAAGGAAGCAAAGTTTTGTCTAAAAACTTAGGGCTAATAGAAGGGAATGCTAAGGTGGCCTGTAGGCATGACTCTTTCTAGGCCCTTCAGGAAGACATTTAGAACTCAGAATGGCAGTCAGAGCTCATTCAGTCCTCAGTTTACCCCAATCTCAGGTTTATATGCCAGCAAATGGTTTTTTCTATTTGGTGGGTTCCAGGGGTTTTTTTGTTTTGTTTTTTGAGACAGAGTCTCATTCTGCCACCCAGGCTGGAGTACAGTGGCACCATCTCAGCTCACTGCAACCTCCACCTCCCGGGTTCAAGCAGTTCTCCTGCCTCACCCTCTGGAGTAGCTGGGATTACAGGTGCACACCACCATGCCCAGCTAAGTTTTGTATTTTTAGCAGAGGTGGGATTTCACTACGTTAGCCAGACTAGTCTCAAACTCCTGACCTCAAGTGATCTACCCACCTCAGCCTCCCAAAATTCTGGGATTGCAGGCTTGAGCCACTGCGCCCTGCCCGGTGGAGTCCAGGTTTTTTAAACACAGGGACCTATGTCAGGATGTTACCTTTTGTTTTTATAGGAGACAAAATATCTTGTGGCTCTAGCTTTTTTGGCTATTGTTTTAAGCCATTAATATCTTCTTTCTTATCAAGTTGCTCACTTACTTTTTAAGGATAGTAAGGTGTCTGAAATTTTTCTTGAAGAAACTCAAGAGGTTCCTTTATTTCTATGTTTGAGAGGCCTGGCCGGCCCCCAAAAGGAGTCCCTGCTCCATCTCAGATTGATCCCTTACCCTGTGAGGACTGCACTAAGTCTGGGTAGTAAATGTCAGAATTGAGTTGACTCATTGGACACCCAGGTAGTGTCTAGAGAGTTGGAGAATTAGTTATTAGTAGGATACACCCCACATATTTGGTGTCAGAAGCGTTGTGAATGGAGGGAAACTTTTCACTTAGATGCTCACCCTGATATCCAAGACTCCTTTAAAATGCATTCATTCAACCAAATGTATGAAGTACTTTCTGTAGCCGGGCTCTGTGTCAAGTCCTGGGGATGCACTGGTAACATACTTCCCATCCTTAAAACAGTGTCAAGAAAATGCTACTTTTTGTTCTTATTCAGTGGCTCCTTGGATTATCATGAACAATTTATATGTCTTTGTCACTACATCATGGGCTCCCAGAGGTCAAGATGACATCTTGTTAAACCCTGTGTTGCTTTTCTCATACCTTGATCTTGGTAGATAAAAAAATGCATTCAATGAATCAATGTTTGAATGACTCAGTGGGCCCTACTGAAGTACAAATCTCATGAAATAAAACTTAGCCTCCAGTGATGAGTCATGAGCTGGAGGAATTGTCTTTCTGCAAAACTGGCCTCCGCATCGTCTCCTAGATTTGCTGCCTTAGTTTTACTACCGTTCATTTGCATAGCAGTCAACATTTCACATAATATTTTCACATCCATCTTCTCACTTGATTCTCTGTGGTTGGGAAATGTAATCCTTTGCATTGGCTTGAAATTAATTTTCTATATGTTTCATAAGCATATTTTGATTGCCTCTGATTAGGTTGTCAAATCAAAGTCTTCTGAAATTAAACACAATATCCCTAGAGTAGTCTTCTGGAGTGAGAGTGCCTGGGCTCAACGTGTCTTGGAGCTGAGTCTGCATCTGTGAAACGGGAGCACCAACCTCCTAGCGCCCTCATCAGGTGTAAGGTAGACAACAGGAGTGCACACAGAACCTGGCTGAGAGTACATTCAATAAAGATGATAAAGGTAAGCTGTCTCTTTACTAATCAAAGTAGCAAGGCAAGAGCTATGTTGCTGAACAGATCAGGACACTGAAGCCCCAAGAATCTAAGTTTAAGTGACCTTCCCAAGTCCACAGAGTGAGTTTCCCTTAAAGCCAAACATGAAGGTTATTCTTAGGCCTTCAGTCTTCCCTACAAGCATAATTCCTTATGGAATCATGCGCATTTCCCACCCTGATCCTAACTCAAGCTCTAAACTACCCTTCCACATTCAAAAACTTACCGCTTCCTAGATCTGAGTGATTCAATCAGAAGTTCCAGTTCAACATTCCAATTTGAAAGACAAGATGTTTTCCACTGGTTTGCAATTAATTTGCTGTAATTTACACCAGTGTATTTTGATTGCTTTTGATTAACTTTAACAAACTAAAGAAGTTTGCTGAAATTAAACATCAAAGTACACAATCCTTTTTCTGAGGCACCTCGTGCATAATTATCAGCCTTGTCATTCTTGCTAAATATATGCATTATGTGGCAGCCCCTGTGCCTGGGTAGTGGTAATTAATATAGAATCCCAAAATCAATTCCAGAGAAATCCTCTAAGATCAAGGGAAGCTCATTTGCATAACTTCTAAAATGCATGAATGAATTGTTTTGAAGCCGGGATGAAAAGAAAGAGGTCTTTACAGGTCAGGGTTTCTTTGTAAAAATAGATAAATAAAACTGGCTGCATACTTAATGTTGGGTTGGTTGCAAAGAAAAATAGGTCTTTGGTGGAAAGTATGAATAAACAGGTAAATGGCTCTTTGGAGCCGTCACTTTACAGAAAGCCTCACCAAAATTAAGGGCTAAGAATTAACCGCCGAAGCAACTAATGTGCTGAGAAAAGTTCACAGGCAGCTTTGTAGCATTGCCGAAAATGATGAAATTAAAGTTAATATCATTTTATTGAAAGGTGGGAAAATCATTTAAATATTTTTAAAGGGGAAAAAAGACCTCCCCATGCATCCAATTATTTGTTTATTTTCATCTAGGGAAATAGAGGGAAAAACCCAGAGTCGGAACACAGCAGTCTGGCTGCAAAACTCTCTCTGCTGCTTAGAAGCGGAGCGACTCTGGGCGTAGGACCTAATCTGTTGAAGCTCCATGTCCTCATTGAACAACAGGGCAAGCTGGCTGTATGCCCAGCTCATTCTGAGGGGTGGAAGACACCGAGCATGTGAAAACATCATGGCAGGGCCAGGTGCAAGGTGAGCACACAGCTAGTGCTCCTGCCCCGTAGTGCTCAGTCCCTCTAGCTGCAGCTCCTCTCCATGCACATCAATTATTCATGATAATAATAAGAAACAGAATAACTAATATTTATCAAGAGCTTATCAGACCCTGTGCTAAGCACTTTTCTTGCATTATCATCTTTAATCCTCCCAATAACCCTATGAGAAAGTTACTGTAAGTATCATCCTTTTCTAAAAGTTTAAACAACTTTTCGAATGAGGAAACGAAACCCCAGAGAGAGCAGCCAGCTAAGTGACAAAGCTGGTTTCTGAACACACGGGCCCGTGTATTTGTTCATTGCATTACGTGGTGGCCCAGGGGGATGGATTTCCAACCTGGGTGTGCATAGATGAGCTTCGGGAGGCAATAAAATCTCTGGAACAATATAGAAAAGTATTAGTATGTGTGCATTTTGTGGGGAAGTGTCCAAAAACATTCATCTGCTTCTCAAAGGAGTTCTTGACCCTCAAAAGGTTAAGAGGTCCTATACTCAATGTTTTCCACTGAACCAGACCCCATGGCCCAGACTGCTTTGCTATTTGAATTGTGGTCCACGGACCAGCAGCATCAGCATCATCTGGGAGCAAAGGCAAATCTTGGGCTTCATTGCAGACCCACTGAATCAGAATCTTCTGAGGAGATTCCCTGCCCCTAATCCAGCCTGTGGAGCAAGGAGGGCTGCCTGGAGGAAATGACATATGAAATAAGTCCCAAAAGATGAGACAGAATCAGCCAAATGGCAAGGAGCTAGGTGAGGACTATTCAAGCAGAGGAAAATGCCCAGCCACAGGCATAATGAATGCAGTCTCACTCTGTTGCCCAGGCTAGAATGCAGTGGTATGAACACAGCTCACTGCAACCTTGACCTCCTGGGCTCAAGAGATCCTCCCTCCTCAGCCTCCCAAGTATCTGTGCCACCGTGGCAGGCTAATTTTTTTTACTTTTGGTAGAGACGGGGTCTCACTGTGTTGCTCAGGCTGGACTCAAACTTCTGCCCTCAAGTGATCCTCCCACCTCGGCCTCCCAAAGTGCCACGATTACAGGTGTGAGCCACCACGCCCAGCAGAGAAAATATAAAGAGAACAAAGCGGAAGTCCCTCTTCTCAAGGAGCCTGCATTCACAGTGAGGATGGTGGAATATGCATGAAAAGAGAACAGTGCCTCTCTCCCTCTGGAGGATTCTGAACATAAGCCCCTTTGCCAAAGTTCTCCTTTGAAGCCAGCCTTGTGGCTCACCTACCAATCATTGCCACCACAAGAACTGGGGATGTTTAACACGAGGTTGGCTGCCTTCCTCCCTCACCTATGAGGCCGCTGCCCAACCAGGGTGGGGAACGGGCCTGGGACTCCCTCCCTCTGCAAAGCTCCATTTGCCCCCATGTGGTGTCCTGCTCCACCCAGAGGGAGCGTCCTTCTCTGATTCTCAGGAAGGCACCTCACAGGTTCGTGGCTGCCCCGGCTCACACAGAAGCTTCAGGAAAGATCAGCTCAGGACTCTGCTTGGGAAATAGAAATGAGAAGGAGAAATTTCGTTTTGTGAGCACCTAGCATGGGCCATGCACTGTGCTGCATACCATACAAGCATTCTCTAATTTAATACCCACAACAACTCAGTGTACTCAGGGTTTTTAAATCTCTACGCATGAGAAAAACTGAGGCATAGAGAGGTGGGATGGATTCCCAAGTTGTGGGTGGCTGAAGGGTGCAAATGTGATGGAATCTGGATCCCCCCACTCCAGCCCAGCTCCCGTCTCCCCGACCTGGCAAGGCCAGGTCTCACACAGCCACTTCCTGTTTCCTCTTTTATAGCAAATGCTAAACGAGAAAGTAAAATCAATGAGAAATAATAAGCGTTAAAAAATGGCTTCATGAAAAGGCAAACTTAAAAACAGTAAAAACAAGAGTATGGCTTCAAAAAATGATTGGGAAGAATCAGCACTGGGGGCCAGGAGAGAAGATTCGCCTGAATTTTTAAATCTCAAACAAGGAAACTGAGCTGAGAGGCAAGTCAGAGGCCCAGGGCAGGAAGCACATGTTTTGAAAGATGGAGGAGGTTTTTTTCAGAGGTTGTAACACAGTTCCTACCTTCCCTTCATCTTAGTGGGCAAAGTTAGTGTTCATTGAAGTAGTACAGGAAGCCTCCTGGAGGAGGTGGCCTTTTAGCTGAACTTTGAAGTTGGGCTTTGGTTTTGAAGGGAAGTCTCCTCAGAAGAAGAGAATTATAAAGAACAAAGACATAAAGGCAAGAGATGATGTAAACTTTTAGAGGGATTAAGTACCAATCAGCCTGATTGGGGCAAGGTATTCCCCTAGGGAAGGGGTGATATGGAGGGGTCAAGAGTTGGTTTGGGACGAGCAGAGGAGAACCTCAAGCCCAATCCAGGAGTTAGGATCAAGGTCAGGCAACTGTTCCCCACGGGACAAGGATGGAGCGCTAAAGGGCCACTCCAAGAAGTCTCGGGGGCACCTGTGGCTTTGTCCCAGCTGACAGGGCTGAAGGACAGCCTCGCTGACTCAAGGTCATAAACCATGTGAGAGGCTTAAGCAGTGCCAGGCCCTGAGGGAGCTGAGTCCTTTGCTGCATAAGGACTTGGCCCAATTTTGCTCCCCTGGAGTGACTGTGTGTCACAAGGATGCAAAGCTCCTTTACGGAGGGACAATTCTTCTTGGCAGGAAGTGAGAAGTCTGGCGGGGTTGCTGACTGGCTTCTCCTCTGACTAGGGGATGGGCCTGGGGTGTCAGCTCCCTGATGGCAATGGGAGTGGGAGAAGAAGGGAGGGAAAGCATACGAGGGTGATGGCAGAGAAGGGACAGAGGGAGGAACATCGCTAGGAACTGGGGAAGGGCTTCCAGCAGGTGAAGGTCCTATGGGTAATGTCCCTCTCTTCCACCCCCACCACTCACACAAACCTACGGACACACTCATTCATACACTCAAAACACACACACAGACACATGCACACTCACACGTGTTATCAGCCAAGCTTCAGCTCAGATTAGTGAGGTTTACATCAGCCTCAGCAAAATTAGTTCCCCAAAAAAAGTCAATGCAGTGACTTTTTCACAAAGCTACATTTATTCAATTTAAAGGACTATATATGTCATTCTGAGATTATGTTGTTTCTCTCTTCTTTGATTTGGGGTGGAGGGAGGTGTTAAAGTATTCGTTCTTTTTGGGAAGGGTGGTAATAATAGATAGCAAGGGTTTTTTTTTTTCTTTGTGTCCTTTCTTGGCAAAACACAAAGCTTGTAACCCTGTATTGATTTCCAACTTTGATTGTTTCTTACGGTCTGTGAACTCCAAAGCCAGGAAATCATTGCCCTAGGTGAAACCACAGTTTCTGGAACACACCAAAGCCCATCCTGCCTCCAGGCCTTTGTGCTAGAAGCACCTTTCCCCTTCGTCTCCCTCAACATGGACTGGGCTGGTACCCTCTGACTGTTAATTCCTTCCAATGTCCCCAGCTCAGAGTCTCTTCTCTGGCAAGCCCCTCCGGGCTCTGTGCCCCAGGAGCCCAGCCCTCTGAGCCCATGTCAGCAACACCACCTAAGGGGTGGACGGTCCAGCAGAGTCCACTGGTGATGGAAAGTTTTTCTGATAGTGAAGGACTTAGTCTCTCACAGTGATAGAACGGGCTTATTAGCAATCTGACCTCCACACGGTGCTAAATCCAGTCTCCCTTGGTGCATAGCAGATCTCTTAATGGCACCTTAGACAGATTTTATAACTTTCTGGTCAATTATGATTATTAAAACCTCAGTTCATCTTAAGCTTCAATCTGGGTCCATTTTAAAGCTCCTTCCCTCCCCAGCCCTGGACAGCTTTCAGCCCAGGACCTGAAGGAGCCAGAGGCTGTGGCTGTCCTTCCTTTTCCTCTCCCTGGAGTCCTGGATAGAGAGGTGAGGACCATCTGAAGATTCCCTCTCCCTCTTCTCCTGTGTTGGGGTGGGGAGGCAGAATGAGAGGCAGCGTCTTTCTAACTGGCTGCCTTCCAAGGGCAGGGAGGTTGTTATGAACCAAACTGAATCCCTACCAAAATTTGTTTGTTGAAACCCTAACCCCCAATGTGACTGTATTTAGAGATAGGGCCTGTAATGTGGTGGATTAAAGTTAAATATGGTCATAAGGATGGAGCCCTCATCCTATGGGACTGATGTTCTTTTAAGGAGAAAAAGAGACAACAGAGATCTCTCTCTTTCTCTCCCTCTCTCTCTGAACACAGGAAAAACCAGGTGAGGACGTACTCAGAAGGCAGCTGTCTGCAAGCCAGGAAGGGAGGCCTCACCAAAAACCAACCCTGCCAGCACCTTGATCTTAGACTTCCAGCCTCCAGAACCATGAGAAAATAAATGCCTGTTTTTTAAGCCACGCAGTCTGTGTTATCTTGTTAGGGCAGCCTGAGCTAAGAAGGGGTTCTTCTGGGTCTCTCTCGCTGCCTCAGCCTGGCTCCGTGGACTGTGGGCCACCTTTGTCTGAGTGCATAGTTTATTTCAGGGCATTTCACGCCAGTTAGGTCCTTTCTGGGTCATGACCAGGTGTGCTGAGGTTAGGGACAATTGTATAACATCACGTGGCATGAAGTAAGGAAACAGCTTTTTTGGAGAAAGGGAAAACTTAGCAAGTCGAAGTTGACCAGAGAAGGGAAGGAAGGTACAGACCTCCTTCCCATCGCCCCACCGAGATGCCCAGCCTGGACCTGGAAGTGTGTCCCATTGCAGTGGACACAGTCCTCCCAGTCTGCTCTCTCTTTGAATTGAGCAGATGTGGAGCAACGTGGTTGGTGGTAAAAGAGATTGCTCTGGTGCCAAGTAGGTTGAGGGGTGCCTACTGTTTGCAGAACTGACTGGGGAAGCCAGACACCCGGCACCCAGAGAGTTCCTGGAATCACTTTCTTGACAATCTTGCTTGTTGTGCCACGGGTGGTGTCCAGACTGGACTGGCCCTCCATTGGTGATGACAGGGAGGGCAAGGGAGTCTCCCTCCCACCCTCCTGAGGTCCATGTCCTCAACCCTTCCCCTGCCAGGACTCCCCTCCTTAAGCTCCTGCCTCCTGCTCTACCCTCCAGGGTCCTTCGCCTGAACCCCGGGACCTCGGGAGAGCAGCCACCACACCCACCGTCCGGAAGAACTCTGTCCCACTATGTAGACTCTCCCAGCTGCCACCCAAGGCTGCTGCAGCCAATCCCCCTCTACCAGAGACTCCAAGGAAGAAGCAGGCATCAGGGTCCAGGCTCTTTTTCACCTCTAACTCCCGCAACATGCACCAGCTGCCTCACACCCCGTTCCAATGGTCCCCCAGGGTGAGCCTGGCAGCGCCCCAGCTCCACAGGAATCCAATGGGGGAGACAGCATGTACAGACCCAGTTTCTAGGAGTGCTGTCTTATCCCCCATCACTGCCTCTAGAAGAGGATTCTCTCCTACTCAGACAAAAAAGGAAGACAGAGCTCCCTGCAGACCAATGAGCCACAACTGCCAGGTCCTCCTCTCGGCACACAGGTGGAGGAGACGGAGGCTGGGGCCATGATTGGTAACAGCTCAGCCAGTTCTATTACCTCTGAGTAGGCCTCAGGGGACGTGTGGACAGAGCTGGGCCTGAGCCATCCATTCTGAGCCACAGTAGAAGCCCCATGGACACATGGACATCCCATTGCAGGGGAGGCCTGGCAGGAAGATGGGCCACTAATGGGAGGAGGCTTAGCAGAAGACACTCAGTTCCTACCCATTCCCATCCCCTAAGGGCTGGCCCAGACCCCAAAACCCTCTGGAACCTGCTCTCCATCCTCCCATCTGCCAGGGATGAAAACGCTCTCATCACTTGGACACACCCTAAATCCAGGGAGGACTGATGAGAATACAAACACAAGTTGCCATGTGCTATGGGCTGAACTGAATCCCTCCCAAATTCCTGCGTTGAAGCCCTAATCCCCTGTACCTCAGAATGTGACTAGATTTGGAGATCAGCCCTCTAAAGAGGTAATTAAGGTAAAATGAGGTCACTAGGCTGGGCCGTGATCCAATGTGACTGGTGTCCTCAAAAGGAGGCAATGAGGACGACACACACAGAGGGCAGACCACATGAGGACACAGCAACAGGAGACATCTGCCAGACAAGGAGAGAGGCCTCAGAAGGAACCGACCCTGCCAGCACCTTGATCTTGGACTTCCAGCCCTCACAACTGTGAGTAAATAAGTTTCTGTTGTTTAAGGCCCCCAGTCTGTGACTTCATTACAGTGTTCTTGTGAACCGACATGCCACACCTCTTGGTGAGAGAGAGAGATGTGAAGCCCTTTACCTCACTTGACCTCATTTGAGTGTCATTAGCACTCAATATTGAATCAGGGTGAAGATACGCATGCAGAGCCAGGGTCATTGTACCCATTTCAAAGTTGGAAATGTTGAGTCTCAAAGCCATTCCGGGAGAACATTGGGCCTTCCCACATCCTGATCCAGGGATCTTTCCTCTTGGCCATGTTTCCTCCCTGTTGGCTTTGACCTGGGCAGGCCATGCTTGTGTACTATATGGGCTCAGGCCACTCCCCAGCATCCACTGGGCCTTGGAGGAGGTCAGCTCCTTCTCCAGCCACATCCTGCCCTCCCTCACCCTGCACCATCCCAGGCTGCTCTTAGCAGTCAGCCACTCTGACAGCCATTCTGGATGTCATTGTCTCCCTGAATGTCCATGTCCACCTCTCCCTTCAGGATCATCCTGCACGGGGCTTGGATGTTGACAACAAGCTGAGCCTGTGTCCATGGACCTACTAGATGTTAACGACTTGGTTAGAAGATGGGGGCAGTAGGAAAGCTCATTTAGTGAGGGAGACACTGGTATCACCAACCCTAGGGTTTGGAAAAGGAGAACAACCAAGAGGGGTGCTGGGGAGCAGGGCTAGAAAGAAGGGGAGGGGAGAAACTTAAGAAATAAGAGAAAGAGGGAAGAAAAGGAGAGAGGGAGAGGGATGTGAAAGATAAGAGGAAGGGTCAGGCTGTCCCTGGTAGGGAAAACCAACGTGGCGGAGCAAGAAAAGTCCTCCACACCCTATTCCAGCCCCATGGGTGTCACTGCAATCTGTGATGTGCAAAGAACCTCTCTGAACTTAAGGAGTTACAAAACACCAGAGAGGTGATTACTTTGTGTCTGCCCTCAGCCTTCACTTCTCTTATTATCTGCAATAGACTAAATAATTATGCCCCCCACTCCAAAGTCATATGCTGAAATCCTAACCCTCAAGGTGACATTAGGGGTAAGATCTTTGGGGGGTGTTGAGGTCATGAGGGTGGAGCCAAATAATTATTCCCCCCACCCCAAATTTCCTTATACTGAAATCCTAAAGCCCAAGGTGATATTAGGGGTGAAAGCTTTGGGGGCTGTTGAGGTCATGAGTTGGAGCCTTCATGAATGGGACTAGTGCTATTATAAAAGAGACCCCAGAGAGATCCCTCTCCTATTCCACCGTGAAGACTCAGCAAGAAGGCGCCATCTATGAACCAGGAAGTGGCCCTCGCCACACACCAAATCTGCTGGCGACTTGATCTTGGACTTTCCAGCCCCCAGAACTGTGAAAAATAAATATCTGTTGTTTAGAAGCCACCCAGTCTATGGTATTTGGTTATAGACCCCAAATAGACTAAGACTCTATTCTTCCCTTGTCCTTAATATCCTTCCCCCCTTTTCATTTCCCTTTTCCTTACCAACCCTGCAGCCCCCACCCCTCTCCTTGGCAGAACAAATCCACATTTTCTTCTATTGATTTGCTCTCTCTCTGCATAAAGTGTGCAGAACAAGCACAGTGCACAATGTTCTTTCTGTTGGGCGGCTGTGCGGCTTGATGAATGTGCGAGACAGACGCTGGCTGCTGTACAATGCCTGACGGCAGGGCATGCATATCTTCACTATGATTCAGACGCTTGCATTCAATTGTGTATTTACACAGGCTGGGGATATTTATAGACAAGAGCATCCATAGATTGTGGCTTACAGTGGCCTTGGCCCTTTGACCTGAAATCGAAGGGGACCTTACAGAAATTATGCCACCTATTCTTGAAACAGTTCTAAAAGGGAATGGGAAGAAATGTTTTCCCTGCTTTTCTAGGCAAAGACTGCTCAGAAGGACAATATTACCAGCTATCATTTACTGAGCAGCTATTATGGGCTAGGGTTTTACATATGTTACATCTCATCTTTTTAACAAATCTCTGAATAGATATTTGTATCCATAGTTTACAGACAAGGTTCAGATAGGTTAAGAAACTAGCTGAGGTTCAGATAGGTTAAGAAACTTCTCCTGAGTCCTACAGAAGTCACTGGTGAATCCAAGGCCAGAGCCTGTGCTCTTTCTGAAATACCATGGAGGGGGTTTCATATCACCTTAAACATAGAAGCCAGCCACAGCCAGTTTGTCTGTTCCTCACCATGAAATAGAAACTTGCCTCATCTTCATACATCTTTGTATTCTCCTAGCCCAGCACATTTTTCTGTGTACAAAAGATGTTCAATATATGGTTATGGATAATGAGAAACCCATACAGGCAAACAAAATCTTGATTAACCAGAACCCTGCCAACTGAAACTCTCAAGTAACTAAAATAAAATTGTAGAGCTTCTATTTTAAGTGAAACAAGCAAATCACAGCACAATACACTTGTATCTGACTGTCATTTCAGGTCAGTGGACTAGGTAGGCAGTTGAACGGGTGCATGGAGGAATGCAGGCATGCTTGCAGTGGGTCAGTGTCCTGCCCAGCCTGTGTATCCAGTCGCTATCTTGCTCAGAGAGAACTGATAGCTATGAGGCTGACCCCAAGGCCCAAGAAAACTGTTATTCAACAGAATCAAGAGTCAGGACTGGGGACCTACTATGTCCTTGGAAATGCACCACATGTTGAAGGGAGTATAGAATTATAATTATGTTCCTAACATGTACATTACATTATAGTAATGGAAGCAGAAAATCGTCAGAAAACTTCAATGGTCAGGGTGGAAAAGCACAGTATATTGAGTTGACTCTTAGTTAACTTGACAATTCAATTACCCAAGTTAACCAGTCTCAGTTAATCAAGGTTACAATGCAATTGAGATTCACCCTACAGATTACTTGTACCCTGATGACCAAATGTTCCATAAATGTGTCCTTCCTCAATGTAAAATGGAAGTGTAGCTTTCACTTCTCATCAGTTTCACCCACTGGCCACTTGCATCAGTGGCTCCTCAAATCCCCTAATACAGCAATTTCTACCTATGTTTCTGAGCTTGAGGAGGGGGTGAGAAGAGACCAGGCTGCACAGTCAGCCAGGCCTGAGCTTGACCTAGACCATCTACTTAGTACTGCATGACACTGGGCAAACTTATTTGCCCTTCAGGGCCTCAATTTCCTCACCTTTAAAGTGGGGATGACAACACCCACTCCCTTGAGTTATTTATTTACTCATGTAATAAATACAGCAAGGTCCTCACCTTGCTGTAGACAGGCTTTAAGGAGGTTGATGAGATTACATTAGAGAAACAAGCTAAAGGTTAAAACTGATAGCAAGAGAAGAAAGGGAATTAAGGTAGGGATAATCAAAAGCTGGAATCGAGGCTGGAAAAAGTGAGGATGACAAAGATCTAGGAGTTGCCCATGCACGTGACTCCAAGCATCATAGAAACCAGTGTGAAAAGGAAAGGCTGGTCTTTTATACAACTCACAGGGTTCCTAAGAGAAACACCAGGTGATCAGGACAGAGGTGCACTTGGCCCTGAGAGCAGAGGGGAAAATGCCTTCTTAGACACCTCTTAAGGAGGCCCCTACATGATGTAATGAGCAACATCGTTGAAGTAAACACCCCATTTTCTTTTCAACCACTCCATTGTGGGCTGGGAGCATCCCATCAAAGCCTCATTCAGTAAAAGCTGCTGAATTCAGGGGAGAGGTCAGGGGAAGGGCAGAGTGATGAGAGCTCAGTGCCCGACTCCAGTGGTACAACTTGATCTGGGACACATTTTAGACTATGTAAACTTTAGACTCCAGATTGTCACTTGAAAAATTCTTTAAGGTATCATTTCTCTTAGCTGAGTTCTTTTTTCTTTGCTAACTTAATTTTCAACAATGAGTTCAGTATTGTTTACTCCTCAGAAGCACCTGTGGTGCCACAAACCTGGGCTGCCCATCAAACCCATGCATCTCAACCAGCAACAGAGCCAAGAGTAAATGTGAAGTCCTCTTATTGGAGCTGAGCTGAGCAGCCCTCAAGGAGAAAGCCTGAAGGAAGCCATCCCTCCTCCAATTGACAGTGCCATCCAAAAGGCAAGGCCAAGATTCTCCTTTGTAAAGGAGTCTTGGGTCAATTCCAGTATGTAGATAAACGGGTGAGCAAGGCTACACCATAGAGAATGGCCATAAGGATTTCGGTCTGGAATTTTTTTTCAATTTCATTTAATTTTAAGTTCTGTTATACATGTGCAGGACAGGTAGGTTACATAGGTAAACATGTGCCATGGTGGTTGACTGCACCTATCAACCCATCACCTAAGTATTAAGCCCAGCATGCATTAGCTATTTTTCCTGATGGTCTCCTTCCTCTCACCCTCCTCCACCAGGCCCCAGTGTGTGTTGTTCCCCTCCGTGTCCATGTGTTATCATTGTTCAGCTCCCACTTATAAGTGAGAACATGCAGTGTTTAATTTTCTGTTCCTGTGTTAGTTTGCTGAGGATAATGGCTTCCAGCTCCATCCATGTCCCTACAAAGGACATGATCTCATTCTTTTTTATGGCTGCATAGTATTCCATGGCATATTTCTACCACATTTTCTTTATCCATTCTATCATTGATGGGCATTTGGGTTGATTCTACGTCTTTGCTATCGAGAATAGTGCTGCAATGAACACAGGCATGCTTGTATCTTTATAATAAAACGACTTGTATTCCTTTGTGTATATGCCCAGTAATGGGATTGCTGGATCAAATGGAATTTCTGGTCCTAGATCTTTGAGGAATCACCACACTGTCTTCCACAATGGTTGAACTAATTTACATTCCCACCAACAGTATAAAAGTGTTTTTATTTCTTCACAGCCTCGCCAGCATCTGTCGTTTCTCGACTTTTTAATAATCGCCATTCTGACTTAGCTTGGAATTTTTTAAGTTGATGTGCACAAGAGCAAAATGTATAGGCTTTCAAAGCAAACACTTACATATGCCAAGCTATTCTCAGGACCCTACCTACAATAAGTCACATAAGCTCACCAAGGAGGTGGGACCTATTACTATTCACAGTGTACAGAAGAAGAAAATGAGCCACAGGGCCACACAGCTAACAAGTGGCAAAACCTAGACTTGAACCCAAGCAGTTGGAAGCAAAGTTCATGCTCCTAACCACACACTATTTTTGCTTATTAAGCAGTTGAAGTACTAGAAAAATCTACCAAAATTAGTAATGTTGCTTTCGTGATTGTTGCTCTGAAGGGCTCCTTCCAGCAGTTTACTAGTAGTTATCAGACCTCTTGTCTCTCCAGTCCACTCCAAGTTCAACGCAGTGGAAAGTGTGATCTGAATAAAAATGATGTGTGTCTTTCCATTCATCATAGCAGTGGGCTCATGCCCCGCTCATCCACGGGGATATCAAATCATTAAGAAACAAATTGAAATGGTGGGGTTCAAAACACTTCCCTGATTTTACTGCTCCATCTACTGCCCCTGACTGTGATTATACAATAATAGTATCAAGTATGTAGAAGCATCAAGAACTGCGGGTCTTTGATGAGCTCATGTATCCGTTCTTAATCAATATGAAGGCTTGGGAAGAGTCAACAAAAACCACACATGATCGGATATTGCTCCTGGTGGACTTCACCACCAGGTGATAATTGGTTAAAAACATGGTCTGTGGTTGAAAGACCTATCAAAGAGCCTGTCTGCTTCTCACATAAAACACTGGCCTGGAAACCCCAGGCTTCATGCTCATTCATCAAGTATACATTATCTATAAAATATCCAAAAATTGATAAATCTTTTAGGAGAAGTAAAGAGATGTCTTTTGTGTGTGTGATGGGATAAAATACAATCATAGATTCAATAAAAGTGAGCAAGATATTATGGCTCGGAACCCATCTTTCAGAAAGTTTATTTGGCCAGGCACAGTGGCTCATGTCTGTAATCCCAGCACTTTGGGAGGCCGAGGTGGGGGGATTGCTTGAGGCTAGGAGTTCAAGACCAGCCTGGCCAGCATGGCGAAACCCGGTCTCTACTAAAAAATACAAAAATTAGTCAGGCGTGGTGGTGTATGCCTATAATCCTACATACTCAGGAGGCTGAGGCATGAAAATCACTTGAGCCTGGGAGGCGGAGGTTGCAGTGAGCTGAGATCACGCCACTGCACTCCAGCCTGGGCGACAGAGTGAGATTCTGTCTAAAAAAACAAAAAGAAGAAAGTGTATTAACAGCTCTGGGTACAAATGATCTTTCTCTGGTGTTGTATTCAGCAACAGGTTTTAAATTAACTATACAACGTGAGGGGCTGGACCAAGAGCAAACTAGTCTCTGCAAAAATTGGGACAGATGCTTTTAAGCCTCCAACTCTCAACTGGAATCAGTGCCCCAGAGTCTTACTCCCCAAGTTTGTGCCACAGGTAATTGTCCTAAAATCTGTTTTTATTGCCAGAACTATCAACCACATTAAGGTCATCTCACTAAATTTTACTACAACTTAATGTTTTCCAACCAATGTAAAATTTATAACTGACTTTAAATTTGATAAGGTCCTCGTTGGAGGCTTCTGATTTTTTGTTTGCAAAGTTCTTCACCAATTCAGACACCATTTTTCCACCCCTTTAAAAAGTTCTTTTCAAACTAGGGAGGATAAAGCTCATTTTTACTGAAACACTTGGTACCTAAACCCAACTTTACATTTTCTACATTCTGCTAGGAAGTGAGACATCTACCTTAAGGGCTCAGAGATGAAATATGTTGAAATCCCAGAACGTCAGAAAGCTCTTCTGCCTGTCCTACACTTCCCAACCTCATAAACTTTCCAGGTCAAAGTTGTGGACCTGTAGGTTCTAGGATAGCCATGCCCAAGGCTTACACAAGAGAGGCATATTCCCGGGCTGGGCGCGGTGGTTCACGCCTGTAATCCCAGCACTTTAGGAGGTTGAGGTGGGTGGATCACCTGATGTTGGGAGTTCGAGACCAGCCTGACCAACATAGAGAAACCCCGTCTCTACTAAAAATACAAAATTAGCCAGGCATGGTGGCGCATACCTGTAATCCCAGCTCCTCGGGAGGCTGAGGCAGGAGAATTGCTTGAACCCAGGAGGTGGAGGTTGCAGTGAGCCAAGATCGCACCACTGCACTCCAGCCTGGGCAACAAGAGTGAAACTCGGTCTCAGAAAAAAGAAAAAGAGCGAGAGAGAGAGGCACACTCTCTTTCTACCTGATTCAGATCTTATACCCTTTGGGTGCTGTAAACTCAAGATGGGCTGACAACAAGAGTCAATCATGCTAGAGGTAGCACAGTCGAGAAGAGGTATAGGTAAAATTTCCCCCAGATGTATTCCACAACCATACAACACCACAGGTTCTATGCATAACTGGGTTTGTTAGGAAATTTTTCTTTCAATGGATCCAACTGTCTCTGGGGGATTCATCCCACAGAGAAGTGAGTCGCCCATCCCCCAGAGGACCCCAGTGAGGCTCAAGCAGACTAGCAGCCAAATCTAATGCTCCAGACCCCCAAAACAATCAGCCCCAAGATGAATAAGAATAACGTTCAAAATAACATTTTTAAAAGACCATGTGTCCAAACATGCTGTGCATGTCCTGGCAGGGGAAGCTGAGTGTTAAGACAAATCACATCCAACTTGCCAGGGAACAGGATCAAGACTAGAAGAAAAATATCCCTGTCATGTGAGCCAGGCAATCTGACAACGTTTCCCCCAAGTCTGACAGAGATAAGAGTGGCCAGTCTACTTTTACTGCTGCCAAAGTTATTTTTTCCCTGATGGCTGGAGAGATAAAAGACCTGAAACCATAAATATGAGCAGGTGAATTTGTAAAATCCAGATTCCTTTCAAAAGGAAACGGTTTATTTAAAAAACAAACAAACAAAAAGACAACTTCAAACAGGAAAAACATCCAAGCTGTTATCTTTAGGGTCCCAAATGGCCACATTCCCAGAAGGAAATTGTAACCATTGTAGAGCTCATTCCAGGATGTGTACCAGGTCTAAACAATGCTGACATCACTTAGGCTGGTTGGCTGGGCACCTACCAAGGTATCTTCTTTCTATGAAGCAACAGCCCTCCTATTTGGCAAGAACATCCCAGCCAAAGGGGAGGTTCTTCAAGGAATTGAGATAGCCCTGGAAGCATTAACTGTGGAGATGAACAGAGGAAAACGCATACTGGCTCTTACCAGGAAGAGAAGAATCACATACTCTGCACAGAAGGCTGAGGGGTGGTAGTGAGACCATCCTCCATCAGGAATGAGCAGAAAAGGGGAAATGTGGTTGTGTTTGATGGCAGCAAAGGGGAGGGTGATCACACCGGTTGAGTGGTGGGGAGACCGCAAGCTGAGGGAGCTACTTCAGTGGGGAACTTCATAGAGACCTGATGGGGATTTGAAGTATGATTAGGTGGATTCAGAGCTGAAAGTGGATTGAGCTACCTGTCAGGGACTCTGTCCTCCACTAGTGAATTAAGCCAAAGAACCTTGTCATTCACTGTCAGAGATAACCTCATGCAGTGAGAGCACAAAGCACTGTGTCCATAATCTAGTAAAAGGAGGACACTGTCCCCTAAGAGCTGCCAGGAGCAAAGCTGGGGGCATCCAATCCATTTTTAACAGCCCAATCAGGGTGACCATGGCTCCCATGCTACAGCAAGGGAGCTGGGAAGAGCCACGATGCAGGTTGGCCCTCCCATGGTTCAACCAAGAAAGGAGATGGAGCAACAAGACAATAGACTGGGGTGACTCTCACAGGTATCAGCACTATCTGTTTCTTCATCAAGGTTGAGCAAGAGAAGTCACATGCATCTTCTCTCCCGGGATATGACTCCCTCATGCCAATCCTCCTAAATCACAACACACTGATTGATTGGCATATATCGTAGTCCACTCAAGCTGCTGCTATAACAAAATGTCAAAGACTGGGTGGCTAAAGCAACAAAAATTTATTTTCTCACATTTCTGGAGGCTGGAAGTCTGAGATCAGGGTGCCAACATGGTCAGTTTCTGGTGAAACCTCTCTTCCTGACTTGCAGACAGTCCCCCTCTCACTGTGTCTTCACACGGTAGAGAAAAAAGCAGCAGGCTCTGTGGTGTCTCTTCTTATAAAGTCACTAATTCCATCATGAGCCCCAACCACATGACCTCATCTAAATCTAATTCTTTCCCCAAAACTCCGTCTCCAAATACCATCACACCAGGGGCCCAGAATTCTGGGGGGACACCATTCTGTTCCTAGCAGCATGATTTTCTGTGAATCCAGGCATTCTCTGTGTTATGGGTCTTCACTCACAAGCAACGCTGTTTCAACATGCCAACCTTAATGTTAGCATCATGAGGCTTATGGTTCTATGGTGGCATGAGAAGTAATAATAGACAAAGTGACTGCATAAAATACATGTTCATCAAATATCTGTCCCTCATCCCAACTGCCATCCCCTTGTCTTCCACAGCCTGTTTCCAAACCCTTTGCTCTGATCTTAAATCTCAAAGGTCTTCTAAATTCCAGACATTCTGGTTCCTGAAAATTCAAAAGGGACAGGACACCAGCCCCTGAAAGAGGGACTATTGTGGAAACACTGGAGATAGAGGAAGAACAGGGGAATCTATCCACTCACAAGTTATGCAAAGAGAAGAGACTCCAGCCATCACCAATATGTATTTCTTGAGACTAGCCCTATGCTAGGTACATAGTGGGAAACAGGGGAAGACAGGGGAAGGCCCTCAAAGAGCTCGCATAACCCAAAAAGAGGAGCAATGACTTTGTAATTTACATGGTACTGGCTCTAAGTGCTGAAAGAACTTGGAGGAAGGAGAGATCTGAGTCAGCCACAACAATCAGAGAAGGAATTACGGGAGAAGAAACATGGGAGCTGGGGCTTGAAAGACAGAAAAACATTTCAGAGAGGAAAGAGGAGGGTTTCGTCAAGCAGGAACCAGCATGAGCAGAAGGACAGAGGCAGAGATCTGGCAGAAGGAGAAGACATGAGGAGACCAGGGTGGCAGGGTGTTGGGATGCATTCATTTATTGACTCATCTTTTCCTTCATTAATACATATTTATTGAGCACCTATTATATAACGGACACTATTGTAGGTGAAAGGGACTCAGCAGTGAACCAAAAAATCCTTGCTCTCATGGAACTTACATTCTAGTAGGAATAAAAAAAATATATACATAACATCAGTGGTGACAATAATTATGAAGAAAAATAAAGGAAACCAGGGTTTCCAGTCAGAATGGAGTAAGAAGGACCATGACCCTTCTTTCTGAGACATTCGAACTATTTACAAAATATAAAATGCAATGGTTTTGAAGACACTGAACATTAGGCAACAAAGGACAATGATTCCTGAGAGACAAGAAACAGGTGAGCTCTACAGTAGTCCCAACTTGAGAGAATTTCTAGGTCAAGGCACAAGGAGGAGGAACAGATGGAGCCCAGAAGACATTTTTAGTTGAAGAGACAGAGAGCTTGGAGTCCAGGGAAACCAAGGCAGATAGTTGCCAAAATGGAGTAGAAACAGAGAGAGATGCAAGGAGAGATAACTTTGGATATCAGGACAGGGCTCCTACTGAGTAGTCAGCTGAGTACTGATCAGCATGTATGTGTGTGGAAAATGTCCAAGACCAGGGAAAGAACCATCCGAAAGGATTGAAGGAAACAGTGCCCACTGCTCACACAGGGCCAGAGACAGTGCCTATTCCCATCAGCCGCACTGTAAAACCTTATAACTCAGAGCCTTGCCTCAGTAGTGAGGAATGCCTAGACTGAGCATTGCTTTGGTTCCATCTAACAAATCTTAAGCCCAAGACCCGAAAGAAGTCAAACTGTTTCCAAGTCACTTGACTCCACCACAGAACTAAGCTCAAGAATATTTATATGAAAACACAAATATCCAGCACCTAAGTAATATTCACAATGTCTGACAACTGATCAAAAATTACCAGGCATACAAAGAAATAGGAAAATATAACCCACAATGAGAAAAAAAATCAATCAATTGAGATCAACTCAAAAATGACACAGATATTAGAACTGGCAGACAATAACATTAAATGGTTATTATGACTGTAATTCAAAGAGTTAAGTAGAGACATAAATGATAGAAAGATAATTGGAATTCTATAGATGGAAACTACAATGTGTGAGATAAAATTACACAGTGTGGGATTAAAATCCCATTAGACATTTCGGAAGAAAATGGTAGCAAATTTTGAATACATATCAATAAAATCTATTCTAAATGAAACTCAGGGAGACAAATAACTTTACAAATAAACACAGCATTACTAAGTTATGGGATAACTCCAAGTGCTCTCACGTATGTGTAATTGGAGTCAAAGAAGGAGAGGAAAAAAGGGAAGACAGAAAAATATTTGAAAAAATAATGGCTAGAAATTTTCCAAATCTAATAGTCAAATTGCACAAAACCAACAATAGAGAGAAAACTTTGAAAGCAGCCAGAAAAAGAAGCCCACATTTTGGGTACAGCAGAACAGGATACTATGTGAGCAGATAACTCATCAAAAACAATGCAAGCCAGAAAGCAGTGAAGCAACAACTTTAAGTTACTGAAAGAAAAATTTGTCAACCTAGAATTCTGCAGAAGCAAAGATATCTTTTAAAACCAAAGGCAAAATAATAACTTTTGAGACATGAAAAAGCTGAGAGAATTTATCACCAGAAGATCCAGAGTACAAGAAATGTTAAAGAAAGTCCTACAAGCAGAAAAAAAAATGATACTAGATGGAACTAGATATCTACAGAAAAGAATGAATAGCCCTGGATACGGCAAATACATAGGGAAATATGTAAAATTGTTTTTTATTATTTAAATATCTTTTAAAGATAGCTAATTATATAAAAATAATAACAATGTAGCCTGGGGTTCATAACATAAATAAAAGTAAACAGTGTAGCAACAACAGCACAAAGAACATTAGAAGAGAAATAGAAGTATATTATTATAAAGCTCTGATGTTATTCATGAGGTACTTATAATACCACTTAAAGGTAGAATGATAAACTAAATATGTATATTAAAAATCCTAAAGCAACCACTAAAATAACAAAACAAAGAGTTATAGAAAATCACTTTATAAATTAAATAATAAAAATAATCAATTACTCCAAAAGATAGTAGAAAAGAAGAAAATAATAAAAAGAATAGATAAAACAAATATAAAAAACTAGCAAAATAATAGATTTAAGCAACTATATTAATAGTCACATTAAGTGCAAAGGTCTGAATACTCCAACAAAAAGCAGAGATTTTCAGCTGCGTACTGCTCACAAGAAACTTTAAATATAAAAGCACAATTATATTAAAAGCAAAAGCATGGAAAAAGTACTATGCTAACACTGATCAAAAAACACTGCAATGGCTATACTACTATCAAAGTAGATTGTAGAGCAAAGAATATAATCAAAGGTAAAGTAGGTTATTTCATAATGATAAAAGGGCCAATTCATCAAAAAGACACAGCAATGCCAAAAAGGTAATGCACCTAATAATAAAGTTTTAAACTACATGAAGCACAGACTGACAAAACCGTAAGCAGAAATAGACAAATCTCCAATTTTAGTAAAGAATTTCAATGCTTACTTCTCAATAATTGGTAGAACAAACAGAAAGGAAATCAGTAAGGACATAGACTATTTAAGCAACTTTATCAACCAACGGTACCTAATTGATATTTATAGAAAAGTACACCCAAAATAAGTACAAGAAAGGAAATAATAAAGATGACAGCCAAAATCAATGAACTAGAAAACAGAAAAGCAATATAAATATTAATAAAATCAAAAGATGTTTTTTGAGATCAATAAAATTGATTAATTTCTAGCCAGATTAATCAAGAAAAAGGAGAGAAAACATGAAATACCAATATCAGGAATTAGAGAGGTTATATCACTACAGATTCTGCAGATATTAAAAGGATAATCAGAGAATCTTACGAAAAACTTCGTGCCAATAAACAAGCAACTTAAATAAAATGGACATGTTCTTTGAAAGAAAAAAACCATCAAAGCTCAATGAAGAAAAAGTTGGTAACTTAAGTAAACTTATATGTATTAAATAAATTTCTTCCCACCAAGAAAATTCCAGATGCAGATGATTTTGCTGGTATATTCTATCAAAATGTTAAGGAATAAATAATAACAATTCAATACAAACTCTCCCAGAAAATTGAAGAAGAGAAACACTTCCTAATTCATTCTCTGAGGTCAGGGTTACCCTGATACCAAAACCAGATAAAGATATTTCAGTAAAACTACAGACCAATATCCCAACAATTGGATGTCTATAGGAAAAAAAGTAAACTCCAATCCATACCTTAGCATGATATACAACCTGCTTCATTTTCTTGACAGGTTGCATGTAGAGAGGGAGAGGAAGAGAGAAGTCAAACATGATTCTAGCTAATTAAAAATGGATCATAAACCTAAATATACAGCCTGAAATTATAAAACTTCTAGAAGAAAATACTATATAAGTAAAAGCTTTTGTCCCTGGGTTAAGCAAAGATTTCTTAGGTCTAACACAAAAGCAGTATCTATAAAGGAAGAAATTGATATATCAGACTTCAAAATTTAAAACTTCTGATCTTTGAAAGACACTGTTAAGAGCATGAGAAGACATGCCACACACTGGGAGGAAGAGCATACATCTGATAAAGAATGTGTATCCGGAGTATATAGAGAACTCTCAAGATTCAAAAAGAAGAAAATAGATAACCCAGTAAAATAATGGATTGGTGAACACACCCTAAGATGACCTCCAATGAGTCATGCCCTTGTTTAATCATCTGCCTTTGAGTACACATAGATTCTGCAACTTGCTTTTAACCAATAGAATATGGCAAAGATGATGGGCTATCACTTCATGATTACCTTATGTTACGTAAGACTCCGTCTTAGCAGACTTGCCTGCTGGCCTTGAAGAAGCAAAAAGCCATGTTTTAAACTGCCTATGGAGGGGGCCACATGGCAAGGTATGGCAGACAACGTCTAGCAGCTAAAAGACAGCTAGTAGGAAGCCAGGGCCCTCAGTCACACTGCTCCAAGATAATCCTGCCAACAACCTGATATGCTTGGAAGTGGATTTGTCCCTAGCCTAGCCACCAGATGAGAAATCAGCCTGGCTGACACCCTGATTACAACCTGGTAAGACCCTGAGCAGAGGACTCGGCTAAACTGTGCCCAGACTCCCAATGCACAAAAACTGTGGGATAACAAATGAATGTTGTTTAAAGCCACTACGTTTGTGATAGCTTGTTATACAGCACCAGAAAACTAATAGTCATGCAACACGTAACAATGTTTTGGTCAGTGATAAATCACATATATGATGGTGGTCTCACAAGATTATAATTCCATATTTTTACCGCACCTCTTCTACTTTTACATGTATAAACACTTGCCAGTATGTTACAGTTGCCTACAGTATTCAGTGCAGTCACATACTGTACAGGTTTGTAGCCTAGGAGCAATCAGCTATGCCATCTAGCCTAGTGTATGGGAAGCTACGCAGATTGAGTATCCTTTATCTGAAATGCTTGGAACAAGAAGTGTTCCAGATTTCAGACTCCTTTAGATTTCGGAATATTTGCATGTACATAATGAGATATCTTGGGGATGGGACCCAAGTCTAAGCACAAAATTCATTTACATTTCATATAAACCTTTCATGACTATCCTGAAGGTAATCTTATACGTATTGTATAATAACGGGCATAAAGCAAAGTTTTGACTGCAACCTGTCACATGAGGTCAGGCGAGGAATTTTCTACTTGTGGCATAATGTCGGCACTCCAAAAATGTTTCAGATTTTGTAGCATTTCAAATTTCAAATTTTTAGATTAGGGATGCTCAACCTGTACCACTTAAGTTTATGTAAGTACACACTATGATGTATTCACAATGACAAAATCACGTAAGAATACATTTCTCAGAATGTATCCCCATCATTAGGTGACACATTACTGTCCACAGACAAAACTTCTGAACAGATGCTTCACCAAATGAAGTATATGGGTGGCAAATAAGCACATGAAAAAGATGCTAAAATAATAAGCACATGAAAAAGATTACTAAAATAATTAGTAATTAGAAAAATCCAAGTTAAAACCACCATGAGATATCACTACATACCTTTTAAAGTTGCTGAAAGTGTTGGCGAGGACATGGAGGAACTGGAACTCGCCTTCACTGCTAGTTGATCTGTAAAATGTAAAAAGCTTTGTTGGAAAACAGTTTGACAGTTTCCTAAAAATTAAATATACACCTACCAGTCATTCCTCTCCTAGGCATGTACCCAAGAGAAAGGAAAACATGTGTTCATACAATGCCTTGCCCATGAATGTTCACAGCATCTTTATTTGTAACAGCAAAAACTAGAAATGTCCCACACAGCAGTAGGTGAATAGACAGGTACACAATAGAATACTACTCAGCGATAAAAAGGAATGAACTACCGATACCTGCTACAACATGAAGAAGTCTCTAAATAATTGTGTTGAGTGAAAGAAACCAGGCAAAAAGGAATATATACTGTTTGATTCTACTTGTATTAAATTATAGAAAATGCAGACTAATCTATAGTCACAGAAAACAGATCCGTAATTGCTTGTGTATGGGAGAGAGGCAGGAGGGAGGATTACAGAGCAGCTCAAGTCAACATTTGCCAGTGATGGATAGGTTCATTACCTTGATTGTGGGGATGGTTTTGCTGATGTATATGTTATATCAAAACTTATCAGATATGTGTAGTTTACTGTGTGTCAATTATACCTTAATAAAGCTCTCAAATTTAAAAAACAAAAAGAATAATTGGGGAATAGAGAATGACAAAGGGTGGTGTTTTTGATAGGAGGTTCATGGAAAACTCTCTGGGAAGGTACCATTTGTGTAGACCCAAATGAAGTGAAGGAGTGAACAATGTGACCAGCTTTGGAGAAGAACATTTCAGGTAGCAGGAAGAGCAGATGCAAATGCCCTAGACTAGGACTGTGCTGGGCACGTTAGAGTATGATGTGGCTGCAAGAGAGTGAACAAAGGGCAAAGGAGGTCAGAGAGGTAGAGAAGGCCTAGATCATGTAGAACTTATCGTTTTTTCACTGACCCGGTGAGGTGGGGGTGGGGGGCAAGCCCCAAGGGGCTCTTGCATCTGGCACCAAACACCTGGCTGCACGCCACCCAGGCACAACCCGCTCCAGGGACAGTGCCAGGTGGAGAGTTTAACTGGGGCAGTACACTGTCAAACAGTAACGCAAGTGTCCTAAGGTGAGCTCAGGGAGCACAGAAACCTCCAGTGGAACAGAAGGGCAAAAGCTCATTTGATCCTGATTTTCAGTATGAATACAGACCGTGAAAACAGGGCTTCACAATCCTTCAGACCTTTTGGGCTTTAAGCAGGTGTCAGAAAAGTTACCATAGGGATAGACTGGATAAAGAAAATGTGGCATACATACACCATGGAATGCTATGCAGCCATAAAAAAGAATGAGTTCATGTCCTTTGCAGGGACATGGATGAAGCTAGAAACCATCATCTTCAGCAAACTAACACAGGAACAGAAAACCAAACACTGCATATTCTCACTGGTAAGTGGGAGTTGAACAATGGAGAACACATGGACGTAGGCAGGGGAACATCACACACTGGGGCCTGTCAGGGGGTTGGGGGGCAAGGGGAGGGAGAGCATTAGGACAAATACCTAAGGCATGTGGGGCTTAAAACCTAGATGACAGGTTGATAGGTGCAGCAAACCACCATGGCACATGTATACCTATGTAACGAACTTGCACGTTCAGCATATGTATCCCAGAACTTAAAACAAAAATAAAAATAACATTGGAAAAAGGAAGTATTTGCTTGCAGAAGAAAATAAGTAGAAATATATATAGAATAAAATCTCAAATGCCTATGGGATAGCCAGTAACATAACACTGGTATAAAAATAAGAGACTATAGTAGAGTTTGTGGCTAAATGCGCTGACTAAATATATTCAAGCCAAAACAGCAGGCAAAACAATATGACAACCACAATATTTAAGCCAAATAAAATGTATTTGCAGTTTGAATTTGGACCCAAAGGCCACCAATTTTTATCCCTGGCATAGAGGTTCCCAATTAATAAACATTAAGAATACATAATTTACATTACAATGTTATATCCAATGTTGTCTTCAATATACTATCCATTTATGTTATACTAGTTGTCATTTTCCCACAGAAAAAAAGAACTTATCCTGAGAGAGATGGGGATGGCTTGGATTGTTTTGCACAGTTGTGACATGATCCCATTTATGTTTTAAAATTAACATCTAAACCATGACTATCATTCCCAACTATAAAAAGGAAGGATGGAAGCAAGGAAACCAGTTAGCGGACTGTTGAAATTGTTAGGCAAGAGATCATGGTGACTTGCTCCGAGATGACTGTGGTAGAGTTCAGGAGAAGGGGTAGGAGGAAGGGAGGAAGGATTACTTCAAAAGTAGAGCTGCCTCATTTTTTTTTTTTTTTTTGGCAGGTTGCATGTAGAGAGGGAGAGGAAGAGAGAAGTCAAAAATTATTTTTAGATTTTTTTTGGTCTGGACATCTGGAAAAAAAATAATTTTCCCATGACAAAGATGAGGAAGTCTGAGTTGTCAGTTTCTAAGATGCACTCAGATTTGTCTATGGTGAGTTTAAGGTACTTGCTAGACAACCAAGCAGCAACACTGGGCAAGCTGGATATATCAGTCTGTAATAAAGGGAGGGAAGTCAGAGGTGGGACTGGAGATATAAATTTGGGGAGGAACCCAGAGAAGAGCTATTAGAACTGAGCACCCTGGGGAACTCCAGCATTAAAAAGTAAGGAAGATAAGGGAAAACCAAGAAAGACAACTGTTAAAGAACAAGAGCGAGCCAAGGGAAGAAAGTATTTCAAATAATACAGTGATTAGTTGTGACAAATACAGCCAGCAGGTCAACAGGAGGACTCTGAGTTGACCAGTCAAATTAGTAATGGGCAACCTTGCTAGGAGCTATTTCAGTGAGGTAGTAGGAATGAAAGCTTGATGGGAATGCGTTCACGGGAGAATTAGAGGTGAGAAAGTAGATACAGAAAGTATCGACAAGTTTTGCTGTCAAAGCAAGCAGAGAAATTGAACAGTAATTGAAGAGGGACGTGGGGGTCAAGGGAGTTTTTTTTTAAGATTGAAGATATTATGGCATGTTTGTATTCTGATGCGAACACTCCAATAGAATGTAGAGAGGTAAAAATTAATGATGCAGGAGAGAGAGAGAGGACAACTGCAGGGGAAAAAAAAAGTCCTTGAGCTTTGGGAGCTGTAGGAGATAAAGATGAAGAAGTGAGAATAATGTACCCATGGAGGGCTCTTACTCAAATGTACCACTCCAGATCAGGACCCAAGAGGAAGGGAAAGGATCAGGAAGCTAACACTGATGAGTGCCTATGACATCTCAGGCACTTCCTGGTTATTCTTTTCAACCAGACTAGGAGTGATTCTTTTCAGCTTCCCTTTGCAGGTGAGGCAATTGAGGTTCTAAGAGATCAAATGACCTTCTGCATTGCCCATGGCCAATCCCAGCTACACAGAGGCTGCAAGAGGTCATCTTGAGCACACAGCAGCTGCCCCTTCACCCTCCACACTTCCAGACCTGCTTACATGATAATGTCCAAACGCTGAGGCTGGTCTGAACCAAGACTGTGCAAAGAACAGTTTGACTCTCTCTACTTGGGCTGCAGTTCAGCTACATAGTGGAACACGGACTATTGGTTTTCTTACCATCTTCTTTCCTCAGAGCCATAAAACCACAGAACACTAAAGCTAAAAGAGACCTCAGAGATCACTCAGCCCACCACCCCCTTTTTCCTAAAAGGAAACTGAGGCAAAAGGATACTTAGGCCCAGACTCAAAGACAAAGCAGAGACAATTGTCATCTCATGGCCTGTGAGCTGTCAAACACCATTCCTCTCTCGTCCCCAGAGACATGAGTACACGCACCGTGTGTACAAAACCGATTTGAAGATGCAAATTGGCTACATCCAATTTCATCCAACTGTCCTGGAAATTTAAGAGCTCTGCTGACAAGCACAGAGCAAAGAGTAAATTGTTCCCCTGAAAGAAATAGTCTTGGAAATGGCCTCGCCTGTCCCTGTCCAAGGTGCTAGGCATGCAGAGGCCATGAGGAAGAAGCATGTGTCTGCCAGGCCCAAATGCAACCTTCTTGTGAAAGGAGACGGGAGGGAAGGCTAGGGTTTAGAGAGAAGGCAGATAAGGGACCCCCTGAAATCCGTCAGACTTGGAAATTGATTGGCACCTTTGCCCAGGACTTCCTGTGTACCTCCTGCAAGTTTACTTTCCAAGGTAACTAGGTGTTATTGCAGGAGATGCATGCCGACCACTAAAGAATGTTCCTGCCCACTCTGGGTTTACAGAGAGAGAACAAAAGAAACAGAAGTTTGAAGTAACAGCACTACTTTCTTTTTATTTATTTTTTCTTACAAACCCCGCAGATGGCATCTGAAGACACAATTACTCTCAGGGAGACCTGGGCACATTCTCCAAGTGCCAGGGCCTCCCACACAGGGTATCGGCTGCCCCAAGCCCTGACCCTCTGACATGCCAAATGGATTCACCCAAAAGTAGATAAAACAGAACTCCACAGATTAGATCAGTGGTTTTCAAGCAGTCTTTTAGAAGCAGAAACATCATTTCAAACAAAATCTGATCAGAAGACAGCAACCACTAAAGACACTGTGCTTGAAGCCAAAGTGGGGGCTACACACCCTATGCCCTCAACCCACCCCATGCCTTGGAGATACCTCTGTAGGATGGTGGGGTTCACTGACAAGTCAAAAGTCACTTGGTTGCCAGGCACAGTGGCTCACACCTGTTGCTGCAGCTACTTGGGAGGCCAAGGCCGTAGGATCATTTGAGTCCAGGAGTTTGTTTCCTGCCTGGGCAACATAGCAAGACCCCATCTCTCTTTAAAACACACACGTATACACACATACACACACACACCCCACACACAAACGATTAGGTTAACTCACAAAAGGCCTGTAGAGCTCTGTTCCATCTCACTCTTTAGGAGGCAGATAGCCCTGTCAAGTCCCAGTCTGTAACACATCACATTGTGTCCTTCCACCCTTAGTAGTAAGACCCTACTCTCCAGTTGCAAAAATCTCTGGTCACAAACAAACCTGAACTGCACCACATTTTTTTAAATAACACTCTGCTCTTTCCCGTACCCTTCATTCAGTTTATCAGTGACTGACATGGGCTGGCTTTCATTTCCAGGTTCCACCTTGCCCTGGCATGCACCTAGGATTGACCTCCTTGCCTCTGTCTCTTTGAATGGACCTCTGGTACCTCTCCATAGCAGATGCTGTCAATGACCTGTCCATATCCCCGTGTTGGTACATGCCAGTGGTGTCCTGCTGCAAGCACATATACCTCCCTGCCTGAGGGATTTCTTTCAGTTTGCAAATCTACAGGAGATGCTGAGAGTCAATGTTCTTGGAGTAGCCATCAGCCAATAATCCTTGAGCAAAATAAGTCTGTGGAGTGTTCTAATCTATTTCCAGTTTCCCAGTAGAATTGAGCCCAGATTCTCACAGCGGGAATTTATACAATAATACATCCTTTTCAGCTTTCTTCCTTCCCTGTCTCACTTCCCCACTCCCTACTGTGTTTCCAAGGATCACCTCCTAAATAAACTACATGCATCCATCTACTTGGCTCAGAATATGCTTCTGGGAGAACCCAATCTAAGATATTTGGTGCCAGAATAAGAGTAGGAAGCAGATCTTCAGCATAAGGTGCTAGAATAGGATCACATGCCAACCAGATGCTAATGAGGACCCCATGGCTGGTGACAAATGGGATGGGGTGCAGACAACCCTGGCACACCATGGCATCACAATTACTAAAATGCTCACCTGTAGTGAAACGCATTGAGATGGAGTCCAAGTGGAAGGAAATGCACTGGCTTATACAATAGGTCTAGCACAGTGTTACTCAAAGTGTGGTCCATAGGCTTTCTTCAATTTTTTTAGAGACAGGGTCTCACTCTGTCACCCAGGCTGAAGTACAGTGGCACCATAATAGCTCCCTGTAACCTCCAACTCCTGGGCTCAGTTGATTCTCTCATCCCACCTTTCTGAATAGCTAGGACTACAGGAACACATCAGCAAGCCTGGGTAATTTTTTAGCTTTTTGTAGAGACAAGGTCTCACTATGTTGCCCAGGTTGTCCTCAGACTCCTGGCCTCAGGTGATCCTCCTGCCTTGGCCTTCAAAGATGCTGGGATTACAGGCATGAGTCATTGTGCCTAACCATATGCCTTTTTTATTTTGTTTTTTTTTTTTTAGAAATTCATCAGTCCACAAAGTATTGCTTAAACTATTCCTTTACAACAAATAGTCTGAGAAGTACTGGCCTAGACTTGAAAACAACGGGAGTAATTTTAGTTATGACAATTGTGAAGTTAGTTAAGTGTTGTTAACTGCCCCCAAAGTTCTGAAGGAAAAATATGATAGGTTCAGGCCAACTGAGCTATCAACTTGAAATTCAGAAGGTCTCCAGGAGCATGTTAGAGAGAACCTCGTCTCCTCCAGCTGAGAGGCAGACTGAACAGAAATTGGGCTCAATATATGACTAACAGGGTGGCAGAGATGCAAAGAAAGCTGCATTCAAAGCCTTCAATGCTAATGGGATGGCCCCCATTAGAAATGAATGGAACCCTGAGACCTGTGATAAAGACATTTAGATTGACTCACTTGAGAACCTTGAAGTCCCAGATTCCCCTAATCCCTTGGGCCAGCAGAAATACCACCTCCCCCATGGAGAGGAGACACTGTTTATTGGCCTGGATCCATGAAAAAGCCTCACTAAAAGCTAATGACTCACAAAATGATGATTACTGTCCCCCAGGGCTGCCTGCACTTCCCCTTGTTGTTTCTAAACCAATATCTAAGAACAAGTCTCAGCATGAATTGACTAGACAAATATGTCACTTCTTATGGAAGGAAATAGATTATTCCAAAAAAAAGAAGCTGCTGCAAATCCAGCAGGAACTTGGAGAATATGCCTGGGAATTAATCTTGAGTGTGCTGGACTGCATGGGTGGAATACAAGGTTAGGTTGTGGACAATTCATTGACATGAGAACACTTTCCTATGACTCAAGATTGAATGCCCTGGCAAAGACATTCAGAGCCAGTCCTAATGCACTGTTGGCATGGCTCCTTGAAGCTTGGAAACAATAACAGCCTATAGTATATGAGGTGGAAATGCCAGAACTGCCTTGGCAGGGTATTGAGGAAAGGAACAAAAGGCTCAGAGAGGCACCTTGTTGAATTGAATTTACTGTGTTATACCAGGGAACACGCTAACTATGTTCTCCAGGGAGGCCTGGAGGACATTGCCTTCAATAAAGCAATAAAGAAATGGGGCACTGTGATCAGTAGTTCAGTGGTGGCTATTGTCTGAGGCCAGGAAAAACAGTGGGAGATGCTGCCGTGGCTCCCAAATGTCAATGGGGCTGGGATTCTAGAATAGCCAGGACAACGTCAGAAGCAAAGTGAATGCAATTACGTGATGGGCAGCAAGGCTGGAATCATAACCAGGAGGAGGTGGGGTGGGGGGAGACTTGTTGCAATGACTAATAATCCTCGATGTTTCCAGAGGTGAGATAGATGTTCTTTGCCAACAAAGGTATTGCTTGGCTTATATAATCTAAAATGATCAAGACGGGGTGAGAAGGCTGATGTCAGTGGCTAGAATAGAACATTATAATCCCTCATCCAGTTTCCAGATCTGAGATAGTTCTTGGACTCACAGCCCATCGGTGAAAGAAGAGATCAGGGCCCCTTTGATAAAGGGTACTGAAAATGCCACAGAAAGTATATACAGTACCAATACTCTCATTCCTACCCTAAATGGACTTTTGGCCATTTATCAGAGTAACCGTATAATGGGAAAAAGATAATGCCCAGAAATTTCAGAGACTGCTGGATACAGGATCTGCACAGACTGAAACTGATACCAAGGGATCAAAAACACCATCCTATTTGAGTGGAAAGCATAGAAATATTATTTAATCAATGGACTCCCAGTAGATGTTCACTTCATAGAGGGTCCAGTGGGTTTACAGCCTCACTCTGTGGTCATTTCTCAGGTCCTTTTATGCATAATCTAGATGAATGCACCTAGAAGTTGGCAGACCTCTCACATTGGCTTCCTGGCCTGTGTAGTATTTGTTGGAGTAGAAAAGGCCAAGTGGAAGCCTCCCCACCTTTCCTGCCAGCAACACATACCCACACACTCACACACACATACTCTTACACACACTCAAACACACCCACATACATACACTCACACCCACAAACACCCACACCCACACACATACACATACTCTTACCGCTGCTATAGTTTGAATGTTTTTGTCCTCCTCCAAATTACACATTGAAATTTAATCTCTAATGCAACAGTATTTGGAAGTGTTTTTTTTTGTTTTGTTTTGTTTTGTTTTGTTTGAAAAAGAGTTTCACTCTTGTTGCCCAGGCTGGAGTGCAATGGTGTGATCTCAGCTCACCACAACCTCTGACTCCCGGGTTCAAGTGATTCTCCTGCCTCAGCCTCCCAAGTAGCTGGGATTACAAGCATGTGCCACCACGCCTGGCAAATTTTGTATTTTTGGTAGAGACAGGGTTTTCCATGTTGGTCAGGCTGGCCTCGAACTCCCAACCTCAGGTGATCCACCCACCTCGGCCTCCCAAAGTGCTGTGATTACAGGCATGAGTCACCATGCCCGGCCTGGAGGTGTGATCTTTTGGGATGTATTTAGGTCCTGAGAGCTCCACCCTTATGAATGGACTAATGCATCTTAAAAGGGCTTGCAGGAGTAGATTTTCTCTTCTGATCTTTTACCATTTGGGAACACAGCATTTGTCCCTTTTTTGCCCTTCTGCCTTCTGCCATGTAAGGATGCAGCAAGAAAATCCTCATCAGCTGCCAGTACCTTGATCTTGGACTTCCCAGACTCCAGAACTGTGAGAGGATAAATTTTTGTTCTTTAGAAATTACCCCATCTATGCTATTTTGTTACAGCAACAGAAAACAGACTAAGGCATTCCCATACTCACACCCACACCTACACTCACACACTAAAATGCACGTACATACACATAAACATATGCTCACTAGGCCAAGAGAGTAAAACAATACTACACCTTAGATGGAATGAAAAAGACTAGTATGGTATCACCTTCAAAGACTTAAAGGATGCAGGGTCATGGTCCCCATCATATCCCCATATAAGCCATCAGCAAAATTAGATGACTCCTGGCAGATAACAATGGACTACCATAAACTTAACCAAGCAGTAGCCTCAACTGCAAGTCTTTTTGCCAGACATCTTCAGTAGCATAGATGTGCACAGCCTCCAGCACTTAGTATGTGGTTTACAATGTGATGAATACATTTTTTTCAGTCTCTCTCGAGGAAGATCAGAACAAGTTTGCATTCACTTGCCATACATAACTGTACATATGAATGGTTTTGCCCAGACCTATTTAACTCTTCTGCTCTCTGTCACCATACAGTTCAAAGGAACCATCTTTTTCTCAACATTCCACAGAACATCAGACGGGCCTATTATACTGATAGCATCATAATAACAATTCAAATGAGCAGGAAATGGCAAGAACTCAGAAGTCCTGGTAAGATGTGTGCATCAGGGGTTGGAGATAAGCCCTACAAAGACTCAGAGGCCTGCCACATCAGAAAAGTTTTTAAAGGTCCAGTGGTATGGGGCATACTGTGGTATTTCTTCCAAGATAAAGAAGAAATCGTTAAACCTTGAACATCCCATCTTTAAGGTAGTGGCTTCATATTTGGTACCTTAAGACCTGGCAGATTCCAGGATGCTAGCAATATCTGAGATAGATGACAATGTTTTGAGGAGTCTTGGTGAGATTAAGCAGGGGAGTTACAGAACAAAACCCTAGGATTCTAGAGCAAGACTGAACTATCTACAGAAAAAAAAAAAAAAAAAAAAAAAAAACACCTCACCATTCAAAAGGCAGGTTTAGGCATGCTATTGGGCTGTAGTAGGGACTAATCACCTGACCATGGGATATCAAGGAACAATGAGACCAGAGCTGTCCATCATGGTCTGGGTATGTTTAGACCTGCCAAGTCATAAGTTGTGTGGACACTGGAGAATTCCACCATTTAATGAAAACAGCATATTCAAGATCAGTCCCTAGCAGGCCTAAAGGACACAAACAGGTGACCCAGATCTCATGTCACCTACTTATGTTGCACCAATGTGTTTCCTTCAGCTCCTGGTTGTAGGGAGTTCTCTATCACCAGCTGATGGAGAAGGAAAACCTTGGGCCTACTTCACAGATAAGTCAACTCCATATTCCGGTTGAACCCAAAAATGTACCACTATCTCCCAGTAGCCTGCTGCAAGGGTAGCCCTGAAATTCAGCAGTGAAGGGAAATCTTCCCATTGGAGAGGGCCTTGAACACTTGAACTGATCCCCAACCTGATGTGGCGGGAGAAGGGCCCTGAGGTTACGACAGTCACATACCCACAAGCAGTAGAGAATGGCTTAGCTGGCTATGGTCAAGAGCCTGGAAAGGGCAAGATTGCAAAATGAGGAAAAATGGGGTGGATCATTCTCATTGTCCACTAGAGAGCATTCCCACAGAGCAGGCATTGAACAACCAAACAGACAGGATCCTGAGGATGTCAGCCCACTGCTGCCCTTAAGCGCCCCAGTGAATGAAGCTTTGATAACAGGTAAGGAGGCCATGAGCCAGACAGCATGGGCTTCTTCTTACTGAGGATGGTCCAGTTATTTCCAGAGATTCATATGGTCCCTCATTCCCAATGCTGAGTCCTCAGTTTGACACCATCCCTCAAGGAAACCCTGCAGCCACTTTATGGCAAGTTGATGATGTCAGAATTCCTCACCCTGGAAAATGTGTTTTGTTCTTACTGCATTGACACATATTCTAGGAAAGGCTTTGCCTTTTGGACCTGCAGTGTCTTGAATAGAACTAGTGTCCAAGGGCTCATAGAGTATCTGGTTTACTATATGGGATCTTGCAGTATATCACTGTGGGCCAAAAGATGCACCTTGCAGCGAGAGAGGTGTGGCAGTCAGCACACAACCACAGGGCCCAGTAGTCCCGTCATACATCCAATACATCCATCTCTCAGAAGCCACCAATCTGATAGAGCTTTGGGTTGGCCTCATGAAGGTTCAGCTAAGCACCAGCTTGGTAATAACATCCATGGGGTTGGGACACTAGTCAAGATGCAGCATACTGTTTGAACTAATGACTACTTTGCGGTGTTGTATCCCCAGTGACTTAAATACATGGGTCTGAAGACCAAGGGCTGGCAGAAGAGGTAGCCCTTCTTAGCACCATTCCCAGTGACCCACCGGAGGAATCCATGCCTCTTGTCCCTGCACATTTAGGATCTGATGAACCTGATTCCAGGGTCGGGGGGAAATACCTGAAGCAGGAGACACAGTAAGGGTTCCTCTAATCCTAAAGTGAGGGCTGTTCCCTGGTCATTTTGGGGTCCTCATGCCAGCATACCAGCAAGCAAAGAAAGAAATTATCAAACCAGGAGGGGAAATTGACCTGATTCCATGAGCAGTTAGGATTTCTGCTACATCATGGGGGCAGAAAGGAACAGGTCTGGAATTCAAGAGATCTGCTGGGGATGCTGCTTTGTGCTTCTGCGCCCAGGGATAAGCATGAATGGGCAACTCTCTCAACCAACGGCCTGACAAAGTCACAGTAGCCAGGGGCTCAGCCTCTCAGGGATAATGGCTTGGTCCATCCCACCAGGCAAGCAAAATGTAGCAGAAATGCTGGCTGAGTGCCAGGAGAATGTAGAACCAGTTGGTGGTGAAAGAGCAACATGATGATTATCACTTACAACCTCAGAATCAACCACAGCAGCAAAAACTTCGTCTCACTAGCCCCTTAGTTGTCTTTTTTATTTTATTAGGATCGGTCACATTTGAAAGAAACAGTCAGGTTGCAGTCAGGTTAACTGGGCCATGAGGGGGTCTGAGTAGTGCAAGGGGAGGATCAGAATAGACGCTGTCAGTTCCCTGTCCATATCCCCTGCACACTTACCGTTCCAGTACACACCAACAGCATCCCTACACCTGCAGCTCTCCCCCTAGAGCTCGCCTGAAGTGCTGGGGAATCAAGGTACCCAGAGGTGTTGATATGAGTGGGATGCTGATGATAGGGAGGTGAGGGAGGATTCACACTGGGTTTCCTCAGCCTTCAGCATGATGTAATCATTTCACAATACACATATATATCAAAATACCATGCTGTACACATAAATAAACATAACTTTTTGTCAACTAAGAAAATATTTGTTAGGTTACAAACTCCCAATAGGGAAATTTAAAGCACCCTGAGTTTGATATCTGGGGCTCTCCTTGGTATCCCTAAAATCACACCACGTAGACAGCTACAACTCACCTATGCCTAAAACACCTTTAGGGAGCCTTTGAGAACTCATGGCTCATGGATCCCAGCAATGCAAGAAGATCCCACCCTAAATCCAAACACAGAGGGAGGGGATAGAGGGAAACCCTTGAGGAAATGAATCAAGAAGCAGCGAGGCACCAAGAAGGAAGAAACCAAAGAGGAGGCGACAGACTAAGGGCTTGAGGGGAGAGAAAGCCAGGAGAGAAACTACACACAGTCACCCACAAGCAAACAAAACCTGCACATACACACAGTCAAAGGAGAAGCATCAGCCGAGACCACAGATGAAATTTAAAGTTGTTATGGCAACCAGAACAGGTGGGTGGGCACTTATGCCCACCGAATTTACAAAATTAAAGTAAGCATTGCATTTGCTAACTAATTAAATAATGCCTTCTAAATATTTCTAAACCCCCAGCCATGAGTCACAAAAGAGGGCAGGGAATGGGAAGCCAGAGCTCTCATTCATTTACTCCAGGGTCTAGAGAGCTGCCTCACAGGGTGGCTCTTACTGAGGAAGGTGGGGGCTGAGAGGGTCGGGGACTAGCAAGTGGGGGTGGCAGAGACTTGAGGACATCCCTTTGGTGACAGCAGGAAAAAGCCAGTTTTAGGCAAAGAGTAAGCAAAGACTCAGAACTCTCCCTTGAAGCCTCCCAGAGGACAAGTGACAGAGGCAGAGCCGGCCCACCATGTGTGTCCTCCGCCCCAGCCATTCTGCAGTGCCCTCTTTCCCATCCAGAACCAGGGCTACGACAGAGACATGGTGGGTAACAACTGGATCCCAGGGGGTTGCAGACACCAAAGCCCACGTCTCTGCAGAGACATCGGGAAGCTCAAATAATCCAGTCAAATAAGGCAGCTGGCTGGAGGAGACAATTCGTTCAGATGTGGGGGGCGGATTGGTTTATTTTTAAGAAATAAAAGGAAAAGCAGCCTCTGCTAGGAATCAGATGCGCCATCTTAGCTGCTCTTCCCTGGGGAAATAAATTACACATAACACTGTACACAAACACAGCTCCACACACAAACCCAGCTGGCTGCGCTGTAGCACTTGTCTTCCTGGGGAAATAAATTTCAATGTCTATATATCTCTATCTATAGATACATGCACAGAAAAGGTCACACCATGTCTCCTTCAGTGCCCCTTTCACTTGAAATTAAACAATAATTGTTTCCGTGTTTAGTCTCCTGCAAAGGGAAATCATCACTGGAGTAGCTCACCTAAACACACAGGCATCGCAGGCCTTCTTGTTATGCCCATGGGCAAAGTAAGGCAGGAAACAGAGCACCAGGATGCAGAGATGTGGGTGGCATGAGCATCCCAGGAGACCCTGGTGCAAAGAACCCAGCCAGTGCCTGGGGACACATGAGTCACCCCACAGGGAGCTGAGGCTGCTCTGATGTTTTCTGTTTCCATGTTAGTGGTGCAATGGTGTGTGTGTGTGTGTGTGTGTGTGTGTGTGTGTGTGTGTGCCCATCCCCTCAGGACAGGACAGGTCTTCAGCTTTCCTTCCACAACTGCAACCAGCCCAGCTTACCACTCTAAGTTCCACTGAATTCAAAAGCTTCAGAGCTAGAAGTAGTCTCATTTTACAGAGGAGAAACTGAAGGTCGGAACTGGTGACAAGGATCCATGTAAGCTCCGTGAGGGCAGGGTGATGTGTCTTTTGTTTCCTGTTATAAAATGTACCTGTTATGTGAGAAAAGAAGGGAGGGAGGAAAGGAGCAGGGAGGGAAGGAGAGAAACACTGTGTACCCTGTCTCCTTGTGTGCTATTCTCTCTCCTAAATCTGAAGCCTCCATCAGGGTGAGCCACAGGACATAGCAGCACCGTGTCAGGGGCTGTAGCAACTGCAGGGTCATGCTTAGATCCTGAGTGGAGTCGGAACTGTGGTCTTGGTGGCACCAGGGCGTGTAGCAGGAATCCATCCAATCTGGAGGCCTCTCTCCTCTCCTGTTCATGGAACCACATCCTTCAAGCCCCCCAGTGCATGACCCTCCCTGATCACTGCAGCCCCTGCTGCTGCTCACTTCCAGAACTGCATCCATCTGCTGCCAATCGGTGCCTTAGAGGTGCCAACCCCCTCTCCCACGCAAGTCTATGCCTTACAAGAGACCACTGGTTGGATGTTTGCGGGTGTACACATCCAACCATCCAACTCATCTCTCCAGCAAGAGTGTAAGCATATGTCTGGACTGATGCTGCATGCATAGAAAGCCATCAACAAATGCTTGGTGGGTTGTTGGATTGATGTGTGAACCAAGAGAAGCAGAGGGGATTTCTGGAGGACGGAAGTCGGACCCTAAGAAAGGCTGCTGGGAATACCCATTCTGGTTCTGCCATGGGTGTCTGCTCTGATTTCACGCCTTAAACAGCTTCTGGCATATCCAGATTTGCAGCATGGTTTTAAAACCATCATAGTCGCTTCCGCTTCTGCTCAGGAATCCCTCCAGGCTTCCTTTCTGCATATATGTCTAACGTCCTCTGGCACCGGCTCCCCCAGCCACTTCTCTGCCTGGCTGTGCTTCCTGGCTCCTCTTCTCACATACCCTGTTTGAATTTGGCTTCAGGTGGCTCATCTTTCTTGGACCTGGGAATCTGCTGGGACGAGGCCGCCAGTGGTTGCTTGCATGGCTCCAAAAGTTGACACTTGGGACAAGCACTTCACAGCCTCCATCCTATGCCTAGAAGCCAGGATGCAGTCAGGCAGAGACCCCAGAGCCCCTAGCCCCTCTGCTCAGGGGAAGGATATGACCATCAGGACAAAGGTTCATTTGAGTAGGGAAATGGGAGAAACACCAAGCCCTTGGCATCCAGGCCCGAATTATGTGGCCCCTGCAGGCCCCCTTCAGTCACCCCAAGGCTGCTAGCCTCAGCTGTCTTGGCCAGGCTGACTGAGTCCTGGTGGGGAGGGCTGCTCTTGCCTTTTTGCCGGCATGCTCATTCCAGTCAAACTAGGCCTGTCCTTCCCTATCAGCTTCTGGGTCAAGTCCCCAGGGAAGGGGGAAAGGAGAGGTCAAGACACAAGAGGAGATGTCACTTCTCGTCGAAGTCTAGTGCCAAAAGCAGGGAGGAGGGCTGCCTTGACAAGCCCTAACACTGTCATTGTTGCCTCCCGTCCCTTCCAGGCTCACACGGGTGAAGAGTGGGGGTGCATGAAACAGGCACAGTGGGGCAGCCTGTCACTTGCACACTGGCTATCTGGCATGAGCCAAGTCCAAGGTTGTATCTCATGACAGAACCGGACAAGAACCAGGTGGTGGGCGGTCCATTCATTCCATGAATGTTGCACATCAGCTCTGTGTCATGCTCTGAGGCTAAATGGGGAGCAAGAATGGCCCAGTCCCTGCCCATAAGAAGCTCACTGTCTAGTAACAGGCCTCAGCAGTCCTGTGTGACAGACATGTTGAGGAGGGAAGGACAGGGTACAGTGGGAGTCACGGGGGAGGGCAGAGGAACGCTGGTTCCTGGAACATCAATGCCCATAGAACAAGGGGGCAGTCAAACACTCAGCAATGCTGCATGGGGGCTACAGGTGTGAGCTTGGGAGGAGCACAAGCCTGGGTCTAAATTCTGGCTCCACACTTACTAGCTGTGTGGCCTTGGGTAAGTAGCTTAGCTTCTCTGTGCCCCAGGTTCCTTCTGTAAAATGAAGGTGGGAAGATAAAAGTCCCTAAGTCACAGGGCTGTGGCGAGAATTAAATAAGAAAGTGACCTAGCCCAGAGTGAGCTGCCAGTCAAGGTCAGCTGCTACCATTGTCATTCTTAATAGTATGTTATTACTGCTGAGCACAGTAATAGCCATAGTAGTGGTAGCTGCTGCGGTTGTCATTGTTGTAACCATTAGCACCTGCGGAGTCTCAGCTGCTCGCAGTTGCTCCAGACCAGGGCAGCCTGGGTGAGGTAGTAGGGAGCAAGGGTGAGGGACTAGGAAGGCCACTCTTCTACAACCCTCAGGGCACTGGAGAAGCCGTCTGGACGGGGTCTTCGGCACAAGGAACAATATGGGAGCCCAGTCACCAGAGAACAAGGTCAGAGTCAGATTAGCTTGTAGGGTGATAATCTGGAATGACTTAAATCACTCCCTCCTGAGAGACATTGAGACATTGACTTGCTAGGGGGCTAAGAGGCCCCACCTATGGGAGAAGGGAGGGGACAGAGACAGAGACCCTCTGAGGAAAGAGGGCATTTGCAGGGCATGACCTGGAGACGGGAAGTGGCCACCAGCATCTTGGACCACAGTCTTGGCAGGGACCATCTGTTCCAAAGCTCTTAACCTGTTCCCACTTTGGAGCAATTCCAAAGTCTGATTAATGTCCTGGATCTTCTCTCCTCCAGAAAATGCAGGTCTTATATTTTGAATAAAAGGTCTATATTTTGTATAGAAGTCCAGGCTTGAAGGACTTCCATAATGTCATGTACTATAGGAATTCCTCCAGGCACAGCACACCCGCAGCCAGGGGACATCCACAAAAATGCTTACCTGTGGTACCAGTAACAAGAACACAAATGGCTTGCCGGGTGCCCACACCGCATGTCTCCTGCCACTTTCTGAAGAATGACACCAAGGCAGCAGATATTACGGCCCCCTTGAGTGTGGAGATACTCAAATGGCCTGTGGTCCATGTTCACTCAATGATCTGCCAAGGCCTGTGGAGCCAGGCCTGTCTGCGGCAGACACTGCAAGGGATACGGGATCAGGTGAACCCTCAAGGCTCTCACGGCTCATGGGGAAAAGCAAACATAAACACAACTAACCCCAAGCTACGGCACAGGACAGCAGGGGTCCCCCAGAGAGACAGATGGATTCTACAGGAGAAGAGAGCAATTCCACTGGGGGGTTCCCAGGGGCAGGATGACAGAAGACTTCCCAGAAGAGACCCTGATGCTTGAATCAGATTCCAAAAAGCATAAAGTTTTGTTGAAAGTAACTGTAGCAGAATTGCCAGGAACTCTACAGGACTTTTTTTTTTTTCTTTTTTTTTTTTTTTTTTGAGACGGAGTCTCGCACTGTTTCCCAGGCTGGAATGAAGTGACACGATCTCGGCTCACTGCAACATCTGCCTCCTGGATTCAAACGATTCTCCCGCCTCAGGCTCCTGAGTAGCTGAGATTACAGGTGCCCGCCACCAAGCCTGGCTAGTTTTTTTGTTTGTTTGTTTGTTTGTTTGTTTGTTTTTTAATGGAGATGAGGTTTCACCACATTGGCCAAGATGGTCTCAAACTCCTGACCTCAGGTGATCCGCCCACCTCAGCCTCCCAAAGTGCAGGGATTACAAGTGTGAGCTACCGTGCCTGGCTCTCTATAGGACTTTTGAAGAGACAGGGTGCACTAACCACATTTTCTAGTTTCCGCATTCGATGCTTTGACATCTCGGGGCCTTGCTGATACTGGAGGGCTGCCTCTCCCAGAGCTAGCAAATTCCTGGAGAGAGCGAACCAACCAATCCAGAGTCCACTCCTTTACCACTTACCCCTATCATCTTCTTACACTTCACTCTGGACCTCTCTCTACCTGGCCGACTCACCCCAGGGCCAGGGACCAGACAACTAGGGACAGTCCCTGTGCCACAGAGCTGCTGTAACTATTCAAACTAGCCAGCTCTGGGCCTGAGCTGTCCCAGGGAAACCACTGTAAAGGCTCCTGGCCACGTTTTTCCCTCCCTTCTTCTGCCTTGCGACCACCCCTGGTGCTTCCCTTCTGTGGCCCTGCACGCTGGGCCTCCCTTCTCCTTCCTTCGTGACAGTCATTTCTGTGTCTGGGTCTCATACCATCTCTGACTAAAACCAATCCCAGGTACCCTTAAAACATGGGTCTGCTTCCCTGAGGGAAGGAAGCCTGGTTGGGCTCTATCTGTAGATACCAATCAATGGAAGAAAGATGTCGATTTCTCCATGGGACCAACTCATGAGTAGAGAGGAAACTGTAAGGAAGACAGGCCTAGCCCTGCCTACATTTCAGCATGGTGCAGGAAGAGAGTCCAGGGGATCTGCCAAAGACCTCTTCTAGCTGGGGAACTGCACCAAGCTTAGGGAGATTCCTAACAGAGAGCTCTAAAAGAGAAATCCCACTGGGTCCATTTAAAGGCAACCACGAAAGGCCAAAGTGTTCTGCTTGGGCATCTTCCTAGGAGGAAATGCCATCAAACAGTGAGGGTGAGGACTGGCCCCTCAGTGCCTATGGCGATCTCTGGCATCAGGGACGGCCTTGCTGTTAACCAAATGTGTGCAGTTGAATCCCAAGACACAGGGCCGGGGGAGGCCGCAGAGTTAATAAGCAAAGAGACCCAATCTCTGGGGCCTGTGAAGAGGAGAGGGTTTTACCACTTCACCTGGCTGGAGGCTCAGGTATGTTGTTTCCACAAATCCCTGCAGGCCCCAGCGAGAAAGCCATGGGCAAGATGGGCACAGGAAGGTGGTGGGGACAATGGGTTTGTGCAGGGGGCAGCCAAAAGGATTCCATGCCCAGCACCAGGCCTGACCCCCAGGGGCCACAGGGAGGGGAAGAAAAGGCCCTGTCTCCCCTGCCTTGCACCATGGTCCAGCTGGACTCGAAGGACAATCCCATGAAGTCAGCAGATGGAACAGAGAGCTGCAGGGCAAAGGCTGGAACACTAGGCCAGTCACGTTTCTCTAGAGTCAAAGCCACAGCGCTGCTTTTTCCCGCTCCAGCCCCATAGCCAGGAAAAATCGGCCCCTTTGTGCTCTCCAGCTAGAGGTCACTGGGGCATCTCCTCCAAGGCTCTATGTTTGGGGCTTGGACCCAGGGCTTCCTGTTGCCTGGGAGCCATCTGGCTCAACAGATCCCATTGTTTGGGATGGGGACAGGGCTGGAGGCCCTGGGGAAGCACCCAAGGTCTCAAACATTTAAACCGCTACATCCTGCAGCAGTGGCTGTGGCCTCACTCGAGGAGCATTCTTGGGCTCCCTCTGGGGTATCCGCGCAGCAGGCTTTCTTCCATCAGCAGCCAGGGGACACCCATAAAATATGCTCACTGTGCCAGGAATGAGAATAAAAGTGCCTCACTGGATCCCCAAACTTCACACCTCCTATTGTGTTCTCAGTTTAGATTTGCAATAGCCCTGGGAGGCAAGTGTCCAGCACTGCAGGGCTGTGCCATGCTGGGCACCAGGTCTAGCACTCTATGGCCTTGCTTCTTTTGTCTGATCCAGTGCTATCACAAAATTCTTCCCTGCATTCACCCCTACCCTGACCCTCACCATCTACCCCTGCCTCCAACCTCTGTCACAAAGCTTTTCCCTGTACTAGCCTCAAAGCCCAAACTGGACAATGTCTTTGCTATGTCTTTTGGCCTCTGCCCAGTAGGGTGGCCATATGTCCCATATACATAGAACAATCATTCTCTCCATCCCTTGTCCCAGTTTTAATATTAATAGCATTCCCTTTCACCTGCAGCAGCATCTTCTTTTGGAAGATAAATTATTTGACTGGCTTCCCTCATGGGTTACATTCAGAAGTTCCCACCTGCCCTCTACCTATAGAGGTCCTGAAACCTCAGCCCAAAGTGGCACCTCTTCCTGGGCTGGGTGTGGCACTTTCACCGTGCCCAGCCTCACTGGGGAACAGGAACCAGAGGGAAGGCATTATTCCAGTGAACAAATGAGAACACTGAGGTCAGAGAGAATGCAATCTGCCCAAATCACTGAATTTGTTCATAGCAGGACTCAAGACTATATAAGGATTCTATGCTGGATATACTTTCACCAAACCAGGCCATCGTCATGACCGTGCTTCCCACCATATCACAATTGCAGGCTTGGATGCCCTCTTGGGACTTGCCTTGTTGTCTGCCATTGCTCTTGAGTTGTTTCATGTATAATGGATTCTCTTGTCCCAGGTGATAAAGTCACAGAGCCCAAGAGCTGTGTCTTCTCCTTTTCTCAGCCTAGGTACAGAGGATCTGCTCAAGAAATATTTGCAGAATCCATTTGAATGTTGCTGAGTCCTGCAGGTTTAGGAAACTCTCCAGAAGTGTGGCAAGACTTCTTCAACACTGATGTGATATTGAGTGGTGAGAAGGATGCTCTCTCTAAACTGCTTTTCAGCTCTTCTGCCATGACCTGTCCAGGCTGTCTGCACCAAGGCCACATATGGAGAAGACCCACCCCCACCAAAAAGACCAAGAACCCACCATGGAGGGAAGAGCTTCATGGACAGTAGCATGGCCAGTTGCATGGAGAAAGGTCCTAGGCCTGCATTCTAGATTTATGTCAACATCCCAAATCTATGCCAAGACTGGACAACTGGTGTCAACTTTTGAGACAGACCACTGGGATCATGCCCCCTCTCTCTCCACCCACCATAGTTTATACAAAAATAACTGATGCAGTGAAACAACATGTAGACCTCCCAGCTTTCTCTACTTAATCCCCACTGGGTATGAGGCCTTGGGAAACGCTTCCCTCCTCTGATCCTTAGGTTCCTCATCTGTAAATGAGAGCACTGGACTAGATCAGTGCTGCCCAGTGGAAATGTCATGTGAGCCATGGATAAAATTTTAAACTTTCTAGTAGCCACATTAAAAAGCGGGGGGGAAGGTGTGGAATTAATCTTAATAATGTATATCATGAACATCATATATACCAGGAGTCCCCAACCCCCAGGCCACAGACTGGTACCTGTCCAGGGCCTATTAGGAACCAGGCTGCACAGCAGGAGGTGGGCAGCAGGTGAGTGAGTGAAGCTTCATCTGTATTTACACCCGCGCCCCATCACCTGCATTACCACTTGAGCTCGCCCCCTGTTAGATCATCAGCAGCATTAGACTCTCATAGGAGCGTGAACTCTATTGTGAACTGCGCGTGTGAGGGATCCAGGTTGCATACTCCTTATGAGAATCTAATGCCTGATGTCACTGTCTCCCATCACCCACAGATGGTACTGTCTAGTTGCAGGAAAACAAGCTCAGGGCTCCCACTGAGTCTACATTATGGTAAGTTGTATAATTATTTCATCATATAATGTAATAAGAATAGAAACAAAGTACTCAATAAATATAATGCACTTGAATCATCCTGAAACCATCCCTCACCCCATCTGTGGAAAAACTGTCTTCCACGAAACCAGTCCCTGGAGCCAAAAAGGTTGGGGACCACTGAAATATACAACATGTTATCATCTCGACACATCATCAATATAAAAATTAATGAGATAATTTTAAATTTTCTCATACTGAGTTTGAAATCTGATATGTATTAGGCCAGGCGCGGTGGCTCACGCCTGTAATCCCAGCACTTTGGGAGGCTGAGGCGGGTGGATCACGAGGTCAGGAGACTGAGACCATCCTGGCTAACACGATGAAACTCCGTCTCTACTAGAAAAATACAGAAAATTAGCCGGGCATGATGGTGGGTGCCTGTAGTCCCAGCTACTCGGGAGGCTGAGGCAGGAGAATGGCGTGAACCTGGGGGGTGGAGCTTGCAGCGAGCTGAGATTACGCCACTGCACTCCAGCCTGGGTGACAGAGCGAGACTCCGTCCCAAAATAAAAAGAAAGAAAAAAGAAATCTGGTATGTATTTTACACTGGCATCACATGCCAGTTCAGACCAGTCCCACCTCAAATGCTCAGTAGCCACAATGTAGTGCCAAGTGGCTGCCATATTGGACAGTGCAGGACTAGACAACCCTAAGGACCCTCCTCGTTCAGATAACTTGGGATTTCGTGATCACGCCTCTACACTTTGCCAGACAGCAGATTCTCCATCACCAGGTTCTGCCCACCTGCTCTCAAGGAGACACAACTCTACCACCTGGGCAGCCCACGCCATCCTTTGCCACCCAGTGCTGACCTTGTGCTCTCCAGATAGGAGGCTTGGCTTACCTGGATCCACGTTCCAAGCCACAGGGGTCCTGCCCCAGTGCCTCTCTCAGCCCAAAGTATGAGCTTGGTTTCCAAGTCCAGGCTTCCGGGCCACCCAGCCTGCTCAGAACTTCTCTCCAAGTCAGTCATTAGAACTGCACACTATGGCAGGGAGGGCTAAAAGAGACTTAGGAGCCCACATATGTGGCAGTCCTCCCTCTGGACAATTCTATGTGTGTTTGTTTCATGCCAAGCATGTGGCAAGTTCTATGCCAAGCTTGTGGGCACCAAAGAGAGCTAGATAGTGGTCCTCTATTCCCTTAAGACCCTAACCCTGATGTGCATGGAATAGACAGCTGGAGGATGACAAAAAACAATATATGCTGAAGTGTTCAATCGGATACCTCATTGTCAGAAGCCATATCGGCGGGGGTCTCAGCAGGAAACAGATGGTACACTCAAGCTGGATAACTGAGGAGAGTTTCATGAGAATGCTATTTTGAAATATGTGGGAAAGGTTTAGAGAAATACACAAAGGATGACATGTACAACTCTCCTGGGCCTGGAGAGGCCAGAGGAAGGAGAAACTGAAGAAACAGAGAGGATGGTGGCATGGAGAGGTCCACTTAACAAGAGTTGTAGCAACTGAGGCAACCACTCAGGGAATGAGTATGCTCCATCCACTCTCCTCCCACCCTCTGATCTCCATTTGGGTCATTCCATTGGCTAAACCCAACCTGAGGCCAAAGACAAGGGAGTCTATAGGGGTTGGCCTCCCAGAGCACACAGTAGGGTAAGGGTGAGCATAGGGGGACCAAGAGAGGATATCCAGGCCATGGACTGATACGAGAACATCACAGGTGGTAAGTATGAAAGAGGTCAGAGTTACTTCTTCCCTGCTGGGGGAAGCAGGGCTAGGCTTGGATCCTGGGGGATGAGTGGGCTTTGGAGAGATAAGAAAGGAGGACCCTACAGCTTGGATGGCAGAGTCAAGGCAGATGGCCTGAGCGAAGTCAAACAGTTGGAGATCAGTGTGAAGTCCTCAGAGATGGGGTAGCTGTGATAAGTCACTGCAGAGACCTTGAAGTCTCCTTTCCTCACCAGCTCCAAGATCCTGAGATCCCAGGCTTCCTTCCTGGAAAGAATAGATGTGAACCTTGAAAGGCTGAATTTGAACTGGGCCCCAGAAAAAGGCAAGGAAGGCTATAGAAGTTCAGAAAGGAAAGAGAAGAGTTGATGTGTGATGCTCCCATCATGAAGACTGAGAGATAGCAAAGCAGTATAGGTGCTTCACGGTCTAGTATGGAAGAGTAAATAGTCTGGTCTCTAGATATAGCCAGGGAGGATAGAGGTCTAATAGGTATAAGAGTAATAACTAGAATAGGCTTGAGTATAAGTATAGCACTTTCCACATGATCCTTACATAAATTACCTCATTTGATTATCTCAACAGCCATATAGAGGAAAAGGAGGGAGCTAGGGAAAGAGGTACCAAATGCAATGAACACCAAATATGTGCCCAACACTGTATGTAACATTGTGCACTTCATGGGTCTACAGTCCCATTATTCCCATTACACAGAGAAGAAAACTAATGATCAAAGGAAGTAAGTGATTTGTTCTAGGTCAGAGAGCCATCAAGTGAAATGGGACTGGGACCCAAGCTATGAATCTAAATCTCTATGTCTTTTCCACATTCGTAAAATAATGAGAGAACAATGCAAGCCAGCATCAAATGAGATCCTGGATACCTATCACTTTATGGGAGGGCAGAGCACTGGGTAATTGAGGCATTATCGTTACAAGGGTTGGGGGCAGAATTTGGGCTGCAGACAACAGGTGGTGGAGTTCAGAGAAATGCAGCCTAGAAGAATGGACAAGAGTCAGTTTCATGTCAGAAGCAGGAGGAGCTTGCACACCCAAGTTAGGTTTCTATGGAAAACAAACTTCCTCTTCTGGGAGCCTTGATCTTCTCTCTTTCTCTAAGCATAATGGGAGGCCCCCACCCCCATCCACCCCCTCTGACAGGTCATGATAGGGAGCCTCCCCCACCACCCAGTATAGCAGTCACCATCCAGATTTCTGTCCCATGCAGAAAAACAAGATTGCAAGTATGCAGGAAGACATATGGGGTTTAAATGTAGGGTCTGTGGGTCCTGCCAGCCAATCCCCGCTGGCCAACAGAGCAAAATGATACATAAGCTCCAGGTCACTCTGTCCCACCAGCAGGCACGGAGAAGGGGCAATGATACACACATTCTGCCAAGGCCCATTGCATCTGTATCTTAATTATAAAAAAAAGAATGCTTCTGAGGATGGACCTTCCTATTTGCAACATCTTTGGTTTGAAAATTTAGGTCATCATTTCTTATTTAGGCTGTGTCTATAACAGAAAAGCACCAGATGGGGAGAGGGTCAGCCAGTGTTCCTGGCGGTTTCATGACTGATTTAGCCAATATGGTTTGTCTGAGCCTATGTGACCTGGTATTTAAAAAGGGGAGTAGGAGGGACAAAGGCAACATGACAAAAGGAAATCAATGGACCGGACAGCTCTATGACGCACTGCGAAGGTGCACTCAAGGAGCAGCATTGGGGTGGGGAGGGGCAGGGGCCTCCAGGGCTCTGAACCATGCCCCAGTGCACATCAGAATCACCTGCAGAGCCCCTAAGTAATACCAATCCTGGACCCCACCCTCGGAGATTCCAGTTTACTGGTCTGAAATGGGGCCACAAACTAATAGTTTTTAAAAATGCTTCAAGGACAGCCAGAGTTGAAAAAACACCAATATTAATCCAATTCTACTTTCTCTGAAGCCCTTCCCCTCCGCCCCCCACCTTCTTTTCCCTTCTTCTTCCCCATGCCTAGTTTCTGGGGTCACCGATCAGTACCACTGCTCTCCAACAAGAAAGGTGACCAGCCATCCCGCTTCTAAAACCAGAAGCCCAGCATCCCAGGAAGCCCCTAGCCCCAGACAAACTGGGAGGACCAATTCCTGGGTTGCCAGCTCTCCTGAGCCTGACAATCACCATCTTTAGAGATGATGAAGAGCTCAGAGCCTGCCTTCCTCTTTGATCTTTCCTGATCATCCTAAGCCCCGGGGACTGTTATGAGAACCCCAGAGCCCACCAGCCCTGGGTCCCCTCCTGCTGCCCTAGCCTGAGGCACCGCACACATTTGAGAAGGGACACAGGTAGGGCCCAGTGCCACCTGGTTGGTGCCCCGGGCTGATTTGCCCCACATCTGAAATTGCACCGTTGGTGCTAATGTGCTACTTCCAGTGGTCCTGGAGCTCTAAATTCAGGAGCCATTTACTAAGCAATATTCGTATTTATTTGTGAAATTATATGGACCTTTATAGCACATTTACAAAGACGAATAAATCCCTGCTCACATGGCCCAATTTGTTGTTCTAACCTGACACTTCCGTGTCATGATCACCTTTCTTTCAGCTGGTTATGGCCAAGGCTGTTAGGGATTTATTAGAGGCATTTTCTAATGTGCTTTACAAGATGTTGTTGAGGCTGTGGCTTTATTTATGGGCAAGAGGGGGAGGGATGGAGGAAAAGTGTTGGGGAGAGGGGAGAGAAAGAAAAAGAGGGCACTACAAGCAGGTGACAGAATGAGCTTCCGTGCATCTGGAAGCATCATCCAGGGATGAGTTTAATAGAAACCCTCTTTCCAGCCTCCACCCCCACCTCCCACCTCAGCTCACCCACCACTTGAAAAACTTTGATCTCTAACTTCTGCAATATTATTGATCTTCAGAGGTGGAAATTTTTTTTAAAGACACAGACATCAAGGAGATTTTAAGATAAGACTAGGGATGAAGGGACCTCCTTTATACCTGGGGAAATATCAGACAGCTTTGCTAGAAGTGAAGTTTCCACCCTCTGATTCTTTCTACCAAAAGAAGGAAAGAAGGAAAAAGCAAATGGGAGGCAACATTTGTCACGGTCTTCCATGCCCTTTCTGAGGGCTGGAGACAGCTCCCTTAGTGGCCAGCTCACCCTTTCCTAGCAAGGGTTAGACTGAAGATGGCTGAAATAATCCAAATGAGGAGTCCCAATATTCGCTTGACAAACATTTACTGAGTTCCTTGAACAGCAGCGCTGGATGGGCAAGTCAAGGTTTGCACCCTAGGGGAGTTTGCCCCGTGAGGAAGAGAGGTATGTTTGCAGGCTCACTATTGTTAGCATCTACCGGGCTGGATGCTGTCACGGAGACATGCAGAAAGATCAACAGGAGCAAAAGCAGAAGCCACAGTTTTCTGGATCATGGGGAATCAGACAGGGCTCCACTCACCTTTGAGCGAGGCCTTAAGAGAAGAAATAAAGCTTTCCAGGGAGAGACAGGCTTCCCATCAGAGAGCCAGCCTGCAGATGGCGGCACCAGTGCTTGGAAATAGTTGCTCATTCCATAAATGGTTGCTTAGCTTGGTCAGGTGCCAGAGGCTTTTCCAGGGACTAGAAGACAATAGCGAATGAGGCAGACAAGGCCTTTACCCTTGTGGCACTCATGAAGTTAGAGTCCAGGGGCTTTGAGCTGAGACCTGGAGCCTGGAAAGGAGTCAGCCAGGCAAAAACCGAGGAACACAAAGGAAGTCCAAAGGTTCTGGCTTAAGAACAGGAGTGAGTCCATTGTGGCTGCACAATGATTCAAAACAAAACTGGAAAAGTCACTCAGAACCAGATGACTATGGTAAGGAGTGCGCCTTTTATTCTAAGGGCAAAAATAAGTGTTTCATTTAGCATTTTCAACAGCACACTGGCCCAGTGCCCATGGACACACCCAGCTTCCAGATTTTCCTTTCTCTAAGAAAATGGCTCCAGTGCTCCTTGGAATAATGGCTGATTCTAGGGCTTGGGCAGGGAACACACCAGATGAGCCCACGGCACCTTCCAGTGCCAGAAAGCAGGGATGTGCTAAACAGAGGGAGCACGGCAAAGTGACACGGGAGCCAAACCGAAGCAGGTCCCCAAGGCCAAAGCTGGAACACTTTGCACAGTAAGTAAATAAAATAGTATTGAATTGGGACCCAAAGTATGATGCAAATACCCATGAGTCCACTGATATAAATACATGATGAATTAATAAATAAATGAATGGATGAATAAGTGAGAGAGGAGAAACAGATCTCCCCTATAAAACTCCAAATATTTAGTAGACGTTCTCCACTCCAAGTCATGGAGTTTAATTTTCTTCTCTTCCTGCCCCTTGAATGTGATCTGCTCTTGGTGACCTGCTTCCGAAGAGTAGAGCATGGGAAAGGAGCAGGAAAGGTAGCTGCAGAGGAGAAACCTGGCAAACATGACCTCAGCCAGGTGATCAAGGCCAAGGTCCACAGTGAAACACATCGCTGATGCTAGGTAGCCTTCATGTGATGTGAATAGAATAGCACTTCTCCTCTCCAAAACCCATAACTCCAGCCTAAACATGAGAAAACCATCAGATGAACCCAAATTGAGGGGCATTGAACAAACTGCCTTACCTGTACTCCTCAAAACAGTCAAGGTCATCAGTAACGAGGAAAATCCGAGAAGCTGTTACAAGGAGACATGATGACTGAATGTAATGTGGGATTCCAGCACAGAAAGAAAACTAGTGAAATCTGAATAAAGTGTGGAGTGTAATTAATAGCAATGCACCAATGTTGGTCCCTTAGTGTGATGAGCGTACCTTAGTACTGTAAGATGTTTACAATAGGGGAACCTGGGTGACGGGTGCCTGGGAACTCTCCACACTACCTTAGAAACTTTTCTGTAAACCTAAAACTAATGTACAATTAAAAAAAATTTTTTTTCAAAGATCCTTGGACTGCCATGTGCAGATTGAGTTGTGGGGGAGCAAGAGTGGAAGTGACTGGGGATGAGAAAGTGGGCAGTAGTGAGGTGTGGACCTGGCCAGGAGACTGGTGTGAAGAGGGGGAGGACGGGGATCAAGGATAACCACTGGTGTTCAGCTTAACGACTGGGGGAGGATCAGGTTGTAGGCAGAAAACACGGATCCAACCCAAGGCTCATTAACCTTGCGATGCTTGTTACACATCCAAATAGAGTGTCTGTCACATAAGCATTTGGATGTATAAATCTACAACTCGGGGAGATAAAGGAACTGAGGATATAGGCATCTATCAGCATCCATACTGTATTTAAAGCAATAAAACGTGATTCATTCTTCCAGCAGATGTTCTCTGAGCACCTACGTGGTTGCCAGGTTCTATTCCAGGCTCTGGAGTTAAAGTAATGAGCAAAGTGAGCAAAGAGGAGGAGGCAGCCAGACGGACAGAGGGAAGCTGCGGTCTCAGGCAGTGGCCAGGGCTAGGAAGAAAAGAGAACAGGAGAGACGTGGGAGCAGAGAGTTTGGACGGGGTGATCAGGAGGGAATTCTCTAAGGAAACTGCATTGGAGCAGAGACTTGAACAACATGTGGAGATGAGCTACACGGATACCCAGGGAAAGAGCATTCCAGGCAGAGGGAACAGCAAATGTAAAAGCTCAAGTGTGAGATGGGTGATAAAAATGGGAGCTGCCAGCACATAGCTGTGTACCAAAAGGAACCGTCACCAGAGAGCAAGAAACTGGTGATTGAGAAGAGGCCACACAGACAGAGGGAAGTCCTGAAGGTCACAGAGCACCTTTGGGAGCTGGCCTTGGAGAGGGCCAGGGACCTTTCTCCAGGCTAATGGGAAGGAAGGAAGAGTGTAGGGTGCAGAGGCTGGCCGCCTCTCAGATTTGAAAGCAGAAGCCAGTAATGATTTCTGGGCCAAGGTTGGGGGTGGGGAACAATATTTGCTTTGAAAAGATAGTTTGGACCCTTTAGATGGAAGATTGGAGGAAAGGCAGAGGCCACAGCTCAAGAGAAAGGTAATGAGGTCCTGAGCTGAGGGCTGCAGGGGGTTATATAAGTTCCCGCTTGCTGCTGTAGCAAATTACCACACACTCGATGGCTTCAAACAACACAGATTTATTATCTTACAGTTCTGGGGGTCAGATGTCCAAAATGGGTCTCACAAGGCTGAAATCAAGGTGCCTGCAGAGCAGTGTTCCCTTCTGGGTGTTTTAAGAAAGAATCCACTTTCTTGCCTTTTTCAGCTTCTAGAGGCTGCCCACATTCCTTCACTTGTGGCTTGTGGCACCCTTCCAACTTCAAAGCCAGCAGGGTAGATCTTCTCCTGCCTCTCTCCTTCACATTTAAAGAAACCTTGTGATTACACTGGGTCCACTCGGATAACCCAAGATAATCTCTATTTTAAGGTGAGCTGGAACCTTCATTCCATCTGCAACCTTAATCTCCACCCTTGCCATGCAGCCAGTGTATTCACAGGCTCCAGGAATTAGGACACGGACATCTTCGGAAGGGCCATTATGTCACCCACCATAGGAATGGATCAAGAGCCTGTGCAAGGAAGTACAATAACTGAATTTAGCAAGGCTTAGCAAGGAGGGTGGCATCCCTGCCTGTTGGTGAGGGGTGGGCATTTGGGAATCAGACAGATTGGGTGCATGCCCACTAGAAGGCAAAGGGCAAGCATCCAGCCCTCTCCAGGTCTCAGGTTTCTCATCTGTTAAAGGAAGGTAGCAGCATCTACCTCACAGAGTTCCTCCAAGGATTAAAAATTAAATCCTGACACAACCTGCTACCAAGAGGAGATCAGTAAATAGTAACTATGGATATCATTGGCAACAAAGCTATTGGTAGTGTCAAGGGGCTGTTGGGATGAAGGGAAAGAATGCAAAAAAGCAACTTGGGTTACTCAACTGGGCCACTGGCTGAACAGAGTGAAAGAAGTCACTGAAGGAGAATCCAATAAGGAAAGGACAGCCAGAAAACAAGTGCAATTTTCCACATCTGGGTCTGGGCTTTCAAGGGACCCGCCGAGGAGCCATGTCACTTTGGGTGAGTTACCCTGGCTTTACTGCCTCACCCTTGCAGTCCTGCCTTGTAGGATAATGATAAAGATTAAACACAATGACCTTCGTCAGCAGAGTACAGCGCCTGGCACATAGCACACACACACTTAACAAACACCAATAGTGTGCACTATTATCCAGGAGGCAGTTCAATATTACCCCACCGTGGAGCTCAGGGAAAAGGTTTGAACTGGACCTGAGGAAATTGGAGAAGCACATGGACGCGGCCTGCAGTTGGACAATAACAGCCTAAAGTAGGCTTAGTGGCACTGCTGGCAGCAAGCCCCCACTCAGTCTGTCCCTGCAGCACAGACCACAGGCCACAACTCACCATGGGAACAGCAGGGACATGGAGGGGTGCACAGGGAGAGGGCCACCAGGACTTGCAGAGGACTCAGCCGGGGTCACCCAGGTGAGGCCAATGCCCCTTCTCTGGGCTTACACAGCCAGGATGCAGAAGCCGGCTGGACAACCCCAAGACACTGTCATTATGCCCTGCTTCCCTGTCTTCCCCAGAAGCCTGTTGGAAGGAGGAGCAGGAATTCAAGAGCAGCCTTAGGGTTTCATAAGACTGTGAGATGCTTCCAATCAGATAGAGAAAAGCTCTATTTTTTTCTGCAGGTCAATGACTTTTAATAATTCTCTACAGACTTAGACATCCAATTAAAACTCCTCAAGGGCAAACGCTGGGCCTCATTCATCTCCAGGTAGCAAGAACCCAGTACTGGGCTGCATTATTAGGGATTCAAAGGAAGAAAATGAGGAAGAGAAGAAGAGAAGGAAGGAGGGAGATAGGCTGGGGGAGAAGGAAGGAAGGAGGAAGGGAAGGACAATGAAAGAGAGGTAGGAAGATGGGAAGGGATACAATGAATGAAGACAAAAATTTTGTGGGGGTTTTTCTGAGCCTGGAGAAAGCATTTCAAGGCCCTTAACTGTTATAAATAAACAGCTCGGCACCTGTTCCCTCTGCCAACTGATCACAGGCATCTTGGTGTGACAGAACTGAGTGGCCAGGCCAGGGTCACACTGGAGGTTTTCCCGAGCCAGAGCTTAACCCAGGGTCTAAGTCCCCACCCACCAAGCCAGACCAGGCCTTGAGCCAAGCTGAGAAGTCCCCAGAGGCTTAGGCAGAGCTACAGAAGTGTGGAGAGGACAGCAGAGACCAGAACCCCCACAGAAGCCACAGGAAATGCCCCTGCCACTTCTCCGATCAGTGGCAGCACCATCCCCAAGGTCAGCAGCTGCAATAACCCATCATCTGGGTCCTGGAACCAGCCTGGGGCTTTGCAACTGCTATTTCTGCAAACCACTACTATTTATTCTCTAATTTATTTATATTGTGTTTATCATTATTATCATTACTGCAATTTTCAGTTTTCCTCATCCTCCTTTTGAAAATGATGCCACAGGGAAATCATTTTCCTTTAACCAGTTGGCCGGGTCCATGGAGACCCAGAACATGCCACTGAACTGTGCAGAAATGGATGATTCCTCCTTCTGACTGAAGACTCCAGCCACCTCCTGATCCCCACCCCTGATGTTCCTGTCTCCAGGCTGCCTGTCCCAGGGCGAAGCATGATGACATTCCAGGACTTTCTAAAGAGCTTCCACCCAGACTCAGAGTTCCCTCCCTGACCCTGCAGGCTTAAATCCTGTGATGTAAAGGAGCAAATACACCAACCCCCGTTTAGCACATGGAAAAACTGAGGCATTGGGCACTGCCTCTGCTTCCCTGAGCTGCATTGGGAAACAGCTTCTCCTCCTTTACTCCCTTCACACTCTGAGTCATCCTCCCTTTTCTCCTCACTCCCAAAGGCTCCCGGGTGGCACCCACACCTACTGTGGGATGGCCTCGTCTGGTGTCTCCAAACCTCTTGAAAAGTACACACAGAATTGGGTGTGTCAGCACGGTGTGTACAGCACGGTGGCTCACGCCTGTAATCCCAGCACTTTCAGAGACCAAGGCGGGCAGATCACCTGAGGTCAGGAGTTCGAGACCAGCCTGGCCAACATGGCAAAACCCCATCTCTACTAAAAATACAATAATTAGCCAAGCATGGTGGTGTGCGCCTGTAATCCCAGCCACATGGGAGGCTGAGGCAGGAGAATCTCTTGAACCCAGGAGGTGGAGGTTGCAGTGAGCCGAGATTGCACCACTGCACTCCAGTCTGGGCGACAGAGCAAGACTCCCCCTCTCAAGAAAAAAAAGAATTGGATGTGCTGCTCTGACTTTCCAAACAAGCTGGAAAGGGTTGGAACCTTTATCTCATCCTCTCCACGGAATGTGTGCCATCCTCTCACAGTGGCCACAGTCAGCCACCCCCAGGTGTGACCAGCCCTGGCAAGGCCCCCACAGGGCTGTGCTGGGGACCATGAATCTGGGCTGCCCTGATGGCAGTTGTATTAAAATGTACCTGCAAGATCTTAATTGAGGTGACTGAGTGATGGCACACAGAAACTAATACCACTGAAAGATTTTATTATTATTCCCAACTCCCCTAGAAACGGGAGGCATCACCAGCCACGGCCACGCAGGCAAGCACCTGAATCAGGCAGGAGGCAGAAGCCAGCACGGGGAAAGCAGAGGCCATGCCTCTATCACAAGGCTCTTGGGAAGACAAGGTGGGGCAGGGTGGGCAGGCCTCAGGCTGGCTCCTCTGAATAATGTCAGTGGGCTCTGAGTATAAGGGTGGTCCCTAGCTGCTTGGTACCTGACCCTGGAGTGCTTCAGGGTAGGGAAATATTGCTGGGTGGGGAAGAGTTAGATAAAGGAGATGATTAGGAGGATGGGCTCAGGAATGGCTGGTTGGGGCATGAAGGGTGTGTTCATAGGCAAGATGTTTACCCTGTCTAGGAATCAGCTGGCCCTGGGGGAAGCCATCTCTCCCCAGCTGACAAGGCCCCTGCAAGACGTCAAAACATCATAAAACACAGAAAATTTAAAAACATGAAGAATACAGCAGAGAGGGAAGGCGAGGACAGAGGACAGCCCTGACTCTTGTATCAACACAACCCAAACATAAGAAGTCAACCTTCCTCAGCCCCCAGCTGCCCCCACCCCAGGCAGAAAGCAGCCCTTTCACACCAGTTTTCCTTCTGAAGCCTCCCTACACTGTCGTTTCACTTTGGCCTCACCTGGCTTAGATAGGAGGGGGGCAGGCAGAGCAGAATGCAGGGAGATGGACACAGTCTGTCTGGGTGGCTTCATCCTGTACTCCCCATGGACCTTCCAAAAGCCAGACGTCCCCAGTCAAGAGTGTCTCACACACCATCTAGACACCATGAGTGCTTAAGGACACAAGAGTCCCTGTGGGGGGCCTGCCTCTGCCCTGGCACATCCTCATCTCCCCGGAAGTCCCACGCTGCCGTCAGGGGTCACATGTGAACAAGCCTCCAGACCTGGCTCACTACACACAGGGCCTTCTTCTCAGCAGCCTGGCGGGAGGGGCTGTCACAGCCACACATGTGAAAGCCGGCATGGCTTACGCACACGTGGCTCCAGGAATCCAGAGGCCCTACTGCCTGAGCGCCTTTATCTCTCTGTCCCCTGCCAGTTAATGCTGACAGTCCTCTTTAATTCTTCTTCCCTTTCACATCAAGTCAGGTTCAAATGCCCATCTCCCTTTATTCTTTATAAAATGTGATTCTTTTCTTTATGCTAAGAAGGTGTTGTATTTGAAGCAAAGCCACCTGGGGTGCAGCTCATCACCACAATTCTTTCAAAAGTCCCTAAGTCTCTCCAAGCCTCAACTTCCTCATTTGTAAAATGGGAATGGGCCAGGTGACGAGGCTCATGCCTGTAGTCCAGCACTTTTGGAGGCCAAGACGAGATGATCACTTGAGCCCAGGAGTCTGAGACCAGCCTAAGCAACATGGTGAAACCCTGTCTTTACCAAAAATACAAAAAATTCACTGGGAGTGGTGGTACACACCTGTAGTCTCCCAGGAGACTGAGGTGGGAGGATCACCTGAGCCTGGAAAGTCGAAGCTGCGGTGAGCTGGGATGTCATCACTGTACTCCAGTCAGGATGAGAGAGAGATCCTGTCCCTAAAATAAACACATAAAAATAAATAAAATGTGAATAATAATTCTACCCTGTGGGATTGATGTGATGATTCAGTGAGAGCATATGTGAAGTTCCTGGCACAGAGCTGATAACACACACAAAGGTAATGCTGGCCTGGATGCTCCTAAGCCCTTTGAAGTACCAGAGCTGAAGGGCCTTAGGGTTTGGGGAGAACACAGCTGGATCTCTGAGGACACCAATGGGCCTGCCCATGGAGGAAAGGCCTGGATAGGAAGGCTGGGACCAGAGGCACATGCTCCTCTTCCCAGTTCAGCTGAGGATGTTGCTACTACCTGGTCTTGCCCAAAGAGACCTCCCCTCAATGAGAGGCATCCACTCATGCTCACTGGATGGCTCTCTAACAACAGTTAGCCCAGACCCAAGCAGGGATCCCAAAACACTGGATAACCACCCAGGCATCGGGACTGAGGATGCATCATGTTTATGTGTGATACAACCCGACAGGGTAAGAATTAATAATTGTCTTTGGCTGGCGAATTGCACGTCAATAATGCAGAATGGATGATATAATTGCACAGTGTGCCTAACTATAAACTATAGTGATGATAATAATTGGATTAATTAACCTGGAAAACACTAAGCACAAAGGGATCTATGGTCACTAAACAGCTGCCACAGAACCTGGAGGCGGGGGAAAGGGAGACTGCCGGTCTGTGTCAGCAACAAGGAGCCTGTTGGCATGGTGGCTGCAGTAGTCCTCTCACAGGGATGGCATGTCTACTAACCATCGGTCCCTGGAGGAGCTGTTCTGGCCTCCTGGCTGAAGATGCCAAGAGCTGGGGGATCCCCAAGGTGGAGCCTCTCTCTTAAAAGATCCGGTGATACTGGTAGCAGAACTGGAGACTTGTCCAGAAATGAGCCAAGAAGGATGACTGCGCTGCTCATCTCTTTGTGTCACTGGCATTGTTTTGGTGCCCCAGCAAAGGCTAGAGACACAGGGACATGCTGCACATTCTGGTGATGAAAGAACCAGCTGCCTTTCCTTGCAAACGCCTCACAGCAGCAAAGATGGCTGATCTGGTGGTGACAACTAGCCCCTCCAAGCAAACGCTTTCCCTGGCTGGGTTGTCAGCACTGTCTTAGCACCATGATCTGCTCTCAGCCTGGCATTCAGGACACACTGAAGCCCACAACTTTTACCTCCAACCTCTTCCAGTCTCTTCAACACTCTAGTCACGCCAAGCAACAGGCAAAGGGGACCAGAAGTCCAGAGGGGCCCTGTTCCAAGTGGTCACGTTGGCTTCTCCTCTCCTTCAGGTCCCAACAATATCTCCTCCACCTTGTCCTCCTCAGGGAAGTCTCCATCTGGACAAGGGCAGCTGTCACAGAATTGATCTCTACACCCACTGCTCCAGCACTAGGGCTCTGCCACCTGGCGATGGGACTCAACAGCCTCATGTGCACTCAGCACGTTTCCCAGTTAGAGAGCCATCTCCTACAGGTAGGCACAGTATCTTCTGCTCCTTGAATAGTTTTGGCCACATCATAGGTTTTCATTAAACCCTTATTAAATGAATGAATTATAAATAAAAGGCCCTTAGTGGATTGCCCTCTATCTGCCGAGCAGTGTCACTTTCATTTAATCCTCACAACAACCCTGCAAAGTAGATATTATTATGCCTCTTTACAGATAAGGAACCGAGAAGCAAAGAAATTAATTAATCTGTTTAAGGTGCTACAGCTGGAAAATGGCAGGGCTGGAATGTGAGCGGAGATCTTCCTAATCCCACGGCACCTTTTTTCACTACATCTTGGTTGTGGCAAATAGAGTTTTACTTGCAATTTCAGTTTCTATAAACTAGGGATATGGTGTCTAACAACATAGACATTAGAATACGTTCTACTGCACCAAAAGTGTGGTGAGCCACAGAGATAATTATAGGAGGGTTGCAGATTGTCTCTTTCCAGAAAGTTCAAAAAAACCTTGCTATGGTTTCAGTGTTTCCCTCAAAGTTCATGTTGGAACTTAAGTTTCCTGGGGGAAACTTAATCCCCAATGCAACAGTATTGACAGGTAAGACCTTTAAGAGGTGGTTAGGCTGTAAGGGCTCTGCCAATGTATAGATTAATGTAACCCCAGGAGTAGATTAGTAATCACGTGAGTGGACTTGTTATAAAAATGAGTTCAGGCTGGGCATGGTGGTTAACACCTGTAATCCCAGAGCTTTGGAAGGTTGAGGCAGGAGGATCACTTGAGGCCAAGAGTTCAGGACCAGCCTCGGCAACATAGTGACACTCCATCTCTCCAAAATATAAAATAATTAGGTGGGGGTGGTGGCGCACACTTGTCATCCTAGCTACTCAGGAGGCTGAGGTGGGAGGATCACTGGAGACCAGGAGTTTGAGGCTGCAGTGAGCTATGATACATTGTCTATGCTCCAATCTGGGTAGCAGAGGGAGATTGTCTCTTAAAACAATAAATAAATAAAATGAGTTCAGCTCCCTCTTGTTCTGTCCCTGGCTCCCATGCTTTATTGCCCTTCTACCTTCTACCATGGGATGATGCAGCATGAAGGCCCTCGCCAGATGTCAGCACCATGCTCTTGGACTTTCCAGCCTCCAGAACTATGAGCCAAGTAAACTTCTATTCTTTATAAATTATCCAGTCTGTAATATTGTGTTATAGCAAGAGAAATGGACTAAGACAGAAAATTGGTACCAGGAATGGAATTGTTGCTATAACAAATACCTGAAAATGTGGAAGCAGCTTGGAACTGGGTGATGGGTAGAGGCTGGAAGATTTTGGAGAAGCATGCTAGAAAAAACATGGACTTCAGTAAACAAGCATTAAGCATGATTCTGGTGAGGGCTCAGAAGATGAGGAGCACTGTGGAGAAAGTCTGACTCTTCTTAGAGATTATTTAAGTGGTCCGAATCAGAATTTTGGGAGAAATATGAACAGTAAAAGCCATTCTGATGAGGTCTCACATGAAAATGAGAAACAGGTACTGAAAAATGGAGTAAAGGCTAGCCTTCCTATAAAGTTGCAAAGAACTTGGCTGAATTATGTCTATACCTGAGGGCTTTATAGAAAGCAGAATTTAAAAGTGATAGACTAGGGTATTTGTCAGAAGAAATTTCTAAGCAAAAAGCTGAAGGAGCTGCATGGCTACTTTAACTGCCTAAGTAAGATGCAAGAGGAAAGAAGTAACTTAAAGACAAACGTTATAATTAAAAGAGAAGCAGCATAGGAAGATTTCAAAAATTTCCAGCCTGATCAGATAAAGAATAAAAAACAGTGTTCAGGAGTACAAACTAAGGGTGTGGCAATTGACCATTTGCTAAGAAGATTAGTGTGGAGATAAGAGATCATCAAGACAATGGGAGAATGACCCTAGAAACATTTGAGAGATCTTTAAATCTGCTCCTCTCATCAAGGCTCAAAATTCAAGGTGGGCAGAATGATCTGGGGGGGTGTGTCAATGGTACCCTCCATAGACTTGCTGCCCAGAGTTGCCTTGGGTCACTGCTCCTCACATTGGATGCAGTGCTCCTTGGCTGCCCCAGCCATAACTCAAATGGGCCCAAGTGCTGCTCAACCCATCACTCCAGAAGGCACAAGCCATAAATTCTGGCGGCATTCACATGGTGCTAATTTTGCAGGCACACAGAATGCAAGAGTTGTGGTAGCGTGGCTTCTTCCACCTAGATTTTAAAAGATATTGTAGACTGCCTCACTCTCCATTTCCTCTGCTGTAAATTGAGATCAGTAGCACCTAGCTCATAGTGTCATTGCAGAAATGAAATGGAGTACCCATGTAAAGCTTGTCCTGGTTCACAGTAAGCACTCAATAATGCTAGCTATTATTATAACACGTTGAACTTCATTTAATTTAATACAACAATAAACTGATGTGATAGGTGTGATGGGCTAAAAGAAGTTAAGTATGATGGCCAAGGTCACACCCTGCTGTGTGACGAAGCTGGGAATCCATCCCATATCTACGTGGCTTATAAGAAATCAAGAGAGATCTGGGATTTCCTATACATGGAAACATTTGCAGGGACCTTGGGGAGGACTTAGGAAGTCTGGTAGAGGCAGGTAAAAGAAGGAGGCAGGAGAAATTAGAAGCATTTCCTGTGGGGGCCCAGAAGTCTACTCTAGAACTAAGGGGAGCTCAGAAAGCACTGGTCCCAATCCCCCACCTATGACAGACTAACAGACTGGAGAAGAAGAGAGCAGCAAAGGCAGCCAGTCCTGAAGTCACTGAAAAAACAGGGTGTGGAGCAGATGTCTTTTTACCTTACTGATGGGGTCCTAGCCTGCTGAGGACAGAAATCACTGGGCTAGTTCCAAGATAGCCTGGACCCCTCTCCCAGCAGCAAATTGTCTGCTTATCAGGAGTCTGTTGCCAATTATACTTATTATTGTTGATTATGCATCTAGATTAAATATTATGCAAAGCAATAAGCTGTAAATGCAATCACAAATGAAAAGAAGGCTGGTGATTCTAAGTACACCATATTGAATGCTTTGGAAAGGCTTGATAAAGGCAAGTCATTTAAAATGGTGTTAAATAATGTGTGGGTGAGACCACTAAAACAGACTGGGGCTTGGGGAGCAGGGTGGGAAAGTGGTGGGCATAATTATAAAAAATTTAGAATTCTGCGTTTATACTGCTTTGCATGGGTCTTGATGTTCTTATTTTACTTTAAAGAAACCCGGGATTTAAAGAAAACCAGAGTTCTTAGATAATGAATCACAGGCATGGTTGATCCAAGAACAATGAACGGAAACTCTGATTAGGAGACTCATACTCCAAGAATAGGCTTTGACCCCTCCCCAAAGGATTGGCAAATAAGTACACATGTATATATTTTAAACTAAGGCAAAATGCTTAAGATGCATGCATATCTTTTTTTGTAATTACAGTACATGCTTCAGCATTTTTAATTGGATTTGCCAGCTGCCAGTGCCCGCTATGTCAGAGAGGGGAGCATGGCCTGTACTTAAAAGAAGACAGTCAATAAGGTCCAAAGGAAAGGACCCATAAAAGCCTGTGCCACACCCCACCTGTGATTTTCCTGTAATTTGTGGCAACTAGGAAGCCTGGTGACTATGCCCAAGACCTAGCTGTCAGGGACAAGCAGGGATCCACCCTGAAGCCTTGTTGAGATGCGACCTTCCTGTAAGTACCACAGTTTTCATAGTATAGTCTCCCTTTAAAGAGTCAATGCACTAATCAAAGACCTGACCCTCTACTTAAGGCCTTTTAATGCCCTCGGCTTCCCACCTGGCACAGGCATAGTCAGGACATGTTGCCTTCTTTGGCATTCTCTGCTGATCCCAGGGCAGGGTCTTGTGCCAGGGAGCACAGGAACCCTCATTCTTCCATTTACCCTTTCACTTCACAAATATTTACTGAACATCTATTATGTTCAGGGATTACTTGTGAAATAAAGATGACAGTCTCTGCCCACTGTTAAGTAGAATAGACAGAAAAAGATTATAGGTACAATGCAATCAGCACTGCAATAGATGCTAAATGAATAGAGAAAGAAGAGACAGTAACCAGATACTGTATTGACTGGTTAATGCCAAGCTCACTGTTGGGGATGATCATATGCACGGGTGCACACACACATGCTCTCACACGCATACACACACTCACACACACCATTCCTCCTACCCTACAGCAGCTCTCAACAGTTCACAATGTACTCAGGAGCAGAGAACTCTAAACCTCCAAAAGAAAATGAGTTCAAAAACCCAGCTACGAGGTCAGGGAATGCCTCCCTCCCCTCTGGCACTGCAGTTACCTGGGAGGCAGGCAGAGCTGTCCTGCAAACCACCAAGAAGTAACCCTCCCCTGAGCTCCAGAGTAACTCCTTCAGCAACATGTATGGAGCAGATCAGCGAGGCTCCAGAAATTCCATCAGGAAATCCTCCACATAGTCAGCTCTCTAGAGGACGTGATTCTGACCCTGTTACTCCTCTGCTTGAAACATTTCAGTGATTCTGTCATCTACATGACTAATTAAGTCTTTGCCCCTTGACCTGGTATTGACCAGTCTCCATGATTTGTCAACTATTTCATCTCATCTCCAGCATTTTATCCTCTAATTCCAATCCACTTACACACAAAAAAAACACCACACACGTGCGCGCACACACACACACACACACACCTTGCTTTATGCATCCATGATTTTGCATATACTCTTCCCTCTGCAGGACTTGTTGGCAGCTTTTGTTTCTTTGTTTTATTTTCTGTGGCTTGGTCTTGGCTAACTCTTACTCTTCAAGATTCAACGCCAGCTGCATCTCTTCCTGGAGTCCTTCCTGAAGCCCCAGCCTCTCCAAGTGCTCACATAAAATCCAGTACCTATCCCGACCTTGTTATTCCTCAAATTATAATATCTCTTCATGTGCTTATCAAGCATGTATCAGTCTCTCTGGCCCCCACCAATATATAGCCCAGCACCCAGCACATGATCCATGCTCAATAAATATTGATCATCTGAGACAGGCAACCTAAAGCAAAACCCACCTCCTCTGTGTCATGAAATCTGCTACATAGGAAGGGCAGGTTTGTAGCTAATACAGTCAGAGCAAGCATGTAAGTGTAAGCATCCCCATGGAAGGTGTCCTGACCTACTGACCTGATACACTGTCTGCTTGTTAAATAGGTCCTAAGAGAATAGGAATAGATATATTATCCAAAATACATAAGGAACTCATACAACTTAGTTGCAAAACAAACAAACAAACAAACAAATTACCCAATTAAAAAGTGGGAACCTAAATAAACATTTCTCAAAAGAAGATATGCAAATGGCCAACAGGCATATGAAAAAAATGTTCAGCCTCGCTAATCATCAGGGAAATGCAAATCGAAACCACAATGAGATACCACCTGATACCCCTTAGAATGGCTAATCAAAAAGACAAAAGACAAGTGCTGTCAAGGATATGGAGAAAAAGAGTCTTTACCACTGTTGGTGAAAATGTAAATTAGTATAGCCATGATAGAAAACACTATGGAGGTGCCTCAAAAAATTAAAAACAGAACTGCCATATGAGCCAGCAATCCCACTACTGGGTATATATCCAAAGAAAATGAAATCAGTATGTCAAAGAGATATCTCCACTCCCATGTTCACTGCAGAACTATTTACAATAGCTAAGATATAGAAACAGTGTAAGTGTCCATTAATGGGTGCATAAAGAAAATGTGGTGTGTAAACACAGGGGAATATTATTTAACCTTTAAAAAGACGGAAATCCTGCCATTTGTGGCAACACACATGAACCTGGAAGATATTATGCTAAGTGAAGTACGCCAGACACAGCAAGACAGATACTGCATGATCTCGCTTACATGTGGGATCTAAAATAGTCAAACTAGGCTGGGCTTGGTGGTTCACGCCTGTAATCCCAGCACTTTGGGAGGCCGAGGTGGGCAGATCACTTGAGGTCAGGAGTTCAAGGCCAGCCTGGCCAACACTGTGAAACCCCGTCTCTACTAAAAATACAAAAATTAGCCAGGCATGGTGGTAGGCACCTGTAATACCAGCTACTCGGGAGACTGAGGCAGGAGAATTGCTTGAACACAGGAGGCGGAGGCTGCAGTGAGCCCAGACCACACCACTGCACTCCAGACTGAGTGACAGAGCGAGACTCCATCTCAAAAACAACAAAAAAAAGGCAAACTCATGGAAACACAGAGTAGAAAGGAGATGCCAGGGGACAGGAAGAGGGAGAAACAGGGAGGGGCTAGTCAAAGGTACAAAGTTTCAGTCATGCAAGATGTATAAGTTTTGAAGGTTTAATGGACAACGTGGTGCACTATACTTAACGATATTGTATTATATACTGAAATTTGCTAAGAAGGTAGATCTTAACTGTTCTCACTACCAAAAAAAAAAAAGAGAGAGAGAGAGATAATTATGTGAGGTGGTGTATGTTAATTAACTTGACAGAAGTGATCATTTCACTATGTATCTGCATATCAAAATATCAGGTTTCATACTTTAAATGTAGATAATTTTTATTTGTCTACTATTCCTCAATAAAGCTGAAAAAAAAAACAAAAAACAAAAAAAAGAGCTCAAAGTAGAGGACCCAGCCCAGGATACAGTTACCCGGGAGGCAGGACACCCAGCATTGAGCCGTTTCCACGTCCGTACTGGTGCTCTATTACATACCAACTCTGTACATAATCACCAAATTTCTGATTCAAAGTAAACCAATCCATTAGTCAAAAAAGGAGATTATTCACCATGAAGCAGAGGAGCTAAAAGGGGGCTTAGAGATCAGCTAGCAGCACCTGGGCATTTCACCACAAGGAACTGAAGGAATGCCTACAGCAAATTGTAATCAACCTGGTAGTGAGTGGAATGTAAGAGAAGTCTGTTCTCTTGAAAAGCTTATGAACAAGTTTGGGAGTTACCTGGTATATCGGAGAGAAAATGAACTTTACAGCCAAATAGACAGGGGTCCAAATCCCCGTTCTGCTGCTGCTAGCTGTGTGGCTTTCAGCATGTTACCAAATATCTTCTCAACATCTATTTCTTCACCTGCAAAATGGGATTGATACTATTTCACAGAGTCATGGCTAATTGAGATATTGTATAGATCACATACTTCTTCTATATTAAGTGCTCAGTAGTAGTTTCTTTGCAGGAACAAAACACTAGTATAAGGACTGTCATTAAGGGCTAAACTGTGATGCCCACTTCAAATACTGTTAGAGTTTAAAAAAAAAAAAAAGGAAATACCTGCTTGGGGCTTTACATAGAGCAGATTGATGGGGGAGTGAGTGGCTCAGACTGGAACAATTTAGAGTTGTTTCACACCTATCAAAACCATCTGAAACCTCTGCTGGGTCCTATAATCAAACCAACCATTCTATAGCCCATCTTTTCATACCTTGTTATGAGTTGAATTGCGTTTCACCAAAATTTATATGTTGAAATTCTAACACCTCCGGTATCTCAGAGTGGCATCTTATTTGGAAATAAGGTCGTTGCCAATGTAATTAGTTGAGATCACACTGGGATAAAGTAGACCCCTAATCCAATATGACTGGGATCTTATTTGGAAATAAGGTTGTTACAGATGTAATTAGTTAAGGTGAGCTCACGCTGGAGTAGGGTACAACCCTAATCCAATATGAAAAAAGGGAAATTTTGTAGAGACACACATACAGGGAGATGCCCTGTGAAGATTGGAGTGCTGCTGCCACAAGCCAAGAAACCACCAGGAGCTGGAGTAAGGCCTGGAACAGATCCTTCCCTAGCACCGTCAGAGGACGCATTGGGCTTGCGACATCTTGGTTCCAGCCCTCTAGCCTTCATAACTGGGAGACGATAAATTCCTGTGATTAAAGCCACTTGATCTGAGGTACTTTGTTATGGAAGCTCTAGGAAAATAGCAGACACCCCATCCCTGCTACTGCAATCGCCATCTTGCCCTGGGGAAGAACTGAATCCAAGCAGTGGGAACCAAGGCGAACTGCATTCACGCTCTTGGCTCAGGGACTCTGCGCTAAGCAAGTTCCCACCACCCTCTTCAAAGCCTATGGTTTTCTTTTCCCATCTGCCCAAGGGAGTGGATAAAACAGACTGCATTTCAGGTCCATGGATTCCTGAAGCTGGATACATGATCACAGAATCTCTGTTGGACAACCTCTTCAAGGTCTCCTAGACCTGTCTGGTTCTCAAGTCCACTACAGCTCCCAGCCATAGCTAACTTCTGCTTAAGCATAAATACTGGTAGGAAGTTTGTTACCTCTTTGAGAGTTCCATTAAAAAGTTTTTTTCAACTTTGATCAATGCAAAGTTTGTCCTACAAATAAGTTAGTTACAACTCTTTATTCCTATAACTTCCATCCCTTAGCCTGCTAGCTGTGCCCTCTGAGGCCCTGCAGAAAAGAAAATTAAAAAATCCAATCCCATTTTGTGGAAGCTCTTCAGGCACTTGGAGACTTGCATCTCATTCCTCTTAGTGTTCTCTTGTCTCAGCAAGATCTCCCTCTCTGCTCTTCTCCTCCCTGAAAGGGGGGTGGCCTTGCAGTCGTACATACCAAAAGGATTTTCTCAAGTCTGCACTGTTGCTTCCAGTTTGGGGTTTACAGTTGGGTTTGCAAGTTCTCGTGGCCTCCTGCCTCCACCTTTCTTCCCAGCCATGGCACACATTAGGTGGGGCCCTACTATAAGCCAGGTGCTGTGAAGCTAGGAGAACCAAGATTGAGCATGGTGTCACCTGGATGGCAAAGTCTTAGCAGGCAGGGTGACCCTGACTATTGGCACAATGTGGGAAAACCACTTTCCTCAAACAGGCAGTACATGAAAATTAAAAGGAGAGAAGAAAACGCAAACACCCTCCATCCTTTGGATGTCAGGCTCCAAAAAAGCTCAGTCAAGGAAAACATCATTTTCCCCACAAGAGGAAGAAAAAAAGAAAAGCTGAATTGACCTGCAAACAACCCCTGACCTCATTTGAAAAGACTCCTTTCTTTCAGCCAAGACCCAGGGTCCCTTCTCGGGGTGTAAATTCCCCGAAAAGCCAAATCTTTTCAGGACATGAAACTGTTGGCTGCCCTTTTGAGGACTGAGAGCAAAGAGCTCCGAAATTTATGCACTACATTAAGCGAGATGCCTTGGTATCCAACTAGGTTAAATTGCTTTCTATATTTAAATCGCCTGCTAGCTGGTTAGATGTGGGAGCCGCAGCTGTGAAATGGATAGTTCCAGCCAATAAACAGAAAGGCATAAATCCTAATGGATTAATCTGTTATAATTAGACAATTCTGCGTGACTTTGACAAGGAACCCAACTCTTGGGAGGGAGAAGAGAGGTGAGGCGGCCTTCAGGTGTCGGGTGCATGGCAAGAGAAAAGCAGGAGGTGAAAGGCGGGGTTTGAGGACCCAAGGAAGTGTTGCCAGGCTACAGACAGCATGGCCTGGTGGGGCTGAGATGGGTGGGCAGAGGACTAAGTGTTCCTCCTTGAAAAAGAGAGCCATGCAAATCCAGAAATTTGCATTCTAGATAAGAAAGGCAAGAAATAGCAGTAAACTTTCTCCTTTCTCTCTCATCTCCCTCCCCTTTGCCTGTAGAAGTTCTTTGCTTCTGCTTCTCAAAGGGGGCAAACCCTTTTGAGAAACTTTCTTGGGACTGCACATGGTGGCTCACACCTGTAATCTCAGCACTTTGGGAGGCCAAGGTGGGCAGATCACCCCAGGTCAGGAGTTTGAGACCAGCCTGGCCAACATGGCAAAACCTTGTCTCTACTTTAAAAAAAAAAAAAATTAGCTAGATGTCATGGTGTGTGATTTTAGTCCCAGCTATGCAGGAGGCTCAGGTACGAGAATCCAAGAATTGCTTGAACCAGGGAGGCAGGGGTTGCAGTGAGCCCAGATCACACCACTGCACTCCAGCCTGGACAGTAGAGTGAGACTCCATCACAAAAAAAAAGAAAAGAAAAGAAACTTTCTTGGGAGTGATAAGAACTTGGAGAAACCGACCCGAGGCACTTCATTATGCTCTTGTCTTCCTCTTGCAACTCCTTCCTCTCGTCAAGACCAGGAAACCCTAAGGAGAGTCACTGCCCAGCAGGGAGAGCCATCTCAGTCACCATCCCAAAGATGGCCGGTCCCCAGGGGCCTGAGTGAAAGGTGAGGAGCCGACACCCAGATTGAGGCAGGCTGGAGGTAGCTGGCAGGAAGTGCAGGTCTTTCTGGTCCAGGACAAGTACTGGGAAATTCCCCCAACCCAGATCAAGATAAGGAGGATGTCTAGAGTGTAAGAGGAGCTGGAGACACTTCTGGCACATTGGGGTCTAATCAAATTGACAAGTTAAGATCTTGTCCACCTGGAATTCCAGGATTGAAATTTGAGCCCCTGGATGCCCCCTGGAACCATCCTCTGTCTCGAGACAACCTCCAGGACCAGAATGACCTTTGCACCCAATGTGTCCAACTTATTACTCTTCCCTTCCAATCCAAGCCCTCAGCTCCAGTGAGACTGACCTCTTTGCTCCAGGAAGACTCAAAGAGAACGTAGCTAGGGAAAGAAACGGTGCAGGTAATGAAGGGTGAGAACCAGAGGATATCCAGGCTCAAAGTTTCAGGCTGTCTAGACAGAGCTTCTGAAGCCAAAACACACACATGCACGCGCGCACACACACACACACACACACACATCACACATACAAATGCTAAGAGGTACAACTCTGGCTTTATCTCAAGATAGAGAAGCCAAAAGGGTCGCCCAAACATTTAGATGATAGACTGTGGCCAGGGAATAAAGTGGGTTCTTGATTTGTGTTACGTGGCACTGAGAGCCAAGAGATCCTTGCTGGGCATCATATTGAGCCATGAGGCCTTGCATTCGCCAGCTGAACAGGCTGTGTACCCAATCAAGCCTCACACCTATGGTAATATTCTTCCACCATGAAAGAGTATCTGCTCTCCGCCTGTCTCCCCAGAGCTATGCAAAACCATAAATCCAAAGCCAGATAAATCATCAGAAATGAAGAGAGTGGAAATAAGACATGAGCAGCAAAAACAATCTAGAAAGAGAAGCATGGCTGCTATAGGCTTCCAGATCAGGCATGGGCAGCCTTGAGCCTCTGGGCAGAAGCCAGTGTGCCCCACTTAGGAGGCTCCACGTGGGGCTCCTGGGGAGAGAGGTAGGGTCAAAGGCAAGGACAGATGGGGACAAGCTGCTACCCAGCCTCTCTCTGCCTTCCCAGCACATCTGTTCCCTGTTCCCATCTTCCAGGTGAACCAGGCTGGCCCCCAACTCTGTATAAATAAAATAACAATCCCTATCAAAAGAAAACTTGAGTAAAGAGAGTATACCTGTGGGTGGGAAAGCTGAATCTTGTAAAGAAGTCAGTTCTTCACATAACACTTTATAAATTTAGTATAACTCCAATCAAAATGCCAGGGGAAACTTTTTTTCCTTAAAGTTTAACTAAGTGATTCAAATGGTCATCAGTAAAAATCAAGATACAATAATCTCCCAAAAGCGTTATTAAAATAAGGGTAATACAAGGAACTTGCTGTGACAAGTATTAAAACTGACTATAACTACAGCAATTAAATGGCATGGAGCTGATGAGAAAATTGATATGTAGTTCACAGACAAATTCAAGTATGTAAATGAATGACACATATATACAAATTTATTTTTTAAATAGAGGTCATCAGTAAGCACCCAGAAAAAGATTATTTGGGACATTTGGTTAAGTATGTGGTTAATAATTGAAAACAAATAATTTTCATCAAAGTAAACATCAGATGGATTAATTTTATCATTCATAAATCATATGAAATCATAAAATAAGTAAAATAGATGTAAGTAAATCATTAATTTGTTCTTGTCAATAATCCTACAGCAAAAAAAAAAAAAAACATTTTTTTCTAAGTCTTTGCCTATATCTTAAATTACTATTTGTAGTAGAAAATACTGTCTAAGCATAAGGGCAAGAAAGAGAAAGAAATTTTTCTACATGTAAAATTAAAGTCTGCGCATGTCAAAAACCCCATTGTAAACAAAAAGGCAAATTATACACGGGAATAAAATAAAATAAGGATATAATTAAACTATCCTTTTTATGTTATATGGAGAGATCAGACTTAGCAACAAAAAAAAATTAAAACAAAGAATATAGATTACTACATAAAAATACAAATGGCCATCAAACATTTTTAATAGTAATATCCAGTGCCATGAGATGATCATTCCCAATGATCTCCAATAGGAGTATAAATTGATTATAGCAGCAAACAAAAAAAAAAGTCCACACCCACTCAAATGTTCTGGAAAGTAATTTGACAATATGCAAGAAAAGTCTGACTTCTAGAAAGCTATTCTAAATAATCCAGGATATAGACAATGACTCATAAACAATGTTTTTTGCGTAGTACTATTGATAACAACAAAAAATTGAAAATAGTTCTGACATCCACTAACTGAGGACTGACTAAATAAAGTACAGTGCATCCACAAGGTAGACTATTCCAGTCATCTTCTATCAGTGGGATAGGAAAAGGATAAAAATATCATCTTAAATTTTAAAAAATTAGAACATAGGCTGGAATACTATTAAAATTGCACTTAAACATAGAAAAAGACTGGAAGAAATTTTTTAACATGCTTATAGTGGTTATCTCTGGGCAGTAGACGTAGAGTTATTTTAATTCTTGTCTTTACACCATTCTGTATTTTTCACATGTTCTATACTAAACACATTTCACTTTTATAATTAGAATTAAAAGCAATCAAGCTTGCTTTAAAAAAGATTAGTCCTCCAGTGTTCCAGGAAAAGAAAAAAGGGAGAGGTCCACCTCTCTAAAAAATGTTTCTGAAACAGCCCTGGTGCTTCCTCCTCCAGCAGTAAACAGAGTAACAGAGGCTTTAACTCGGGCTGACAGCTGGATTATTTATACTGGTGGCCACACCGCCGCTCGCTCACCTGAGGGGAGCTCCCTGCCGGATCTCCTCCTGCCCTAAATAAATCAGCTCCCACAAACCAAGCCTCACTGGTTGCACTTATCCATGTAAATTAGCTTGATTTGATATCCATAATTTCTCTCTTCAACGGCTACATTTGCAAGTACACACGCACCTGCTGCCTCTCCGATGTGGCCGGCACCCACTGAGCCATCACTGTCTCTTTCTAGTCTCACCTCAAACCGTCAGCCAGGCCTGGCTCTCAGGCTCCCACCTATGCCCTGATCAACACGGCTGCATTGCTGAGTCACTGCTCACACTGTTCTCCTCCCGGAATACCATTCTCCCTCCTGGTAGCCCGTCCACATCCTGCACTTAATGCAAAGGCCTCCATAGTCCCCCTGCTAAAACCCTGTGAGGACCCTATGCCAGTCATTGTGCATGAGACGGAAATGGATAAGCATGAGACACAGCCCATAAGAAGGTCATCATCAAGTGCTATAGATACACAGATAAAGAGACCATTGAACTCACCTAGAGGAATGCCACGGAGGCAGATGCTAGATGTTAAACGGTCATGGAAGACTTCCCAGAGGATGTGTTTCCTGACTGAGACGAGAAGGATACGTAGGAATCAGTCAGGAGGAAGCCGTGGGGGAGATTCTAGGATAGGAAACAGACTAAATGAAGACCCTGACATGTGGACAGCTGATGCAATAGGGACCCCCAAGCTGAAAGTTCTGCACTGAAGGAACAAGAAGCGGGAGGGAGGAAACAAAAGGGGGAAATGAGCTGGGAAATGCATAGAGAGCACTATGTGCTGTGCCTATGAACTCGACATGGCCCAGGACTTCCATAAAGCTGTCTCTCCCTTCCAAGCCCCCATGGGTCTGCTCAGGAGCTCTTCCTCAGCAAGCACCCACCTACCTGGGCTGGCTCATTAAAACAGCTCTGGGGTCTGGCAGGATTATCGGATTCACTCCTGTGTCTGCTGCTCTCACTTGGGACTAGCAGCTCCCTCCCTTCTACACTCTTGATGCCTGGCCTGGGCTCTCACAGAGTCATAGCTACCAGCAGCAGACTTCTTAATCCAGTCATTTCTCTTCTGGGCCTCCTCCAATCTGCCTTTCCTCCCCACCCTCCTCCAAAACTGTTCTTATCATGTCACCAGTCATCTCCCTGTTGTTGAATCCAAGGTGCAATTTCCAGTCCTCATTTTACATGACATGTCCACGACATTCAACACAGCACTGACCCTTCTCCCACGTACACTTTCTTCACCAGCCCTCCAGAACACCACAGTCTTCTCGCTGTTCTCCCATTTTGCTGGTTTGGCTCTCTCAGTCTCCTTTTCCAGTTCTTCTTCATCCAGAACTCTTAACATGGCCAAGCCTGGGAGCTCAGTGTTTGGCATCCTCTCTAATACTGTTTTAGTATTGTGTTCATGACAACCTAACTGCTGAACTCCCAATTCATCGATCCAATCATCTATATGAAATTTCACTTCGATGTTCAATATTTACCTCGAACTTAACATATCCCAACCTGAATTCCCCACAGCCCCACTCAGACACTGATACTCCCCATCTTCCTATCTCAGTGGATAGCAACTCTATCCTTCCAGTTGCTCAGGTCAAAGACCTTAGAACTATAAAGCTTCTAGAAAAAAATATGTAGAACAGTTTCAGGATCATGAGTTAAACAAAGATTTCTTCAACAGGATACAAAATCTACTAACCCGAAAGGAAATAAATAATAACATTACAAATAAGAGCTTCTGTCCACAAAAAAAATACCATTCAGAAAGTGACAGGCAATCCCAACTGAGAAATTATATTTGTGTTGTATATAATCAAAGGACTTGTGTCCAGAATACACAATGAAATCCTAAAAATCAACAAAAAAAAGGCAACCCAATTTTTGTTCAATGGAAAAAAGACATGAACAGGCATTTTTATAAAAGTTAACACTTCCAAATGGTCAATATACATGAAAATCTGCTCAATCTTTTTTCATCATCAGGGAATCAATAATTAGAACCATAGTGAAACACTGCCAGCAGAATTGCTAAAATACCAGCAGAATTGTTGAAATAAAAAGAACAGACAATACCAAATGTTACCAATTATGTATAGCAACTGGAATACTCATACATGTTGGCAGCAGGGTAATTAGGACAAATACTGTGAAAAAATGCTTAGCAGAAACCCATCTCTACTAAAAATACAAAATTAGCTGGATGTGGTGGCACACGCCTGTAATCCCAGCTACTCGGGAGGCTGTGGCAGGAGAATCACTTGAACGCGGGAGGCAGAGGTTGCAGTGAGCCAAGATAGTGCCACTGCACTCCAGCCTGGGCAACAGAGCAAGACTCCATCTCAAAAAAAAAAAAAAAAAAAACTAAACATATTTTTTCAGCTATGACCTAGCAATTCCATCCTTACACACCCTACATATGTGCAGCAAAACACACATACAAGAAGAATATTAACAGGATTATTATTTGTAATACCCAAAACCTGGAAACAATCCAAAATGCTCATCAGCATTAAATTGGATAAGAAAGCATTGTACATTCACACAATTCAATACTATACAACAATGAAGGAGAATGAATTACCATGACAAGCAACATTATGAATGAATGCCATAATCTCAAGTGAAAGAAGCCAGACACAAAAGAGTACATACTGTATTATTGCATTTATATCAAATTTAAGAGCATTAGCTGGGCGTGGTGGTGCACCCTTGTAGCCCCAGCTACACAGGAGGCTAAGGAAGGAGATTCACTTGAGCTCAGGAGTTTAAGGCTGCAGTGAGCCATGATCTCACCACTGCACTCCAGCCTGAGTGACAGAGCAAGACTCTGTCTCTAATAAATAAATAAATAAGGTTTAAAAGCAGACAAAACTAATCTATGGTTTTATAATTCAGATTGATGACAATCTTTGGGAAGAGGCACCAGGGGACTTCCAGAGAGCTGGCAGTGTTTCAATTTCTTGATCTGGGTGATGGTTACATGAATGTATTACTTTTGTGAAAGTTTATCATCTCCGAGCTCCTTAGAGGTAAAGCCTGAGATGGAGGTCCTTGTGGAATAGCTTATTGAGGGGATATGCTCAGGAGAAGTGGGGTGAGGAAAGTAGGCAGGCCAGGTATGTTAGGCCATTCTTGCACTGCTATTAAAAAAAATCTGAGACTGGTAATTTATAAGAAAAGAGGTTTAATTGGCTCATGGCTCTACAGGCTGTATGGGAGGCATAGCAGCATCTGCTTCTGGGAAGGCCTTGGGAAGCTTCCAATTATCGCAGAAGGCAAAGAGGGAGCAGGTGCATCACATGGTGAGAATGGGAACAAGAGGTGAGGGAGGGGAAGTACCAAACACTTTAAATGACCAGATCTCACAAGAACTCAGAGCAAGAGCTCACTTATCACTAAGGGGATGGCCCAAGCCATTCACAAGTGATGCACCCTCATGATCCAAACACCTCCAACATTGGGAATTGCAATTCAACACGAGGTTTGAGTGGGACATTCACACTATATTACTGCACCCCTGGCCCCCCCAAATACAAATGTCCTTCTCATATTACAATAATACAATTATGCCTTCCTAACAGTCCCCCAAAGTCTTAACTCATTCCAGCATTAACTCAAAAGTTCAAAGTCTCATCTGAGACAAGGTAAGCCTTTCCACCTATGAGCCTGTAATATCAAAAACAAGTTACTTACTTCCAAGCTACAATGGGAGTATAGGCATTGGGTAAACATTCCCATCTCAAAAGGAAGAAATTGGCCAAAAGAAAGGGGTTACCAGCCCTATGCAAGTTCAAAACCCAGGACAGCAGTCATTAAATCTTAAAGCTCCAAAATAATCTCCTTTAACTCCATGTTTCACATCTCAGGCACACTGGTGCAAGAAGGGGGCTTCCAAGGTCTTGGACAGCTCCACCTCTGTGACTTTGTAGGGTTCAGCCACCATCGCTTCCCTTACTGACTGGAGTTGAGTGCTTGCAGTTTTTCCAGGTGCAGGGTGCAAGCTGCTAGTGAATCCACCATTCTCAGGTCTGGAGAAAGTGGCCCCCTTCTCACAGCTCCACTAGGCAGTGCCCTATTGGGGACTCTGTGTGGAGGCTCCAACCCCACATTTCCCCTTTGCATTGCCCTGGTAGAGGTTCTCTGTGAAGGTTTCGCCTCTGTAGCAGGCTTCTGCCTGGGCACCCAGGCTGTCTCATGCATCCTCTGAAATCTAGGTGGAAGCTCCCAAGCCTCTTTCATTCTTGCATTTGTGCACCTACAGACTTAACACCACAACAAAGCTGTCAAGGCTCATGGCTTATACCCTCTGAAGCAATGTCCCAAGCTGTATCTGGGGCCCTGTGGCTGAAGCCAGAGTGGCCAGGATGCAGGGAGTGCTGTACTGAGGCTCCTCAGGGCAGCAGTGCCCCGGGCCTGGCCCAAAAAAACTAATCTCCCCTCCTAGGCCTCTGGCCCTGTGATGGGAGGGCCTGCCAGGAAGGTCTCTGAAATGGCTTCAAGGCTTTTCCCCCACTGTCTTGGATATTAGCACTTGGCTCTCTTTTAGTTATGCAAATATCTCTAGCAAGTGGTTGCTCCACAGCCTGCTTGAATTCCTCTCCTGAAAAAGCTTTTTTTTTCTCTCTCTCTGCCACATGGCCAGGCTGCAAATTTTCCAAACTTTTATGCTCTGCTTCCATTTTAAATATAAGTTTCCAATTTAACTCATTCCTTTGCTCTCACATTGAGCATAGATTGTTAGAAGCAGCCAGGTCACCTCTTGAACACTTTGCTGCTTAGAAGTGTCTTCCACCAGATACCCTAAATCATCACTATGAAGTTCAAACTTCCACAGATTTCTAGGGCATGGACAAAATCCAGCCAAGCTCATTGGTAAGGCATAACACATGTGACCTTTGCTCTAGTTCCCAATAAGTTCTTCATTTCTGTCTGAGACCTCATCAGCCTGGACTTCACTGTCCATATCACTGTCAGTATTTTGGTCACAACCATTTAACCAGTTTCTAATAAGTTCCAAACTTTCTCTCATTTTCCTGTCTCCTTCGGAACCTTCCAAACTCTTCCAACCTCTGCCTATTACCCAGCTCCAGAGTGACTTCCACATTTTCAGGTATCTTTATAGCAATTCTCCACTCCTCAGTACCAATTTTCTATGTTAAGCCATTCTTGGACTGCTATGAAGAAATACCTGAGACTGGGTAATTTATAAGAAAGGAGATTTAATTTTCTCATGGTTCTGCAGGATATATAGGAAACATAGTGCTTCTGGGGAGGCCTCAGGAAGCTTCCAATCATGGTAGAGGGCAATGAGAGCACAGGCACATCACATAGCCAGAACAGGAGCTAGAGAGAAAGTCAGGTGGCAGGACTGGTGTCATGCACCTTTAAATGACCAGATCTCGCAAGAACTCAGAGCGAGAGCTCACTTATCACCAAGGGGATAGCCCAAGCTATCGTTAGGGATCTGCCCTCATTATCTAAACAACTCCCACGAGTCCTCACCTCCAATATGGGGGATTACAACTCAACATAAGATTTGGGTGGGGCATCCAAACCATATCACCAGAAGAGAGCCTAGCAGGGATGTGGTCTTGCATAGAGATGGCACAGTTCCTTCTGTGGGTGCATATTTCAACCCAAAGTTTACTGGGGATAAAGGGGAGCCTTGGAGCCCATCTGAAATTCTCTCTTTCTCTCACACCACACACTCCACCAGCAAAACCTATCAACACCACCTTCAAAATACATCCAGAATCTGACCACTTCCACTGCTACACACAGGACTTCTGTCACCTGGCTCACTGTCTTAACTTCCTAACTGATCTCCCAGATTACATATTTGCCCCCTGTAGTCTAGTCCCAATACAACAGGCAAAAGGATCCCTTGAAATCATTATTCAGATCATACCACTGCTCAGCTCAGAATCCTCCAGTGACTCCATATTTCACTCAGAAAAAGGACACAAGTCTTTACAATGACCTGGAAGACCCTAGCACACGATCTTGCCCCCATCACATCTCCAACCTCATCTCTCCACTCACTCCCACAGCCACACGACCTTACTGCTATTTCTGCAACACACCAATTCACTCCCGTTTTGCATCTCGTCCCCTGGATGTTTCTCTGCCTAAAAAGATCTCTCTCCAGAGATTCATAGACGAAAGCCCTCACTTCTTCCTTGAAATATTTACTCAGATATCTTCTCGGTGAGCCCCAGCTACCATATTTTAAATTGTTCCCTCCCACCCACTGTTGTACATGTCTCCGGTTCACCTGACCCCACTGCGTTTTTTTCTGCAGCACCTATTTTCTTCTAGTATACTAGATGATGTGCCTATTAAACATGTATTGATTATTGGTCATCTCCCTCCACCCCAAAACACACATATTCACTCATTTAATTCATTGCTGCTGGTTCCAAATGGCACCCATTCAATACTCCAGGGATAAATGAATGGGTCACTCTGTTTTGCTCCTCAGTTTTTGGAGATATGGGAGAAGGATGGTGGATTCCATGACAGAAAGGCTGTGATGCCCCACAGTATGGGCAGTAATCGTGATGTGTGGATAGGATTACTAGAAAAAGGAAACTTTTAGAAATTTTTGCAGGTGTTAGGTGCAGCCTATCTTCCCCTAGTTCCTCAAGAGAACCTTCAGTCAAGAGCTATTTTTTCAATCTCTGGGTTTTTTGGTGTTAGGTATGTGATGTTTGTTGCCTAGAATGAATTGCAAAAAGCATTAGTCTACTTTGTGGTTTTATGTCCCTGACACCTAGAGCCCTGTGGAGTTCTTCTGGCACCTAGTAGACCTAACTCAGTATTTGCTGAATTAATGAGCTGCCCCTTCATACTGCTCTTGGCTCAATGTCAGAATCTGGACCTCCCACACTCCTCTTCTGGCAAGGACCTTCTATCCCCAACATCTCACTCTATGGGACACATGTTGCATCTGCCACTCAACTGGGCAGTTTCCCTGTCCTAAATAGTACTGTCACTGCATTGATTCATCGTAGTTCACCGCTTAGGCTCGAGGCTCTAAGTGAGCAAAGAGCATGTCTTCTGCATCTCCCATTCCCTGCAGGCTCTAGCACAGTGCTGGGCTGGAACAGAAGCTCAATAAGTACTGTGGGAAGAATGAACAAATGTCATTTACATTGAATTTAGAAGGTAGCCTCAGCAGCAACTTTAAAGGCACTAATGAAAGTATATCATACCCACCCCCAAAGTGAATCCAGGGGACTTCAAAAAAATTTCCCCTTTGACTAGCAAGCAGGTTATAGGTGGGAAGTAATGGTCATAAACTGCCTGCAGTTCATTCTGGTTTTAAAAGTTCATTTGGTGCTCACACATTGCTGGCTAGAGATAATCAATGGCCAGGAGCAGAGGGGAGAGGTCAGCACCCAACTCTCAGGGCGAACAGAAATGGCGTCCCCCTGGCCATGATGGATGGCAGCAACCTTCAGTTTCTAATTGCTCCCAAAGAATTCATGTATGACTCCAACCCCAAATCACACACATGGGGAGAGGAAGGACAGAGCCAAGGCAAGAGGCTCGGTCAGCAAAATTGGAATTGCTTGAGAAATGGAGGAGAAAGAATCCCCCATCTTAGCCTGCCCTATAAACGCCTAAGTGATGTATTTCCTTCCCCCGTTGACTTTTTTTAAGTATCTCTCTCATAAGTCATTAATAACTAATTTCACAATTGCTGCATCATGTGACAGTCATAAAATATTGCCTGCACTTTTCCCAGAAAATTTCAGTATTGAGCCAATAATTGAATCCAAATTATCTATTAAGTTAATTCTTTAGTAGACAATATTTTACACTTGAAGTCATTTTTCACCAGTACTCTGGAATGAAGTAATTGTGGAATTAGTGATGACTTTTCCCCCTCCTGAACAAGTAAAAATAAAATTGCTGGGTTCAGCCTGGAGGGTGTCAAGCTGTTATGAATTCTTTTCTTCTCTATTTTTCCTCTTGCTAGTTAGAACTAGCTCCCTGTCCTCAGAAATCACCCAGCTGACAGCTGAACACTGCTTCTGTATGGTCAGTGTCATACCCGCAACTGTCCTGGACCAGCTCATTTGCAGAGTCATGTGTTACCCTCTCTGGCCAGGGTCTGGCTTTTAAGAAAACTTTGTACTTTTTGTGCAGACAGGTGCAGAGTTCACTTGGGAAGTCCAGCCAACCCACACTTCTCTTTTCTGAGAGCCAGTCCTACCTACAGACATGGTCCCCTAATAGCTATGTTTGTTCCTGGGACCCTGTCTCCACCCTTCCTCAATGCCCTATTTCTGGCCAGAAACCAATTAGACCTGGATGGACACCTGACCCAGGCTGGGGAAATCAGAGATTGTCTTACAAGATTTTGAACTTGAGTGTAAGAGGCACCAGCCAGTCTCTGTTTCTCCTTTGAATTAAGGATGTAAAATTTTCATGCACTTTGCACAGGATAATTGTTTCATCAACCTCAAATTTTCATAGATCCAGAGGAGTTGAATTGAGGGGAGAGCGAGAGCAAGAGGGAGAAGGAAATGAAACAGAGAACAGGAACACGAGAGCAAGGCCAGTCAATGGATGAGAAGAACTGAGCACCCAGAGGAGGAGGCACAGAAAGTGGGGCATGAAGCCTACTTCTGATTTGGGACTGTGAGATCCTGTCTTCTTATGTGACCTGAATAAAGTGTGGCATTGTGTTTCTTCCTTTATTATAAGAACACATTGGAAGAAAAAAACAGACGTCACATAGCTAACACTAAAAAGTCTAGAGATTTAAAAAATAGCTCTTGACTGAAGATCCTCTTGAGGAACTAGGGGAGGAGAGGCTGCACCTAATACCTGCAAAAATTTATAAAATTTTCCTCTTCCTAGTAATCCTATCCACACATGAGGATTACTGTCCACACTATGGAGGGCCACAGCCTTTCTCTCATGGAATCCACCATCCTTCTCCCTATACCTCCAAAAACTGAGGAGCAAAACAGAGTGACCCATTCATTTGTCCCTGGAGTACTGAGTGGTGCCATTTGGAACCACCGGCAAGATAAGCAGGTTCCTGCTCATCAGTGAGGTACCAGCAAGACTCCTTACAGCCTAAGAAGACATCATTAAATACTTTTGGCCTTGTCATATCTACCGTCAAGTTCCCACTTTTCACAGAATTGATTTAAGTGAGTTTCTATTATAATCAACCAAAAAGACCTTGCTCCAGAGAAAATTCCTAGAGCCTGCTATGCCTCAGTCTTTGACCCTACTTGATGGAAAACAGCAGAGGAGGAAGAGCGTGAGATGTGAGGCCAGACAGACCCCGATGTGCATGTGGTTTCTTCTTAAAAAATAAAAACAGTGAAGCTCACGTTTCTCCATTCAGTGGGACTTGCTGTGGTTTGGGGTAAGCAGCTTTGCTAGAGTTGGGGAAGTTCTCTTCTAATTCTAGTTTCCTGAGAAATGTTTTAGGATGATAATTATTGCTATAAACAGGTGTTGAACCTTGTCATTTTTATTATTATCATTATAAACAGATATTGAACTTCATCACATGTTTTTTATGCAACTCCTGGGATAATCATACGATGTTTTTTTTCTCCTTTGGTCCACTAATGTGGTGAATTGCCAGACTTTCTGCTGTTAAACCGCCCTGCATTCTTCCCGGAAACCCACCGACATGACTGGATTCAGTTAGCTAATGCTTTATTTAGTATTGTTTTCATCTATTTTTGCAGGTGAAATGGGCCTATCATTTTTTACTCCTTTCCTTGTCTAGTTTAAGAGTAACAATTAAATTAGCTTCATTAAATGGATCAGACCACTTTTTTCCTCTTTCTATTTTCTGGAACAGCTTCTGCAAGATGAGGATTATTTTCTCTATAAATGCTTTGTAGGATTTAATTGTAAAGGGATATGGGCCTAGTTCTTTAAAGGCAGGGACTGGCTAGGATTTTAATTTTTTTACTCATTACTGGTCTGTTTGGGTTTTTTATTTATTCTTTGCCAATTTTGGCATTTCTCATTTTTTTCAGAAAATATCCAATCCATCTAATTTTTAAAATGTACTGGTACTTTATAATATTTTTGTAAGATTATTTGAATATTTAAACATCTATTGTGTCTGTCATTTTCCTTTTTTAATCCTGTCTTATTTCTTTTTCTCTCAACCACTTTTAACAGTGGTTTGTCTATCTTATTAATCTTTTCAAAAGACCTACATTCAGCTTTGCTAAGCTTCCGTGATTTCTTTGTTGTCATTTGCTATTCATTTATGTCTGCCTTTATGTCTATGATTTCCTTCTTTTTCTTTAAGCTTATTCTGTTGCTACTTTTCCAGCCTCTTGAGATAAGCACTTAGCCCCTTTGTTTAAGATATTCTTTATCTTCTTAATGATGTATTTAAGGCTATCCCTTCTCTCCTAAGCTGCTTGATCTATGTCCCACAACTTTTGCCATGTGGCTTGTTCATTCATTTAATCCTAAATATTTTGTGACTGTTTTTATTAATTCTTCTTTAATCCAAAGACTGTTTAGTATTGTCATTTTTGTTTCTAGACACACAGTCTTTGGATTTTAACTGATTTGGAGTTTCATTGCATTTTGGTCAGAGAACAGTGATATGGTTTGGCTGTGTCCCCACCCAAATCTCAGCTTTAATTGTATCACCCAGAATTCCCACGTGTTGTGGGAGGGACCCGGGGGATGTAATTGAATCAGGAGTGCCAGTCTTTCCCATGCTACTCTCGTGATAGTGAATAAGTCTCACGAGATCCGATGGGTTTATCAGGGCTTTCCCTTTTTGCTTCTTCCTCATTTTTCCCTTGCTGCCATCATGTAAGAAGTGCCTTTCGCCTCCCACCATGATTCTGAGGCCTCCCTAGCCATGTGGAATTGCAAGTCCAGTGAAACCTCTTTTTGTTCCCAGTTTCAGGTATGTCTTTATGAGCAGTGTTAAGATGGACTAAATACAAACACTATCTGTGAGATGCGTATGATATTGGTCCTGTGGAATTTATTGAGGCTGTTTTTGTGCTCTGATTTATGGCCAATTTTGTAAATGTTCTACGTATAATCAAAATGCATTTTCCGTTATGTTTAAATTACATATTTGCACATAATTGTACACACACATTTAAGATTATTAAAAAGTTGTTCAAATCTTCTGTATACTTAATAAATTTTGTTTCCTTGCTCTATAAACTTATGAGAGAAATATGTTAAAATATTCAAATAAAATGGTTGATTTATCTATTTTTCTCTGTTTCTACAGCTACTTTTTATATGTATGTGCATGTGTATAAATATACACACATACATATTTGAGGCTATCTTACTAGGTGTGTATATATTTTTCATGATTTTATAGACTTATGATCCTTTATTCCTTTTACTGGAATATAACGTTCCTCCCTTTTTTTTCTTATAAAATTTTTTGGCTCATGTTTGCTTGCTATTTCTTCTTTTACCCTTTTATTTCCAATCTCTTGTTGTGTATCTTGCAGAAAGTGTATTCTTAAGTCTTGTGTTTTTAATCCAATTTAAGTCTCTATATTTTGAATTATGATTTTAACTCATTTATATTACTATAAATTGATGTTATATTAAGAATTATGTTTGCTATTTATTTCACATTTCTTATTTCACATTTTCATACTTGTTTTTCCTTCTTCCCTTTTTTCCACTGGATAGATAAAACTTCCCTCTGCTGGTCTGAATGCTCTATGTTCTTTTTTTTATGGTATTGGCCTAATTTACTCTCATTATTCAGGCTAAAACTGTGGGCGGTATCCTTGGTTCCCCTCCTTCTCTCACCAGTCCATAAGGATGTCCAGTTAGCTCTTCCTTCAAAATACATTCAGAATCTTATGGGGATATGAGATACATATATATATTTCTTTTTTTTTATTTTATTTATTTATTTTTTTTAAGACAGGGTCTCACTCTGTCACCCAGGCTGGAGAACACTGGTGCGATCATGGCTTACTGCAGCCTTGACCTCCTGGGCTCAGGTGATCCTCTGGATTCAGTTAGCCTCTAAAGTAGCTAGTACCACAGGTGTACACCACCATGCCTGGATAATTTGTGTGTGTGTGTGTGTGTGTGTGTGTATTTTTTATAGAGACAGATTTTCGCCATGTTGCCCAGGCTGTTCTTGAACTCCTGGGCTGAAGCAATTCGCCCACCTCAGCCTCCCAAAGTGCTGCAATTGCAGGCATGAGCCACCACACCCAGCCTGGCCCCTTGTATTAGTCTCTTCTCATACTGCTATAAAGAAATACCCAAGACTGGGTAATTTATAAAGAAAAGAGGTTTGATTGGCTCACAGTTCTGCAGGACGTACAGGAAGCATGGCTGGGAGGCCTCGGGAAACTAACAATTATGGCAGACGGTGAAGGGGAAGCAGGCTCATCTTACATGGCCAGAGCAGGAGGAAGAAAGAGAAGGGGGAGGCACTACAAACTTTTAAACGACCAGACCTTGTGAGAACTCACTCACTATCATGAGAACAACCAAGGGAAATACATCCCTATGATCCAATCACCTCCCACCATTGGCAATTATAATTAGATGTAAGATTTGGGTGGGGACACAAATTCAAACCATATCACCCCTGATTCCTCATCACTTCCACTGACACCCTCATCTCCTACCTGAGTCAATGTCCTCATGTCCCAACTGGTCTCCAGTCTTCCATCTTAGCTGCCTAGAATATGTTCTGATTTAAAAGCCATATCGGTGCTTTTAAAACATTAAGGCCACATTGTTCCCCTGCCCAAACTCTCCATCATCTGCTCACATCACTCAGAGGAGTTAAGCTCATGTAATGGCCTACGGGCACACCCCTCCTGGGAGACACCCTCTCCTCCCAATCTCCCCTTGGCCCTCTCCACTCCAGCTCCACTGCTGTTCTTCACACAGTGGGGCATGCTGCAACCTTAGGGCCTTTTCACTCTTCTCTCTTCATAGAACACTCCTCCCTGAGACAGCCATGTAGCTAACTCCCTCATCTCCTTCAGGACTGGGCTGGAACGTCTCCTTCTCAATGAGACCTACCCTCCCATTTTACCTCAGTTGCAGCCCTCCCCATCCTGGCACTCCCAATCCTTCTCCGTGCCACCTCGGGTTTTGCATAATACTTACAGGCTTCTATCATACCTTTATCTATTTATTCATTCATTTCTTATGCTTACTGAGTGCCTTCTGTCTCTCTCACTCCATGAAAACATTAGGGGTGTCCATGAAAACTGCAAGGCTCAGATCTCTGCTGTGAGAAGCACAATGGACTCACCGTCTCAGCTCACCCCTTGGGACCCACCATCACATTCATATTGAGTTCACACTTCCCACGGGCTGTTTCCAGCCAGCAGCTGAGCACAGCAAGGTCATTAACACGGATCCATTTGGCAAAATGCAAGACTCTCTTATGGGTGACTTTGGTTCAAGAATTCCCCGCTGGTGGGGCCAGAGCATTCCTGGAATTGCACTTCAGCCCAAGGCTGTTCTACTCCAAGCCTCCTCCCTTCCCTGTCTCCTTCTGCAGGCATCAGACCTGCATCACAGTGTGAGGCTCTCCTTGTCTTTCCTTGCTCTTTCTCCAGGAAACGTCATCCTATCATGGCATCTTCTTCTCAGTGGAACCGGACTAATGTATGGGTTTTGTTCACTGATGTACCCTGAGTACCTAGACTTGGAATGAGTGTGCAGTAAGTATCTGTGGAAGGAACGTCTAATGAAGGCTAAGTGCAAACCAATAGCATTCATCTTAGGGGCTGCCCCGAGATCCTGCTCTTACACTCCCTTGATTTGGCTCTGTAATAGGGAAGGTGGAGATGTGTCCTTTATAGCCTGGTTCTGACAAGTTAGCTCAATGAAAACTAGAATTGAGATCACAGGGTCTAACTGGGATAACCAATACCTGTGTAGTGGTATAGAATGTTTTTAAATACCTTTACAAACATTGTCATATGACCCTTACCCCAATGCTGGGAAGTACATTTTTCTGTATCTTAAAGTTGATTAAAACACACACACACCCCACAGACACACACACAGACACACACACCCCACAGACACACACACACAATAGTTATCTGAGTTGCTCAAGATCACACCACAGAGCCAGGATTCAAACCTAATTGTTCGCTTCCTGGGCCAACACTCTTCCCACTGCACCATGCTGAAGTGAGCCCCAGTATCAGAGACTGGGAGAAGAGTAAAAGTTAGTGACTTGTGGATTAATCCAGTCAGGGACCAGCATAGGCTCACAGCTAAGAGACAGGGCAGGCCTGGAGAACCAGACTTGGGGATAGGACCTCCCTGCTGCTCTGCTCCAAGCGGAGTGGTAATGGCGTTCCATGGAGTTGCACACCACTTCCTGAGCCTCAAGGGATGTCGAGAAGACTTAGCTAAATAAGAGTGGAATAGAAAAGAGACACAAAGGGAATATAGCCTTCTCATCCAGTCTGGGAAGAAGAGACTGGGTATATGATAAAGGCCTCTAGAATCAAAAGCTCTCCAAAGATGCTCTCCCGCCCTCTCCAATTGGAATGAAGTGAGCTGTCTTCCAATCCCATAAACCTAGCAGAACCTTTCATGCCTACCATGATGAGAAATTTTTTGCACTCAGAGCAGTAGAGCAGGAGTTGTGCAGCTACCCGCCGCTCTGCTTCTGGGGAGGGGGCGAGAGAGTCCCCTCCCCAGGGACACTAATGAGATCCTCCTGGAGAATGCAGCAGAAGGCCTCCAGTAAGTGGGCAGCCAGGCATTCAATCACCAAGGAGCTCCAATGGGGAGCTGTGATCACGGACAGAGGAGGAACTTACCAAAACCCATGGCCCTTGTGTGCCGCTAGCTAAATGAGGCCCCTTCTCTCTTTTGAAGCCTAAGGCAGAACCTACCGGCCTCTCCTTCTGCTCATCTGAGCCGAGGTCTCCAACCCCTCAGGCCCGTATTTGCTTCCAGCTAGCTCTAGGGTCCCAGTGGGGAGGTGGCATCCAGAGCTTCCCAGCCAGCCTGCTGCAGCACAGTGGTGGGACAGGAGTAGTTACAGGTTTACAAGACATTAATCTCTCCCTGATTTATTCTAGTGTGCCCTCCAAATGGTATTTTTTTTTTCACTCTTTTTCCCAGGCTGGAGTGCAATGGCACGATCTTGGCTCACTGCAACCTCTGCCTCCTGGGGTCAAGCAATTCCCTGTCTCAGCCTCCTGACTAGCTGGGATTATAGGCGCCCGCCACCATGCCCAGCTAATTTTTGTATTTTTAGTAGAGATGGGGTTTCACCATCTTGGCCAGGCTGCTCTTGAACTCCTGACCTCGTGATCCACCCGCCTCAGACTCCCAAAGTGCTGGGATTACAGGCGTGAGCCACCGCGCCCGGCCTAATGGTATCATTTTCTATGCATGCCATGATGTCAGAAGGAAGAAAGGAAGAAAGGGAGGAAAAAAGGGAGGGAGGGAGGGAAGGAAAGAAAAGTGGAGAAACTCTGGAGCTCCCATTGAATCTCCTCCCTCCTCACTCACTAGAGGCTGCCCCACTCTCCATTCATTCATTCATTTATTCAACTAAAATGTTCTGGGCACCCACCAGGTGCCATATACATTCCAGTATGTCAACTGCAAATTCTTCTGCCAGGGAAGAGGTGCCCTCTCCATGCAGAATCTGCCTAACGGTGGGCCCCAGATCCCCATCCATAAATTGAGGGGCCAAACCACATTCTGCCCAAGGTCCCTGGTCTTTCCATGAGACCAGAAAGGATTCAGGGAACATCAGCACTCATCTTTCATCTACTCCTTGCTCCCCTCCCCCTCTCCCATTCAAGCACTAGACCTTTCTTTGACCATTGTTTCGGGGCAGGAACCTGCAGGACAGAAAACAAACAGGCCTGCAGCCTCTTCTGGCCTCTAGTATGTCAAAAGCTTGTGTCCTCTGGGACCTGAGAGGACTCGGTGGACCAGGGAGGCAGGGGAACCCTCACCTCCATTGCTGAGAGTTCAAGGATGCCTTCCCACCTTTCTAAATACTATTTCCCTGTGCTGAGGAGAGATGACAGACACAGCCGAACAGGCCAGCTGGGGGAAGAGGGATGTCCCAGTAGCACCCCCTTGGACACGTGACTATGGCAGATGGGCACAGTGACATCTCAGGGGACACCTGCAGAGACAGTTGATGTCAAGGACCAGATGGGTTCCCACCCAAAACCCACAGTTCAGCCTAACATTTCCCAAGCCTGGGATGCCTGATGTGCAGGCAGGTGAGCTTCTGAAGGCCACAGGGTGGAGAGGCAGGTCAAGGAGTGGGTAGCTTGACCTTGACCATCTAAGCCCGCTCAGTATGAGGAACTAGGGGGGGATGGGACCCTGGACCTGGCTGGGAAGTGGAAAATACCAAAAAACACCTCAAAGATGAGACCCAGCAGCCAGCCTGCTTCCTCTGAGGCAATGGCAGCCTGGGTGGATTTCAACCTGGGTTCTGCGCTCTCCTTCCCCTCCCCAACAGCCGTCCTCACCTCAGACCCCTCCCCAGTCCCACCTTGGCCTCATTCATCCCCAGTGCCAGCCGCAGTCTGCCATGTCTCGCCAATACCTGTCAGTCAACCACAGGGCTCCATCAGCCACGACCCTAGCAACCCCATGCATCCCAGCCACGAAAGGCAGAGCCTCGGTTTCCAGATCTGCCTGCCACCCTTGCCCAGGCTGTTCCTCCCTTCACCACCTCCTATTGCCTCTCGCCAATCCATCCAGCAGCCCCCGTCCCACACAGGAGCCCAGCCAAGTCCCTCAGGGGCTGCCCCTGTCCATCTGTGGGCCTTACTGTGTAGCTCTAACTACCTAACAACTGCAGTGTAATTACACCCCCCACCCTCCCCTACCAAGCTGCCTGCCCCACAGCTCCCAGGGCATTAGGCACTACTTAGGGGAAAGTGCTGCTAATAGAAAACAGTAAATGAACAAGGGCTGTTGCAAGCACCTCGCTTCCTTCCCTTAATTTACAACAAACCTCTGTTTATTGAGCCAGTAACAGATTTGAACACCGACTCATAAGAGGCCCTTCTCGCAGACACTGTGTATCTGGCAAATGATTCCCCTTCCACTGAGGTGTGTTCAGAATTCAGCACAGGCTATTTACAGGGCTGCCTGGGGAGGGCCAGGAAGGGGACTCTTCACTGCAGCCCAGACTGCAGAGGAGCTGGGAGCAGGGGTGGGTTGTAGGGAACTGTCCCATAGAGGATCAGTCACCTGGACCCTAACCCCCAGCCTGTGAGCAGCTCAGGTGCAGGAGGGCAGAGGTATGGAGCAGATACGTTTCCAGAATTGGAACCCCTGGCATTTCCATGGGGCTGTCTGGCCACTCTACCTACTAAGCTTCAGCGTCTGCTCTCTCCTTCTGTCCCCTACCGACTCCATGAAGAAGGCCACACACAGATATGGCCATCTCCATTTGACAGATGAGAAGACAGAGGCCCAGAAGGCAGAAATACAGTGGCTCCAGGCCACAGGGCTTTTGGTTTAGCATGTGTTCCCAGTCCCAGGAGGACATCCTATCTTCTTTCTTTTGATAGGGCAGGGAGAAAAGAAGGTGACAGCAGCCCCATCACACACACACCCTGCAGGTGGTAGGAGAGGGTCACACACTCCCCACCAGAAGAGAAACAAAAGGCACTCAAGGCTGTCCTGTGCTCAGGCATATGACTACAAGGGCTGTGCCCAGGCCCAGGCTAGCCTAAAGAGATGTCTGGCCAGGAGCGGTGGCTCACACATGTAATCCCAGCACTTTGGGAGGCTGAGGCAGGTGGATCACTTGAGGTCAGGAGTTCGACACCGGCCTGGCCAACATGGCGAAACCGCATCTCTACTAAAAATACAAAAATCAGCAGGGCATGGTGGTGCACACAGATAATCCCAGAGGCAGGAGAATCGCTTGAACCCCGGAGGCAGAGGTTGCAGTGAGCCAAGATCGAGCTACTGCACTCCAGCCTGGGTGACAGAGTGAGATTCCGTCTCAGAAAAAATAGAGAGAGAGAGACACCTCCCTCACCTCACAAGTACCCTCCAAGCCAGCCCCAGGCTCCCCATATCCACAGCATACCAGGGAAGTGACAGAAGGAATCAGAAAACTTGTGGGACCCAGGGTCAGATGTCACTCACTAACTTCATTACCTGGGTGAGTTATTGAAACTCTCTGGGCCTCAGTTTTCTCAACCATAAAATGGGAAGTATAGCAAACATACAGTTTTTACTTTTTTTGTTTTTGTTTTTTGTTTTTTTTTAAGGATCAGGTGAAATAGCCACTTATCACTGTGCCTGGCACACATTTGGTGCTTAATAATTGTTCAACTGCTTCTTCTCTTTCTTCACCCTTTTATCCTCGCTAAGGATACATTATCTTCAAAGAGTTTTTCCCCAAGGTCCAGATCCCCATTAACAGACCCAGATATTCTGAGGCCAGGCTTCACATGGCGGTGACTTTTTAAGGAAGTTCTCCCGGAGAAAACTGTAAGGAAGAGGGGGACACATGACAGGGATGTAGAAGGAGCCAAGCACAAGTGGAATCTCAGGTAAGGTCCCCTTTAGATGACTTCAGCCCAATCCCTCGGAGAAGTTCGTGAGTGTCAGTTACACAACAGAGACCCCCTGATGGTGAGGCCAGTGAGCTAGGCTCTCACCCTCCTCCAATCCCAGGTAACAGTGGAAAGCTGGGGGTGGGGTGAGTCCCTGGCAGCTGGCGAGGCAGCTCCAATACCCCCAGAGCTGTCTTGCTCAGGGGTAGGTGTTGGAAGCAAAAGCTCACTGCAGCCAGGAACAGACTCACAGAAACAGGAAGTGGGGACCTTGGGGATGAGCATGGAGGGGACCCCAGCTCATAATTGGTCCCAATCTGCTGACTGGAGTGAGACCCATGTTACTGAGTATGTGAGGACAAGTATGATGGTTAATAGTGAGTGTCAACTTGATTGGAATGAAGGATGCAAAGTATTGTTCCTGGATGTGTCTGTGAGGGTGCTGCCAAAGGAGATTAACATTTGAGTCAGTGGGCTGGGAGAGGCAGATCCACCCTCAATCTGAGTGGGCACCATCTAATCAACACCCAGCGTAGCTAGAACGAAGCAGGTAGAAGAAGGTGGAAGGAGCAGGCTGGCTGAGTCTTCTGGCCCTCATCTTTCTCCTGTGCTGGATGCTTCCTGCCCTCAAACATCAGACTCCAAGTTCTTCAGCTTTTGGACTCTTGGATTTATGCCAGAGGTTTGCCAGGGGCTCTCAGGCCTTTGGCCACAGACTGAAAGCTGCACTGTTGACTTCCCTACTTTTGAGATTTGGGGACTCGGACCGGCTTCCTGGCTCCTCAGCTTGCAGACGGCCTATTGTGGGACTTCACCTTGTGATCGTGTGTGTCAATTCTCCTAATAAACTCCCTTTCATATATACATCTATCCTATTAGTCCTGCCGCTCTAGAGAACCCTCACTAATACACCAAGCAAAGGTGACTCCTGGTACTTGGAGAAGACCTTTTCAAGTGTTGGCCAACACTTACACAGACGCTCTAACACTCTCCCAGTAGCTTCTGCCTGAAGCAGACAGGGCAGATGGCATTGCCTTCTTCTAGGAAGAAATCAAGGTCCAGAGAGGTGTGACGATTCACCCCAAGCCACAAAGCTAATTAATAGCACCCCAAATCCAGGTCTCTGGACTCCAAGTACCAGCCTCCCTCCAAAAATAGTGTTTAAACACACTCACACACCCCATAGTTGATCTTCTATGTGAGAATTTGTCAGCTTTTCAGAAGGGAGGCATGGATGGAAACTAGTGCAGAAACTAAGACATCAGGGGCCAGATGAAGGGGCCTTCTCTCCAGGACACGCAATTAGGTCAGCAAGTTAGGTTAACAAGCTCCTTTGTGTAACGTGGAAATAATCTGGAGAGAACTAACCTGTACCTGAGACTCGCCAAATCAGGGAATTTTTTCCATTCATTTGCTCCCCTCCAAAACCATCAGGATACTGTGAGAAGAGGAGCTTCAGGGGGAAGGGAGGGAATGTTTACATCTCTTCCTTCCAGAAGCCTGTGCTGAGCCCCACGGGCTGTGCTGAGACCTTGCGGCATTGATCACACTGTTGTCATTGCTTCCTCAGTGATCTTTTCCTCCACTACTCGACCACCAGTTCCTAAGAGCCAGAGCCGGCTGCTCCTCCGCTGCTATGTCCCTTGGCACATAACAGTCAATTAGTGTTTGTTGAAAGAATAACTGAGCACCTGTCACTTAGGAAGGAGTAGGACTCTGTGATGCAGACCTCAAGAATCAGGGGCTGGCTGGGCACGGTAGCTCACGCCTGTAATCCCAGCACTTTGGGAGGCCGAGGTGGGTGGATCACGAGGTCAGGAGATGGAGACCATCCTGGCTAACAAGGTGAAACCCCGTCTCTACTAAAAATACAAAAATTAGCTGGGTGTGGTGGTGGGCGCCTGTAGTCCCAGCTACTCGGGAGGCTGGGGCAGGAGAATGGTGTGAACCCGGGAGGCTGAGCTTGCAGTGAGCCGAGATCACACCACTGCACTCCAGCCTGGGCAACAGAGCGAGACTCCATCTCAAAAAAAATCAGGGGCTTACACCAACAAGTGTGGGGGGAATTATGGGATCAAAGAGAGAGGAGACCCCAAAGAACACAGAAAGGAACATAAGAAGGTTACAAAGATATCTTTGGCTGCCCATGAAATGGTCCCCTGTAAGCAGCAGTTCCCTGCAAATACTCATCACACATACTGGCCCAGGGCCGTTCCCTGGAGCCTCTGGGCCCCAGTAAGGATGAGAATCTTCCTCAAAGTGGGGTCTCTTTGGAAGTACCTCCAGACTCCCTTGAGCTCACGCTGGAGGAGGAAGGGAAAGGAAGAAAAAGAAAACAGTGAATGGAGGGTGAGCAGAGCAGCTCGGGCTGCGGGGTTCCCAGCGCTCAGCTTGGATCTCTCCTAGTGCTTTGGCTCAAGAACCTGGGAGAACTGCCAAGAGCTTACAGGGTGGCAGGAAATGGGGACTGAATGCCTGCAAAATTTACAGAAAATAATGGAGGGAGGAAAAACATCTGTTTCCAGATGGGGTTGAAGGTTGGATGCACTGTTCATTCTCTCTGGGTGCAGAGGGAGTAAAACCACACAGACCCAGGAGTGGCGAGTGGGGGCAGTGGGTAGGAGCAGCCAGCCTCCACATGCCACTGTCAGCCTGTGGACAGGGCCAGTGCCCGTGGGCGCTTCCTGTTCAGGCCTTCCTGCCCTGCATTCTTTATTCCAGCAAAAGCTGCTCTGTCCTCTCCAGCAAGGGGCTTCTCCTCACCATGAATGTCTGCTGGAGAGAGATCCCAGTGCTGGGCAGCAGGCCAGGCAGGAACCAGAGCTCCAGCTGGGAAGCCTCTAGAGATGACCTAGGGCAGCTTCTCATTTGCCTGGGGAGGAAACTGAGGTTGGCAGAGGAGAGGGGCGGTGTCCCAGGTCTCATGGCTACCTTTACTCCCTCCTCCAACATTATTGTTGCCATGGGCAACAGGACCTGCAAACAACAGTGCATATGGGTCAAGGGCAGGATCCAGGCAGGGCAGGGTGGTGGAGAGACATGGAGCTACCCTTGCCAACACCTCCACCCAATACCTACCACAGGCTGGGGTTTGGCAAATCCAATCTCTGTCTCATAATTCCCAGTTGTTAGCAGCATGTCAAGAACCCCAAGTTTTTCCAAGACAGGCTCTCATTAGTCCTTTCGGACTTCAGGGAGACGCAGGAAGGAGATACACATTGTCCTCTGATACAAAAAAAAAAAAAAAAAAGCAACAAACTGGAAAATCAAGGCCAGGAAAGAGATGGGGCAAAGGGCTAAGCTTTAGAGGCCCCGTGCTACCATTGAGCTAGGTGGCCAGCATTCGTGGCTCAGAGCACAGCTCTGCCACTACCTTGTCCCTTGGGCTGTGGGTCCACAGAAAGCCTGGTTAGAAACTTACTGGGCCCAGGGCCCTCCTGGGTCCTCCTGGCAGCATTCTCAGCCAGCCAAGTGAGTTAAAGGGCCAATGCTTGGTGCCAGCTCCAAACAAACATCTCCCTAACTTCTAGATAGCCTCTCAGAGACAGCCTCAGACTCTCTCAAAGGACCAAGACCAGCCTCATATCCCCTGTACCCACCCCACGGTCATGATATGGGTTACTCCCTGCAGTGCTCCATGGAGATTAGCTGCATTGGGGCTCAGAAAACAACTCCCCAAAATGAAGGCTTCAGAAACAGCCTCAGAAGCAAAAGTCTTTCTCTGCCCTTCTCCTGCCCTCCTGCCTTCCGGTCTCATTCTCCCTCGAGGCTACCCAGAGACACTAGAATCCTTCTTCCCCAAGCTGGGTCATAGAAACCAGGACCCCTTTTCTTCAAAGCCAGCCATAAAACCTAAAAATATGACTCTAACTTTCCCCCTGCCTTTCTTTGTAGACACTGGCCATAAGGAAATTACCTGACCTACCTTGTTTGACTGTAGGTCATGAGACCCTCACTCCAGAGAAAGCCTGCCACACACCCAGAAGGAAGGAAAGCTGCTCAAAGAGGCCAGGAAGAATCTAGACAGACAGGCCTCGCTGGGTTTCCTACTCAGTCTGTTAGTATTATATCAGACTCTTTTAGTCCAATCATATCTCTACACAGCTGTCCATCCTTTGTTGAACCGAAGCTTAAGAATGGACAATTTCCTCTGTATCTTTGGGTCTTTATTCTGAAGGTTTCCATGTACACACATTAAATAAATTTACATGGCTTTTCTCCAACTAATCTGCTTTTTGCAAGTTGATTTTCAAGAAATCTTTACAGGGCCAGAGGGAACTTGGCATGGCAACCCCTATCCAGCTCTCAGGCCTAGGTTTTCTTACTACATTAGCTCTTACAAAAGGGGAGGGAATGTTTCCTGGGAGGGGAGGAAGCACCAGAGGGATCTCTTTTAAGCATCTTCCATCAGTTTTTCCTGAATGAGGTTTGGGAGTGGGGAAGGAATATCCATTGGAACTATCAGGATTCCCTACAGAGGGAGGAGGAGGAGTTTGAAAAACTGTCTTCAAAATTATAGGTCTGGCTTGGTGGCTCACGCCTGTAATCCCAGAACTTTGGGAGGCTGAGGCAGGCGGATCACTTGAGACCAGGAGTTTGAGACCAGCGAAACCTTGTCTCTACTAAAAATACAAAAATCAGCTGGGAGTGGTAGTGCACACTTGTAATCCCAGCTACTCAGGAGGCTGAGGCATGAGAATCACTGGAACCTGGGAGGCAGAAGTTATAGTGAGCTGAGATCACGCCACTGCACTCCAGCCTGGGCAACAGAGTGAGACTCTGTCTCAAAAATAAATAAAATAAAATAAATAAAAATAAAGATTACAATATACAGTTGACCTTGAACAACACGGATTTGAACTACACAGATCCACTTATACACGGATTTTCTTCTACTTCCGCCACCCGAGATAACAAAACCAGCCTCATCCTCCCCTGCCCACTCAACCTGAAAACGACGAGAATGAAGACCTTTGTGATGATCCACTTCCACTTAATGAAGAGTAAATATATTTTCTCTTTCCTATTTCTTAACATCTTTTCTCTAGCTTACTATATTGTAAGAATACAGTATGTAAAACATATAACATAGAAAATATTATGTTCGTTGACTTTATGTTATTAGTAAGGCTTCGGGTCCACAGTAGGCTGTTAAGTTTTAGAGGAGTCAAAAGTTATAAGTAGAGTTTTTACTGTGTGGGGAAGTCAGCACCCCTAACCCCTGTGTTGTTCAAGGCTCAACTGTAATTTTATATTTTAAAACAAAAATAAATGTGCCATTTTTGTACTCTAAATTGTGGAAAATAAAATCTGACAAAATACTTTGGCTTGCTGGAGACAAATGCCCAACAGCACAGTGCTCCTCTGGGGGTGGGAGCCTGGCCTCGTGGGGTCAGGGTTTCAAGGGGAAGGAGTGGACATGGGGTCAGACTTGGACATGGGGTTTCAGGTTTGAGGACCATGACACTGTGAGTGTTGGGACCTTCACAGGGATCGTCTCTTCTGATTGGCTCCTTGCAACCTCAGTGGCATCAAAAGCATGAGCTTCAACAGTTTCCCAAACTTCCCAAACCACAGAATAACCTCATGGCTGTGGGGAAATGCGCATTCCTCGGTCCCACCACAAACATGAGCCGGAGACTCTGGATTCATTTTGACACACAACCTATGGCACTGTTCTAATCTGGCCAGATTGTAACACAGGTTTCTAAGTCACGTAATATATCTGTATTCATCAAATTCCAAATTCCATACAAAGATAAACCCAGAGAATCCAGGCTCCTGCAGCTCCCTAACCCTGGCCTGCTCTACCACAGAATACCCTTCGATCCACTTGTTTATCTTCCCCATGTTTCTTTACGCAAATGCAAGCACAAATGAATATACATGTATATATTCTTATTTCTTATATTTCACAAAAGATATACTATTTATACGTTCTGTCCCTCCCTCTTTCACTTAGCAAACTATCCTGGGACTGTCTACATATCCATACATGGAGATTTTCCTCTTTCTTTCTCTCCACTGCAGAGTTTTCCACTGGGTAGATGTGCCAGGACACTTCATGCAGTCCCCGGTGCACAGACGCTGGGTCCTTTCCAGACTTCTGTTATTATGAACAATGCCACAATGAATGACTTTGTACACATGTGATTTCATACGTGTGCAGGTGTACCTGTAGGATAGATTCCTAGAGTGCAATTGTGGGTGGAGGGGTAAAGGCATCCATGATGTTGTTGGACCTTACCAACGTTCCTTCCATAGAGTTCTTCCATGTCACGCTCTGCTTGCAATAGCAGAGATCACATCATTTTCCACAATTTTGCCAACACTGTGTTTTGTCAAATTTTTGTATTTTTGCCCAATCAGAGGGATGAGAAATGGTGTCTCTCAGTGTGGTTTTGATTTGCATTTCTCTCATTAGGAATGAGTTGCACATCTATTCCATTCCAATGATGAAGGAGCATTTGCATTTTTTTTCTGTGAACTCAACGTTCACGTTCTTCACTCGTTTTTCTTCAGTATCACTTGCTTTTTGATTCCACATGTGGTGTTTTGGGCATGCAGAAATCATTTTTATTTTTATATAGTCAAAATTCTTCATTTTTTTTTTAAATGGAGTTTCACTCTGTTGCCCAGGCTAGAGTGCAATGGCGTGACCTCGGCTCACTACAACCTCCGCCTCCCAGGTTCAAGCAATTCTCCTGCCTCAGCCTCCCGAGTAGCTGGGATTACAGGTATGAGCCACCATGCCCGGCGAATTTTGTATTTTTAGTAGTGTATTTCTCCATGTTGGTCAGGCTCGTCTCGAACTCCTGACCTCAGGTGATCCACCTGCCTCGGCCTCCCAAAGTGCTGGGATTACAGGTGTGAGCCACCGTGCCTGGTTTGAATCATAGAAAGTCTATCCCCATCCAAAGTGAACTCCAAGTTTCCCTGCAGCATTATTAGGTTTGCTTTTAATGTTTAAATTGTTGCTCCATGTGGAGATTTTCCCCATGCATGATATTAAGTACAGAGCCAATTTTATCTTTTTCCAGAAATGGCTACTGTATTGTTCCAATACCCTTTATTAAGAATTCATGTTTACCACATAGATTTGAGATGCCATCTGCCTCTCCGTATCACTTCCTAATTCTTACATTGCTTCTGGGCTGTCTTGGTCCTGCTGTTCTACCCCTTTGGTGTATCCATCCATGCCAATGCCACGCTGCTTTCACTATCCAGGCAATAGTACTTCCAAATTGTCGGGTAGGGCTAGTCTCCACTCATTAGCCTGCTGCTTTTTGTTTTTTAAGATATTTTTCATATTTCTTGCTTGTTTCTATTCCCATATAAACTTTCAACTACCTTGTCTAGTTCCGAGGGAGTGGAGCATGGGGGAAAACCTGTAGGTATATTACTGGGAGTAATATACTTGTATAAATTACCTAGGGAGTACTGACTTCTTGGCAATATTGTCTTCTCATTCAAGGAGGTGGTCTGATGAGGGAGAGGGAATTTGTTCTAGCTGCAGGAGGGTCTCGAGGCTGGGGCAGGTGTGTGACAGGAAACGGTGTGGTTTGTGTTTAACCTGAACTCACCGCGGCCATCCCTACTATAATAGTATTTAGTGGCCAAAGTTTACCCCAGTTTTTTCTAGTTCCTCCTATTATTTGAGATTTTGTACTGACATAAGGGGAATTGAGGAAGTTTAGCAGGACACACTAAACATGTGATCTAAGTTCAGAATCTCCTGAACATCCGTTTAGGACTGGTCTTGCTCAGCGTTACTGTAGGTGGTTTGGGGAAGCAAAAGGAGAACAAAGGAAGTCAAGTTACAAGTAAGTTTAGCGTGTGCTTCCTATAAGCTAAGACAAAGGAGGGGGAGTTGCAAGGATATAGATCCTCAAACACCCCAGGGCATATAGCCGGACTCGGTAGCTTGCAGCAGCTTAATGCAGGGTGTCTTAGTTCATTTGGCTGCTACATCAAAATACCTTAGACTGGGTAATTTATAAACAACAAAATTTATTGCTCACAGTTCTGGAGGCTGGGAGGTCTGAGGTGCCAGGAGATTGAATGGCTGGTGAGGGCCTGTCCCCCATAGATAGTGGCTTGTATCTGTCCTCACATGGCAGAAAGGGCTGGCAGCTCCCTCAAACCTCTTTATAAGGGCACAAATTCTATTCAGGAACCCTCCACTCCTAAGATCTAATCACCTCCCAAAGGCTCCACCTCTTATTACCATCACATTGGGGGTTAGGTGTCCACATATGAATTTTGGGGGACATATACATTTAGACCACATAGCAAAGGGGGTGGAATCGTATGACACTGACATCAAAGTGGGTAGGGAACACACAAAATGGGCTTTAAGTATCAAGGATTAGAGAAAGAGGCATTTATGGATAGCAAAGATGAGCCTCAGCACAACCGTAAGACCCATGATAGAAATGTCCCCTTCTCTTTGCACTTAGGCCCCACCCCCACCCATCTGAGCCTTCCCTCCCAGACCTATGGGCCTCTTGTTGACTTTAGGATCCACCATATTGCTATTGCACCAAGGTGCCCAGGGCAGCCATCCCTCTCATCTCTCTGCATTTGCACAGGCCACTCCTCCTACTGGGAGGCCCTCTTCCCCTTCTTTGCCTGGCATCTCTTGCTTACTCTTCCAGATTCAGCTCCAGTACCTTGCCACCTCCAGAAGCCACCTGACCTATCCCTATATGTGACAGTCACTGACACTCAACCACTGTGACAAATTTCATGTGTCAACTTGACTAAGCCATGCGGTACCCGGATATCTGGTTAAATATTATAAACATTATTTCTGGGTGTGTCTGTGAGGGTGTTTCCAAGAGAGATTAGCATTTGGATCATAAGACTGCATAAAAACCTGTCCTCTTCAACATGGGTGGGCACATCCAACCCATGGAGGGCATGAATAGAATAAAAAGGCAGAGGACAATGGAATTCTTTTTTTTCTCTCTCTCTCTCCTCTCTCTCCTGTCTCTCTCTCTCTCTCTCCTGACTGCTACCCTGGGACATTACTCTTTGCTTGTCCTGGGACTGAGACTTAAACCATCAGCGTTCCTGGTTCTCATGTTTTCAGACTTGGACTAGAATTTACTCCACCCACTGAGGGATGGCAGGTGACAGATCATGGGACTTCTCAGCCTCCAGAATCACGTGAGCCAATTCCTTATAATATGTGTCTTATTGATTGTTTCTCTGGAGAACCCTAATACAGCCATCTCCTTGAAGCACCCAGTGCTATGTGCTGCACGCATCCCCGTATGCTACACCCACATTGCACACTTCAAAGAAGGTCTCCCCCATTATGCTCTGAGCTTCCCCAGGGGAAGAAGATGAACAAAGCATCCAATATATGTTTGTAAAAATGAATGAGCAAACAAAGCAATAAAAGCAAGAAGCCCTGGGGGGCAAATCCCTGCCCTCCACCACTACCACTTACCCCAACTAAGTGACTCTGGACAAGGTAGTAAACCTCTCTTAGCCTCAGTTTCCATGCTTGTAGAATGAAGAGAAGAATAGCACCTTCTCAGAGGATTGTAATAGGACTAGATAAGATAATGCAGGTGAAATGCCCAGCCAGTATCTGGTGCCTAAAATGCATTCAATTAATGTTAGCTACTGTCATTGCCATTAATGAGAATTTAGTTAATGAGGTTTCAAGCTTGGGTTTACATTTAACAAAAGGGTCCCGGGCTGGGCACAGATAAACAGAGGCATTTTCTATAAGGAGAGCTCTTTCCACTGTACTCTGCCCCTTTCCAATAAGTCATCCCCACTCCAGCTGTGGCCAGAGCCAGGCGTCCTGGGCCCTGCCTCTGCAGATGAATGCAGAGCATCTCCTGAATGCATCCTCCTTAGGAGAGGCTGCCTCCACAGCAGAGTGCCTGAGCTCTCTGGGGCTTCTGCAATCTGGGTTTGCAGCCAGTGGCATGTGGAGTCCAAGAGGGCAGATGCAAAATCACAGTACCATGGACTTCCCAGAGCACGTATCAGAAATGCTTCCTGAACAGCAAACCTCAACTTCACAGACGGTCCCATCGGAAAACAGCTGACAAAGGCCTGGTTATGTAATGGAAGCAGCAAATAACTAGCACAAATACTCCCCAACAGAAGTGGAAGAAACACCCCCTAAGGCCTGAGTCATTCTCTAGGAGGAGACCACAGAGAAATCTGCTTGCATAAGCCCAAGTATTGAGAAGGCCCTAGACCAGACTTAACTTAAAATCATCAGAGAACACCCTGCCGACCTGAAGGGAAAGAGGATAGGCTAAGGCTTGGGGACTTCCCAAGGTGCACTTCGAAGTGTCTCTTCTCTTCCTGGGATGGTGTGGGGAGGGGGCTGGTGTGCAAGAGTTTATGGGCAACAGTTGCTTACACAACAGACGGGAAAGCCCAGGCTACCAGCTTGGCCTCCTCAGGGAGTTTCTGAAGGGAGTTTCTCCTTTGGATGCCCCGTAGTCAGCACATAGCAGGCTCTGGATGAAAGTTGCTGAATGAATAAATCTGTTTCCCTGCATGTCAGGCTCCTAGCCAGCAAGGAACTCCAGAGGACCAGGAGTGGAAGTAGGTCATCAGGATGGACGGGGAGGTGACTCAGTAGCATCTCCCAGAACGCCTTTGTCCTACAGTTTTATAGGCCCAGGGAGCTAGACTTGCGCTGTCCACACAGGAAGACCTGTGTTTCTTCTAGCTAAGGGTTAACACCCAGCTCTCAGCAGTGTGAAGTGAGTTACCGCCTAGATTATAAATCAGCGAGTGCTGCGTAAAGAGCTGCTGAAGAAATAGGCTATGCTTTAAAAGCCCTTAAATGTGGATTTAATTTTATACTGCGATTCACATTTGGAAAGTTGCTAAATATCAATCTGTGCGTGTGTCCAGTGCCCGCTCCAAACGGAGGGGGGTGTGTGTGTGTGTGTGTGTGTGTGCGCGCTCGTGAGCGTGATACAGCTTCAGAGACGAGCATGGAGCCTTTACTCTCCACACGCGGTCCTCTTCCCCTGCCATGTTATTAGTACGGCCTTTGGCAACACTGCCTGTCACAGCTTTTGACTTTGAACCCAGCCCCAGAGACAAGTCAAGGCCTTCAAAGTTAGACCTGGTCTCCCCCTGATGCCATCATGCCACGTCAGTCAGGGACAAAGGTGGACTCAGCGAAAGGCCAAGCCCTCTCAGTTTCCATGGGCTACACTGGTTGGGTTCAGGCTCTGACCTTCTTCACAGCAAACTTCAGAGACGGTACCAACTTCTAGATGCCGTCCCTGGCAGCATCCCCACCAGGCACAGGGCAGAGAGCATGGAACTGGGGCTCACCGACTGCAGTTCTTATCCCAGATCTGCCACTAACTGGCAGAGGGAGCTCCAACCCATTGCTTAACCTCTCCAGCCCTCAAGCTTCCCATGGGGAATCCAGACAAAAACAGCTGCTCAGCCTACTTCATATCTTCCCTGTGAGGACTGAAAAGAGATCATGGCTATGAAATAGAACTTTGAAAACATGAAGCTCCACGTCTGTGCCACGGGTAATTACTGCAGCCTGGTGTCAGCCTGGTCAAGGCCATGTGCTGGGAGGGCTGATCTCCTGGGCCATCTCTGCTAATGGCCAGGTGGAGCAGCACCATGGGGGGAAAGGCATCCTTGCCTGGTGCCAATGACCTGGGCTCCAGGGCAGCACCTGCCTAGACCCCAATTTCTCCCACGTAATAGGGAGTCAGACCACTTGATCTCAAAGGCCCCTCCCAGAACTATGTGCCACGAGTCTATGCACCAGACTGAATGCCTGAACCTTCTCTCCAATGATGTTCAGAGGTTTATTTAGGGATTTGCAGAGCCAATATGCCAAGCACCAAGCTAGGTGGTCAAGATGACATACAGGGCCAGGTGAAGTGACTCACACCTGTAATCCCAGCACTTTGGGAGGCCTAGGCAGGCAGATCACTTGAGGCCAGGACTTCAAGACCAGCCTGGCCAACATGGTGAAACCCCGTCTCTACTAATAATAAAAAAAATTAGCTGAATGTGGTGGGGCACACCTGTAGTCCCAGCTACTAGGGAGGCTGAGGCACCAGAATTACTTGAACCCAGGAGGCAGAGGTTGCAGTGAGTTGAGATCCTGTCACTACGCTCCAGCCTGGGCAGCAACAGAATAAAACTCCGCCTCAAAAAAAAAAAAAAAAAAAAAAAGACATAAGAAGAGTTAAGGTGCCTGGCCTCAAGGAGCTTACATTTGAGTCTAAATGTCGGGACTTAGGGCACATCAAATCACTGAACCAGAAACTTTTTTTTTTTTCACTCATCATAAAAATTTGCTGAGCACTTACTATGGGTCAAGAATTCTGTTACCCACTTATGCTGTCTTGTTTAATCTTCCACTACCCTCTGCAAGAAATATTGCTACCTCCATTTTATAAGCAGGGAAACACAAGGTCAGAGAGGTGAAAAACGTGCCCAAGTTCACACAGCTGTCACATGACAGCACAGAATAGAAACACATGTCCTGCTTCACTCCAGATCTACATTCTTGAGCACAAGGGGCTCATTGGCTGGAGTTGGCAAAGAAGGCTTTGTGAAAGAGATATGCAGTTGCTTATTCATTTACTTACACCCCACATAATTCCAAAAAGGTTTAAAGTTGTGTTTCTTTTTTTTGTTTGAGACAGAGTCTCGCTCTGTCGCCCAGACTGGAGTGCAATGGTGCAATTTCCACTCACTGCAACCTCTGCCTCCAGGTTCAAGCGATTCTCCTGCCTCAGCCTCCCGAGTAGGTGGGACTACAGGCGTGTGCCACCACACTCAGCTAATTTTTTTGTACTTTTAGTAGAGACGGGGTTTCGCCATGTTGGTCTGGCTAGTCTTGAACTCCTGACCTCAAAGGATCTGCCCGCCTCAGCCTCCCAAAGTGCTGGGATTACAGACATGAGCCACTGTCCCCAGCCTGAAGTTCTGTTTCTAATCAAAAGTGTTCAATCACTGCAAAATATCAAATGTAAAAGATCAAACCCATAGAGTAGAATTGGAAGGATAATTAAACATGAAACTGAACTAAAGTGCTTTCTTTAACCATTTGTTCATTCATTTATCCCTTTATTCAATGAGTATTCATGGAGTATATCATAAGTTTCAGACACCATGTGTTCTGTGCTGGGTGTACTGGGCAGAATGACACACTCCATGGCCTTAAGGAACTTAAAGTCTGTGTATATGTGCATCTGTGTGTTGAGAAAAAAAAAATAAGACAATCAGCCTGAGAGTGTTCAGATAGAAGTGGGCATGGGTCATCCAGGACCATTAAAGGTGGCCTCTTTCCCAGCCTTGGGGAGCCAGAGAAGCTTTCCTTGAGAAATTTGTAAAAGGAGGTTGGGCAGTACAAGTATGTCAGACATCACAGCTCTTGAGCAGAAACTTAACTGTGTTTTCTGGCAACCAAAGCACAAAGGGACAATAAGATCTGTTCCATCATGCTCTAACATCAAGGAAGACTATTTTTCCCGTACTAAGATCTAGGGTCTTATATATCCGTATGGAAGGGACATTTTCTGTAATGAACA